>NC_000002.12:111429011-111732042 GCF_000001405.40 Homo sapiens | reverse complement strand
TTTTTTGTTTTCTTTTTAAAATAAACCACCTGTATGTGGTATTCTGTTACAGGCTAAGATACTTTCTTTCTCCACTAGCCACTTGCTCAGTACAAGTTGAGAGAAGAGTGTTGTGAAGCCCAAGTTTAGGCAGAGAGGAGCAGGTTAGGGCAAGTGAGCAGGCAGGGTTTGTCTCTCACCCACCTGCATTTAGCCAACAGCTACCAGTGGCAGCCACTGGGCTGGTGGACATGTTCCCTGCCACGGAGAGAGGGGAGTGGTCCAGCTGCAAGGCTCTAGTTCTGGGATCTAGTCTTGGTGACGGAGGATCCTGGAACCATCTAACCTCTGGGGCAAGAGGGTGACGCCATGTGGTTAATAAATCAGCCTGCCTTGCTCCTGTCCCCAGAGGGTCTGAGGCTGTCTACTCTTCAAAGCAATGGTCTGGTGACATCCCAGAAGATTCCTGTGACTGAATATTATTCCAAATAAAGTCACTCCCTGGCAAAGGGATAAGTCCCTACCCAGTAGCTGCCCAAATTTTTTTTCGAAACGGAGTCTCACTCTGTCACCCAGGCTGCAGTGCAGTGGTGCGATCTTGGCTCACTGCAACCTCTGCTTCCCAGGTTCAAGTGATTCTCCTGCTTCAGCCTCCCGAGTAGCTGGGACTATAGGTGCTTGCCACCATGCCCAGCTAATTTTTGTATTTTTAGTAGAGATGGGGTTTCCCCATGTTGGCCAGGCTGGTCTGGAACTCCTGACCTCAGGTGATGTGCCCACCTCGGCCTCCCAAAGTCCTGGGATGACAGGCGTGAGCCACTGTGCCCGACCTCCTGCCCAGATTTCTATTTTATTCTTGCACTCAGCCAACAGCCTGGCTGCCCAGAGGCAGGTACAACTTATTCAAGAGCAGGAGAATTCCAATTTTATTATTTAAAAAATCACATAATTAACTGAGTATTATAAGCTTTGAGATGTTTGTTGGTTAATAAAGATGAATGGGCTATCTGAGGTAATGGCTTTTAATTAAATGGAAGCTAATAACTTTGGTAAGTTTGTCCGAGTAGTAATCTTGGCTAACAGTTTGAAGTTTCGTACAATAATCTTGGCTAACAATTTGTAGCTTGCCTTGCACTGATTTCATAGCATTCATTGTTTACAACACGCAGAACACCCACTTTACAGATGGGAAAACGGAGGCTGAGGCTAAGGGCACAGGAAGGCTGTGGGGGGATTGCAGTCCACAGCAGCCCCGGGGGTCTCAAGGGCATATTCCTTTTAATCATGGCTTCCCACACAACATGCATCCCTAATTCTGTTCAGCTGACCCCTGACTAAAGCTCAGCTTTAGGGCAGGAGATTTAAAATACAAACGCATTATATCTGCAGGTATGGGCTGCAGGGAGGGCTTGGAGATGTAGAATCCTCCTTTGCTGCCATGTAGAGAGAGGAAAGACTGCATGCAGGCCCAGCTCTGCTACTCACGGCCTATACAACCCTGCACATTTTATCCCAGAGCTTAAATCTTTTCCCTTCTTGCAGCTCTTCTTCTGTTAAGGGACCTAGAGCAGGACATAATCATCTGTTCTTCTTATGGAGGGGCTAAGGAACAAGAAAAATGGTAAGGAGCAAAAAATGGGGCCAGGTCATTTGACAAGGAACCCTGGGAAATGCAAAAGTTGTATATTCTTTGCTGAGTTGGAGCATTAGTGACCTTTCTCTCTTTTCTTGTGAATTTACAGGAGTTGCAAAGGCCCAGCACCTCCCTGTGGCTTTTAAAACCAGGTATGTGGGCAATGCTCAGCAGAGACTGAGGACCATGGCCGGGGTGCCCTGCAGCCCTTTCATGCCGGGCAGCTGCAGCCTTTAATTTGGGGGCTATTGTGGTATTGTTGGTATTATTCAGGGTTTGGGCTTCAAGAGAACCTGTGATGATTTCTTTGTTATTTCACAGAAATTGGTCCGAACGGTTGGCATGTAATGCGGTGGCACTGGTTCTCCTGTGTTTGCCCAAAACCTTGCCAGGAGAACCAGGCAGTGGACGGGTGTGTGGTCAGTGTGGTGACCTGCAAACACCACTGTCCACACCTCATGCTCTTGCTCAAGAATTTTCCCAGGCTCCGTGCATGTGTAAATTTGCAAAAATAACAAAGCCAACCTTCATTGTTTGTTCTCTAAATAAGAAGAAGCTTCGTGGTTTGTGTTCGAGTGAAACAGCAAGGGAGAATTTTGATCCTGTGGAATCTGGCCAGACCTTACAGGGTTGAGGGGTCTCTGCACTCACATTTGCCATGTTCCTGTCCCTCTGCCTCTCACCTTTGAATGCCTCCCTGGGGCAGATGCTCCCGGCTCCTACTCCTCGGATCCTTTGTGTAATTTCTCACAAATTTCTAGAGCTCACATGGACCTTCCTTTCATAGTCCAGGAACACACAGGGTTGATCCTCGAGGCCTGTGCCTCTCTCCGGGCACCCGTAACACCCTGCTCCATGTTTGCTTCACCTTGGAGTAATCACCTTGCACTCACCCCATTGTCTTTGGGGGCTTATGTTTTGTGGGTGATAGAGTGCATCATCTATGAGGTAAAATCTTTTATGTGTGTTTGCTTATTCCGGGATGCACTGGTGGCCAGGCTGTGCTCATTCTGGCTCACTGAGGGTGTGTTATCATCCTGCCATGGACCACCCTCTTCTAGAAGGAACAGAACATCAGGGTCTCCCTCCCAGCCCCGTTCCAGGTAACCACAGCGTTCTGCAGGAACAAAGGTGTAGACTGAAAGTAAGTTAAAGGACAGGGCTGAGGCCTATAGACTGATTTTTCGGAGTAAGGAGGTGGGCCCTTTTGAAAATATTGAGATATAATTTATATAAGATAAAATTTACGGCTGGGCTAGGTGGCTTACACCTGTATTTCCAGCACTTTGGGAGGTCGAGGTGGGTGGATCACCTGAGGTCGAGAGTTTGAGACCAGCCCCACACAAAACCCTGTCTCTATTAAAAATACAAAAATTAGCCGGGCGTGGTGGCACGTGCCTGTAATCCCAGCTACTTGGGAGGCTGAGGCAGGAGAATTGCTTGAAGCCAGGAGGCAGAGGTTGCAGTGAGCCGAGATAGCGCCATTGCACTCCAGCCTGGGTGACAAGTGCGAGCGAAACTGCGTCTCCAAAAAAAAAAAAAAAAAAAAAAAGATAAAATTTACCTATTTTAAGTGCACACAATGAATTTTGGTAACTGTTTGCATTTGTATAACCACCCGACAATGAGATACAGAACACTTCATCACCCCCAATAGTTCCCTCGAGCCTCTTTGCAGTTTCTCCCCTCCCTTTGGCCTCAGCAACCAGTCTGTGAGTCTAGTTTTGCCTTTCTAGTCTTTCATGTTAATGGAATCAAGAAGTGTGTACTCTTTTATGTCTGGCTTCTTGCATTCAGCATATTTTGGAGCCTTGTCCATGTCACTGTGTGATTTCTCTTTATTACTGAGTAGTAATGCATTGTACAGAGGTAGCACAATTTGGTTTTTCATTTACCAGTTGGTGAATATTCGAGTTGTTTCCAGTTTTGGGCAATTAGGAATAAAGTTGCTATAAACATTAATGTACAGGACTTTGTGGGGAGTTCTACTTTCATTTCTCTTTGGTTCATATTCAGGAGTGGGTTTGCTAGGTCACAGGATAGACATATGTTAAAACTTTGTAAGATACTGCAAAACTGTTTTCCAAGGTGGCTATACCATTTGTATTCAAAATCAACACTTTTAGCCTAGACCATATAACTGGCCTTCCTGAAATCCATGGATATCTATCTGTGCAATGGTTTTAGAGACATTTTATTGACTCCCACATGTAATTAAGTTACTTGGCTTTTAGGCAAAAGATGATACCATGTCTATGGATGAGATGACTCTAGTTTTGAACTCTGGGTTTTGCAGAAGAGTTTGCATTATCCTCCTCCTGAGGAAAGCAGATACATCCGCCACGATGCATGTGAGTCAGGTCTTCTGCGTGTCCTCTGAATCAGGTTCGCATGTGTGCCTCTAATGGCAGTTTCGAGTTCATCCTGTGTTGAGATAATGCCTGAAGGCGAGAGGAAAAAATATCTGTGGTTGTCAAATCGGGTGGAAAGTGATTAATCATGGAGACATTTACGGCATGCTGAACTGTTTCGTTTCCTGACCTTTATCCCACGTGCGTTAGGGGCAGGCGGGGTCAAGTTTAAATCCAAGATGACAAGTGTCTGAGGCTAAGGAAGGTTTCTGCTGAATACTTGGCTTAGAGTCAATGGCTCCGTGTCTCACACCTGGTGAAAACCGACTCGCAATTGAAAGAAACAGCATGGGAGTGTCAAACACTTGCTGACTTGGCCTTGGGCTAGAGCTTCTTGCGAGGGTTTTAGAACTGACACACCCTTTGGATGTGCTGGGGGCATCTGGTTTTTGGTGCCTGAGTCACAAATCCTGGAATACATTTGCCCACAGTGTTTCCATACCATTGGAAGTGCATTATGGCTGCTTCTCTTAGAGTCCTTTAACCTCTTCCTCAAGAGCCAGCTTTGTCAACTTGATGTATCTCATGGCAGGCATGGACTCATGCCTGTGTGTCCCATTGTATCCCCAGATCATGGGATTTGTGGGATTCAGCCAGTGTGATTTACTAATCACTAGGTCCAGGGCCAAGTTTAGGTGAGGTTCACTCCATCTAAGCTGTGTTTTGGGGGAGGGAGGGTCTCTATTTTTTCATTTAGAGAAGTGACTAGACACTAGAAAATGTCACAGAGTAAACGTATGGACTACAGCTTGTTTTCTGAAAAGGTTTAGGGATCCCGTGTTAGTATTGAAAGACCCTTTGAGGCCTCATCCCCTCCACCCAGTGGGCACACAGGCCTCTGACCTTCAGCGCCAAGTCTCCCTTGAGGTCACCTTCTCTTCATCTTTCACTTCTTTTCTCTTCCTTTCACCCCTGCTGGTTGCAGCGACAAGGTCCCTGCCAACTGCGGTGTGCACACTGGCGGGCCTTCACCTCCCTTAAAATCCAGCTCTCGAAATGCCTGCAAGGGAGCAGCCTGCAATATTACCTAATTTGTCTTTAATCTGGTATTCCTAGAATAATCCAGAGAATAGAGTGGCCTACTGTACACACTCTGGATTACTCAATAAAGAACATGATGGGAAACGGCAGTATTTTTCTGTTTTAAAATAAGTAGGTTTGGAGGGAGCTGGGAAACTGCGGGCTTTAGTTACAAAATGACTATAATTGTGGGAGACGTATTTTCTTTGAATGTTGAAACACATTGGACAGGATATACAATTTAGAAATAATTTACAGTTAGAGAAAGGCCCTTTCATCTGAGAGGGGGCACATCTTCTGATTGGAAAGGATGGTCCCAGGGGATGAGGGATCGGGCCCCAGGTGAGCTTCATCTTTTTCTCTTCCAACTTCAGTGTGGCCAAACAGAGCGGAAAGTCATCACGTAGAAGGACAAAGTCTGTGTTTTTTTGTTTTTGTTTTTGTTTTCTCTCATGAGAGAAGCAGGCAAGTGCTGCCTGAGAAGGTGAAGGCTCACCTGTGGCAGGCTTGCTTCAAGCTGGCTGCAGACTGAAGGCCACCCAGAGGCTTTGGTCACCAAGGGTGGCATGATGGGTGGCCTTCTCCTTGCTCATGCAGCTCTCACCAGCAAATTTCTACTGAATGCCCACTCTGTGCAGGGTACTGTGCCAAGCACGAGGGATGCCAGGACCCGGAAGAAAGAACTCTGTTAGAGAACCACAGCTGATAGCTGCCAGTCAGCAGTAAAGGTTCAAAGCTTGGCCTGGCCAAGGAGCTATCACGGAGGGCTCTGTGGACCAGGGTCTTGTAGTGGGAGTGTGTCAGCAGAGTGGAGGGGTTGGAGGAGTGAGCCCAGGTATGCAGGGGTATGGATGGGCCGAGAGCCTTGGGCCTGGCCTGGCTGAAGGCTGTCCTGTTGAGGCACTGGCACGTGGGCTTGGGAGGCAGACGGATGACCAGACACGGCCCCACAGAGATCAGCCCAAAGCGCTTGGACCTAGGGCATCTGGGATGGTTCTTGAGGTGAGCGCATGAAGCCTTGTTTTAGACACATACACTAGAGGGCTCCAGCCTCCCTGCAAGCCCTCCTCCTCTCTCTCTCCTCACTGTTGAGGCGAGTGCTGTGTCTGCCTTAGATTCCTTCTGCAGGCCTCTGTCTGCCTGCCAGCAGATGCCTCTATGTCTGTCAGCCCTCAGAATGTCAGGCACATGCACTACCCACTGTGTGTGTGGGGTGTGTGTGTGTGTGAACATGTCAGATACCCACACAGGCTCTCCACTGTTCAGTGTGTCTCCAGTCTGGGACCTGGGGGTGGAAATAGTCACCGTCTACATCCATCTTCTTCTGCTTCTCTCTTAGGCATTTCCAACTCAACATACACCAGCCTGAACTCTTTATCCACATCCCTTTCCAGCATGCTCTTCCTCCAGCCCCTACTGACCCCATCACAGGAAAAAGCCATTCTGTTCTTCCAGTTACTCAGGGCGACAGCCTCGGAGTCATCATCGATGTCTTTTTCCTCTCACACCTGACACCTGACCTGTGGCCATCCTGTTGACTCTCCCCTTGAAATACATCCAGAATCCAGCCCCTTGTCCCCACTCCAGCACTCACAGTCACATTGCACCTGGTCTGGACCCCAGCAAGTGCTGCCCTGTGGGACTCCCTGCTTCTCCCCTTGCTCCACACTGTCTATTCTCTGTAGCCTTTAAGAACAAGTCAGGTCATTTCACTGTCCTGCTCAAAACCATCAAATCGTTTCCCGTTTCCTTCAGAATGACATTCACAGTCCTTTCCGTCACAGCTCTGCGTGGCCTGTGGTGCCTCTGTATCCTCATCTCTGACTTAGTTTACTCCACCCCATTCTCCTCCTTCACCAGACTCCCAGGCACTCCTTCACGAGCAGCATGCACCTGCCCCAGAGCCTTGGCACCAGCTGCTTTCCCTACCCAGAACACTCTCCTTCCCACATCTTCACAGCCAGCTGTTTCATTCCCTCCAAGTCCCTTATCAGAGAGGCTTTTTCAGTCACTTTGAGTAAAACAGAAACCTACCTTTTCATCATTCTTGACCCCTTAACTAAACTTGCTTGAGTTTTTGTTGTTGTTGTTTGCTCGTTTTTTACTTATTACCACTTGACATCACTTTTGTGGGAACCCCCTTGCTTTTATGGAAATATGTAAGAGTAAAGAACTTCATCTTATTTTCCGATTATCCCCAGGTCCTAGAACAGTGCTGGCATTTGGAAGCTGTTCAGTATTTGCTGAATAAATGAAATGAATTATGCTGTGATTCATTGTGTGTTTGGAGGTGTTTGGAGGGACTGGCATGGGAGGATTGGATTCTACGGTGGTAATAGTGACATGGCATGATGAAGGCATGGAGTAGAGGGGCGGCCACAGAAATGCAAAGGAAGGATGACTGAGGGAGAGGCCTCTAGCTCGGTTGTTGCAGGACAGGGATGCTTGACTGGCAGTGCCTTGGATGACTCGTTATAAGAGCTGTACTCCAGACTCAGGATATGCTTTAACCATAGGTTTTCAGATTTCTCCTGGGGTCCAGTCAACTCCCATGCCAGTCCCTTGTTCCATGATCCCAGGCCCTGCTCCAATTCCTTAACTCTCATTCTGTAACCGTAACCCAAATGGCTAAGCCTGAGGATGCAGGCTGACCTTTAGAGAAAAAGTTGAACTTTCTCTTTAAAGCTAAGTGGGAAAAAAACAATGATGGATAAAATGTAAAGATGTACAAAGGTACCAGTTTGTACCTGGGTGTTTGAATTTCTTTACATTTTGCTGTCAGTTGTACATGGCCATTTGAAATGAGTAATTTAATATTCTGCTGATTTTTAAATACATAGATCATTTTCATGGCACTACATAGTAAATCTGTGCTTTGCTTGTCTGCTATCTGTGTGTTTAGGTTCACACCAGTTCTGGTCGTGAAGCTATAGCTCAGGCATTATCATGGACTTCCTAGAAGCTGCCTTGCCA
This sequence comes from Homo sapiens, assembly GCF_000001405.40. NCBI lineage: Eukaryota > Metazoa > Chordata > Mammalia > Primates > Hominidae > Homo > Homo sapiens. The sequence goes on along the minus strand of NC_000002.12, from coordinate 111,724,026 downwards.
GCAAGGAGCCTAAGAGGTGTTCAGAAAAATTATCCAAAACTTGGAAATAAGGAAAGAGGATGACTCTATGTCCTTTAAAGTCCAGATCAGAGCATTGTCTATTAGATCCACTCAAGGATTATTTAAATCTCAAGGAGAATGTAACTTTGCTTCACATACTGTTTACTAGTAACTGGCTGCCTGTCAACTTGTGGGAGATAAGCTGGATACAATTTTGTCCAGTACAGATGCAAATGATTCCCTTCCCTTCCCTTCCCTTCCCTTCCCTTCCCTTCCCTCCCCTCCCCTCCCCTCCCCTCCCCTCCCGTCCCCTCCCCTCCCCTCCCCTCCCCTTCACCTCCCTCCCTCCCTCCTTCTCTCTTTCTTTTCTTTTCTCTTTTCTTTTCTCCCTTCCTTCCTTCCTTCCTTCCTTCCTTCCTTCCTTCCTTCCTTTCTTTCTTTCTTTCTTTCTTTCTTTCTTTCTTTTCTTTTCTTTTCTTTTCTTTTCTCTCACTCATTCTGTCACCCAGGCTAGAGTGCAGTGGCATGATCTCAGCTCATTGCAACCTCTGCCTTCCGGGTTCAAGTGATTCTCCTGCCTCAGCCTCCCAAGTAGCTGGGACCACTGGTGTGCACCACCACGCCTGGCTAATTTTTGTATTTTTAGTAGAGGTGGGGTTCTGTTATGTTGCCCAGGTTGGTCTTGAATTCCTGAGCTCAAGCAATCCACCCACTTTGGCCTCCCAAAGTGCTGGGATTATAGACATGAGCCACCGCATCCAGCCAGCTCTTTTATGTTTAAATCGGCCAAGCGTGATTGATTTCCTTCAGGTTCAAAAGATTACCCAAACATTACAGTTGTATTGTGCCATAGAACATTAACCAGTTTTGTATGTAACTTAGCAAACTTTTTTCAGCATTCTTTCTGACATACGATACATCTGTGTTCCTCAAATGCTTTGAGAATCAGCTTTTCCATCCTATGGGTTCCCTCAGTAATGAGTTAAAGAATTGTGCTTGCTACATGTATGAGGGTATGAGAGCCAAGTTCCTAATATTTTGAAAATGATGTTTTGATGGAGGAGATAAAAAGTCTCCTGTGTTAGCTATATATACCCAAACCTACAAAATGATGTCAAGTACCATAGAATGTATACAAAAGACATAACCTACTCCTCCCACCAATTTCTATTTTATTAGCATGCATTTCTCAGGAAAGACTGTTCAAAAGGTAAGGAGAGAATACCATTCTACCATTCTGCCAATTCAAGTTAGACCAGCTATTTCTCTTTGCTTATTCACTTCCTGTTTTCTCTTAATAAATTTATTTAAAGACAATTTATTAGAGAAAAAGTTGTCTTACAAATGCGAATTGTTAAGTTGTCTTACTGATGTGATCCAGCAATCCATCCTGGCCGGCACCCTGCCAGGTCTGTAATTAAGACTGGGGGTTTGCTCTGCAAGGACACATTCTCCACCTTTGTCTGGGGGGCTCTGTACTCAGTCTTGCGGTTTGTCTGTGGAGCTGAGGTGCTGGTTGGGAATCAGGAGACGTCAGTTCCGGTCTCAGCAAAGCTGCTGCGAGGTGCGGGGCAGAGGCCTGGTTTACCTGGTATACCACATGCCCTTGACTTCCCTGTGGTAGGTGCCCCTGATTCCGCTCCAGCTCTTGCTTTGCATGTAATTTACACTGAGGTTGCAAACAACTGCTTATTCCTGTGGGACTTAGTTTTTTCCTTAGGGCCAATCTGAAAAACTTACCTCCTTAGTTACATCCTACGGATTTGCAGACAAATAGGGGAAAGAAATGGAAGAAATAAGGGAAAATGTTATCCAAAGTTGGAAATAATAGAAGATTACTCTATGTGCTTTCGATGTCATACTAGAAGAAGCCGCTTTATGTAACACCATTATTCTGAATGGAGAAATCTGTGGTTGCTTTAGTCATGGAGACTACATCACAACTAGGGTTTTCCTTTTTTTTTGAGATGTGTGTGATGGGGGAGAATAGGGGTACAGCATTCTAGAAATGGCCTCATTTTGCATTTCCTTAGGTCCCAAGTTAAAATAACTTTCTGTTCTAAGAAGCTTTAAAAGTGGTTCATGGACCAGGCACGGTGGCTCACGCCTGTAATCCCAGCACTTTGGGAGGCTGAGGTGGGCGTATCACCTGAGGTCCAGAGATTGAGACCATCCTGGCCAACATGGTGAAACCCCATCTCTACTAAAAATACAAAAAAATTTGCTGGGCATGGTGGCGTGTGCCTGTAGTCCCTGCTACTTGGGAGGCTGAGGCAGGAGAATTGTTTCAACCCAGGAGGCAGAGGTTGTAGTGAGCCAAGATCCTGCCACTTCACTCCAGCCTGGTGACAGAGCTAGACTCAGTCTCAAAATAAAGTGGTTCATTTCTTTCTAAAATCATTGATTGAACATTAAAAAACATTGGTAAGAAAAATTGAACCAAGAAGGTTTTGGGTTATACTGTAGGTCAGTGAGCTTTAAGTTTCTGTGTCTCTGAAGCTACATGGCTGGACGATAGCTGAAGTCAGTGCCCCGAGTGAAGCCTGAAGAGGAGCTGATGGATTTTTCTGGTGGGGAAGGCCTGTGACTGCACTCAGAGAGAGCTGGGCCAGGCGGGGTGAGGCACGGTCACTCTGAGTTCACAGACCCACTCTGATCCTTGAATGGGTCTGTCCTGAAATAATGGGGAATCCTGGAACATGCTGCTTTGTGTAGACGCCTTTCTCCTTTGCAACTTTTAAAGGTATTTGTCCCCTGGGTTTCATTTGAAATGCTTTTTTTTTCCTTCTTCTTTTTTTTTTTTGCCAGATGCTTTCACTAGGAGCAGTATCCAGAAAGCTATGTTTCTAACCTACCTTGTTGTTTGCCTCTTGGGCAAATGGGTTTGTTTACCTTATTGACTCAGTTCAGTGGAAAATATTACCCTGATTGGGATGGAGATGGGGCTGCTGTTCTGAAATAACTACGCAAGTTTACCTGTTCAGGTGGGACACAGCTTCTTGTGTTAGTCACGGATGAATTTTGAAAATTTATACATAGTGCAATAAATGCTGGTTTCTTTCCCCTTCCTCACTCCTTCCTGGGGCCTATATGTGTGTATCTCTAACACACATACACACACACGCAGGCACACACACACTCATACACATGCACACTCACACACAAGAGGATACGTTGCATATACAGCTCAATGCTACAAAGAAGCCCTTTTACCAGAAGAGCACACGGGAACTCCGCTGAAGTTTGACAGGGTGATTGTCTTGTGGCTACTCTACCTTGAGGCCAGAGCACAGTGAGGGCCTCCCTCCTGCCCCCAGCCACACCAAAGAGGGGGCAGGGGGTCACAGGGAGCAAAAGAGGAGCTTTTTGCCATCACCATGAGACGGTGACCACAGGAGCCTGGCTCGAAGGTGAGGGTGGGGCTGGTGACTGGTGCCTGTGGATTCCAGAGTGGTTGGCCTACACAGCCTACTGAGAGGTAGAGCATGGTCCTTTGCGTCCCTGTGGACTCCGAGTGCCTGCCATGGTTTGGAAGGTCCACTGAAGGCTGAGTGCTCAGCGGCGTTGCCAGCCAGCTGGATGCATGTAAACAGCATTGTGAATGGAGAACATTCTTTCACCTTATTCTTGCACATTCTTCTCCCATACTTAGCTTCTTATCCTTCCTATCTACTCATCTAGCTAGCAATCCCTAAAATTAAATCATTTATAAATGAGTCCGATGAGGGTCTTTTTTTGAAAACTGGATTTAGTGAATAAGGCAGACCCCTGTTTTTGGATAGGGCTTTGCCTCTTGTTATTAAGGAGGAATAACTTGTTCCCAACTTGGTTGGTGACCCCAGCTGAGGAGGAACAAGTGGCAGATGAGTCCCAGGGAAGACCCCTAGGGGGAATGGCTGGAGGTAGCTGTACCAGGGATGAAAAGGGTGGGGGTGGTGATGAGGGGAACGCAGCCCTTCATGCAAAGAAGTGGGTGTTTGAAATCAGTGGGTGACTATTTTTTTGGCAATGTGGGCTCCTTAGGTCATATACAGTGGCCTTAGAAAGCCAGCCCTGCCTCTCTTCCCTCAACTGATGGTGGATTTGTGTAATGAGATCACCGTCTTCTTGAAAAACACTTCCAGGGTAGCTCATTACAAAGCCTCGCACAGTGTTCGGAGCAGGGCGAGCTGCAAGGCCCCGGGCTTTCCATTCTGAAAGAGCTGTGGGTGTCGGGGTGGCTGCCAGCTGTGAGAGCTCTGTGGGTGGGGACTCTGTCCCTCAAAGCCACGCACTCAGGCTTGCCCATTCTAGTGTCTCCGTGGGAGACACAAAGCTGAGGTTTCTCTAGGAATGGGGAGCTCCAGCTGGAAGGATATGGAATTTGAATGCAGCATCTGCCTTTAGCTCAGCCCCGAAGAGAGTCAGACAGAATCTGGTGAGAAGGAGGCCACTGAGTGATCTGATGTCCCCTCATCTGGCCTGGACCTTTTTTTAAGTGAAACTCAGCCCAGCCCTCAGGTGCGTCCCCCGGCATCCCAATCACCTGCGAACTGTGATTCCCTCTCAGGGCTTCGGTAAGTGATTCAGTGGAGGCAGCCAGCAATTAAAAGAAGCAATTAAAGATCTTTTATTAAAAGATCTTTATGACAGGCTGGGCAAGGTGGCCTGGGCCTGTAATCCCAGAGCTTTGGGAGGCTGAGGAGGGAGGATCACTTGAGCTCAGGAATTTGAGACCAGCCTGAGCAACATAGTGAGCCCCTCCCTGTCTTTACAAAAAATGAAAAAAATTAGCCAGACATGGCTAAAAAACAATCTTTACGACAAATTGTTAAATAAAGAATGTAAGTGATGGAATGATATATGTAGCAGATTTTTATCTGTATGTATGCAAATATATAAAGTTCTGTAAGATTGCACACTAAACCATTGGCACAGATGGAGAGTAAAGAACTTTAATTTTTTACTCTATAGGCTTTCCCCCCCACAACATTTCAGATATTCTTTTTTTATTTTTTGAGACAGGGGCTTGCTCTGCTGCCCAAGCTGGACTGCAGTGGCACCAACATAACTCACTGCAGCCTTCACCTCCCAGGCTCAAGCAATCCTCCCACCTCAGCCTCCCAAGTAGCTGGGACTACAGTGCAGTGGTCACCATATCTGGCTAATATTTTATTGTTTGTAGAGACAGGGTCTCACTATTTGTCCAGGCTGGTCTCAAACTCCTGGCCTCAAGCGATCCTCCTGCCTCAGTCTCCCAAAGTGCTGGGATTACAGGCATGTGCCACTATGCCCAGCCAGCAGATACCCTTGAAAACGTGATGTATCATATAATACAAGCAATGTGCACTCTCCTTGCTATTTGAAATGCCTCTGAAAATGAAAACCTAATTCTTCACTAAAAAATTGTGTTGCGGCGGGGCGCGGTGGCTCACGCCTGTAATCCCAGCACTTTGGGAGGCCAAGGTGGGCGGATCACGAGGTCAGGAAATCGAGACCATCCTGGCTAACACGGTGAAACCCTGTCTCTACTAAAAATACAAAAAGTTAGCCGGGTGTGGTGACACACACCTGTAATCCCAGCTACTTGGGAGGCTGAGGCAGAAGAATCGCTTGAACCCGGGAGGCAGAGCTTCCAGTGAACTGAGATCATGCCACTGCACTCCAGCCCAGGAGACAGTGCGAGACTCCATCTCAAACAAACAAACAAACAAAACCCAAAAAACAACAAAAACAAAAACAAAAACTTCTGTTGCATCTGACATGAAAAGGGCACATAGTCTTCAAATGTCAAGTTTTCTCCATAGCCTCCCTGTCTTGCTTGGGCTGTAACTCCTTATTCCAGCCATCTCTTTGCTAATTCCTTCAGTCATCGTGGGCTTCATTATTGTCAATTCTTAATCAAGCTTCAATTTTACAAACCCAGCCTTTACATTTTGGTGAAGCAATTTTGGGAGATTTCCCACAATTCAGGAGAAAGCATCTGGAACAATGCAAACTCGAAGAACAAAGAACACCAGAGGAGTCTCATGATGCTTTGATTTTTTCTTATTTCTTTTCTTTATCATGATAAGCTCTTTTTTTTGTTTGTTTTCAACTGTGCGTTGCCTTATTCTCATATACTTGGATTAAAAAAAATCAAGTTACTAGATTTGTACAAGACTGTCCTGACGGCAGAGATTCTCTTGAAGTAGTTTCACTACTTAACCATTCTCTGTTGATGAACTCATCATAACCAAGTTCTTCTGTCAGAGGACTAGTAGCTTCAGACGCAGTCAGAGCTGTAGTCAGTGTTAGAATATCAGAATCCATCCTCCGAGGATTTCTCTGTTGTTCGGCATCAAACGCCGCTTCCCTTGCTCTGCAGGCCTCTGCTAATCGCCTGCGGCCTTCTGCAAGTTCCTGCATTCTGCTCGGGGCAATTGGGTAATTAATTCCTAAGACGATGACAAGTGGGTGTTGGAGGCAGAGATTCGGCAACACGGCTAGGCCTGGTCAGTTCAGGGGCTCAGACTTGGGCGTGGCCTCTACACCCTCCTCTTTGGCTGCTCTGAAAACAATCGGATGGCCCGGTCATTGTCATCGGACCTTCCCCGGCCTCCTCACGCTGTACCACCTGGGCTCCCACCTTTCTTGGCCTCCCTTTACCTGCCTGCCCAGTGTTAGACCACAGGGTCAGCTGAGCCTCTCCTAGGAAAATTGGAATAACAACAGCACAGCTGAGTGTGCACGCGCCCTCACATATCTTGCAGACTGTTGTCCCCATGTAGACATGTTCCCATGAGTAAGGACTTATCTATTATTTGAATACTTGGTACATTTATAAAAAGAAAACAATAGTGCAAGAAGAAAGAGAGAGTGTGTAGCAGGCCCCAGATGCCCGAGTTCCCCTGGGCAGAACCTCTTCCCAGCCTGGTCTCTGGCATCTGGGAAGGCCACTCTGCCTTAACTCCTGCTGGAGACACTCAGCTCACAGCTGCTGACAATTTGATGCTCAGTTTTCACTGTAACTGGGGCGGACGTCCTGGATCTCACTGAGGAGTCAGAGGAGGGTTGTTCCCTAAGGCATCTCTCCTCCTCCCCAACTCATCCACCAAAGCAGGAGTGGCCACTCTGAGAATGCAGTGAAAGCACTGGATTTGCTACCGATGCCAATGCAAATACTGCACACCTTGCATGACACCTTAAGGCCAAAGGGTCTGGGTTGGGAGCTTTTGCCTTAGGGAGGTGCTTGCTCCTTTAGCAATGAGTTCTATTCTCTGCCCTCCTTCATCTGAAAACATGCAACCCTGAGCTGCCAGCAGCCAGAGAATGCAGGACTAATGTTCAGGGGGAAGGCAAGTTGGTCCTGGGGCTTGAAGGTGTCAGGGGCTGCAGGTGGCTGCTATGGTAGAACTCTAGGAGACTGCTCAGTCTTGGGGGAGTCAAGAGCATAGCTGGGGGCTCCGCATGTCCAGGCATTTCCTAAATACACTAGTCACTGTTGCGAAACCTCCCACACCTGAAGGGGCAACCAGTCAGCTTACACTGGGCAAATCGCAGCCAGGAGCAGACTAGAGATAATGTCTGCCCTGTCCTCACCACCGCTTCCCCTCTCTTTCTCCATTTTCTCTCTCTCTTGCCTAACTCAGCAGGAGTTATAGCTACTGTTGGGTTTGCACTTAACAAAGTCTATGAGGGTCTCTGTTGACATTTTGGCAAGAGGGGCCCGGAATGCCCGTTGCGCGGTTCACCTCCATCCTCAGCCACGTCGCTGACATTTTGGAGTGAAGAAGCCCTTTGGTGAGATGCCAGTCCAATTTGGATTTTGCTCAGTGTTGAGCCTGGGCACCGGGCCCATTCCTGCATTCACTGCACATTAGGATGTGGCTGTCGGCTGAGACATTTCAGGAGAGTGGGGTAATCCTGAATGGAGTTGGCCTGCCTGGGCTCAAATTCCAGCCCTGCCATTGACCTGCTGGGTGACCATGGACAGGTTTCTTAACCTCTCTGGCACAGAGGTTCCTTGGCCATCAGTGGGGATAACAGTTGAAACCATGTTATGAAGTCACTGAGAATGAAATGAGATCTTTCTTATAGAGTTTTGTTTGCATTATTATGCCAGGCACATGAGAAGTACTTTGGAGTCATGACTTTCAATCGTGTTTGGCACCAGAGAGAGGGATTGTGGTTCTGAACCACTTCTCTGAGTAAAATAATCTCTCAGTGTCTCTCCTTCTTCCACATCACTGTGCACATAGTTTTTCTTTAAAACTTTGAATATAAAATTAGCCAGGCATGGTGGTGCACACCTGTAGTCCTAGCTACTTGGGAGGCTGAGGCAGGAGAATCGCTTGAACTTGGGAGGTAGAGGTTGAGTGAGCCGAGATCCGAGATCGCACCACTGCACTCCAGCCTGGGTGACAGAGCAAAAGACCCTGTCTCAAAAAAACCAAAAAAACCCAAAAACACTTTGAGGTGTATTTTTTGCCATTAGGGATGTGAGTCCAGTGGATCAATAGATGTCTTTGTGACTCACAGTGATGCAGATGAACCACAGTGGTGCATTCATTCATTCATTCATTCACTCATTCATTCATTCAGCAATGACTTCTCTAACTGCACATTGCTGGCTGGGCCTTCACTTCTGCACATAGTGTGCAGGGGAGCAGATATCTCAGAGTCCTGATTGAAACAGGCCCGAGTCTCGTGCTCCTTCTGGGGAGAAGTTTGCCCTTTTCAGCCCGAGGTCAGGATGGGGTGAGTGGTCACTGCCAGAGGGCCGTGTTAGGAATCATTTAGGACTCATGTGACCTGGATGGCTGCCCACTCACCTGGGGTGTGAGGGTGTGAGCTTTTCCTTTTCCTGGAAAGTTCTTTTCAAGTGTGAGGGGTGGGATGAAGACTTTGTCCACATGTTTTCTCCCTGCCCTGACTCACTTGTGGTTTTCGTTCCCAGAATCTCCTCTGCCGTGTTTTGGTTTTGAGGAAGTCGTGTGTGTGCCTTGCTTCTCTCCACTGGCCTCACCCACTTCACCACACCAGAACCTTCCAAGGAAACATTCTGGATGTGCAGTTTTCTAGCAGTTGAGAGAAGAAATGGTGAGGGACATGCTATTTTGCACCATTTTGTTCTTGAATATTTTTAGTTCAAGAAAAACAATAATACCACACCCAAACTAGCGTTCCATTGCACTCACCTTTTAGAAACACGAGAGAACCTCTTGAGCTTAGCTGTTGTGGTCCTACCTCCAGCCTCTGCCCATGCAAGCCCTGCTCTCACCTGGCTCCCAGCCGGTCTTACCTGTCCTGTTGCGTCCTTCCCAAGCCACCAGGCCACAGGGCTTTCTTTCTTCCTGTGTGGCGCTGGTCCTTTTCATTAGCTTCTGGCACATCACCCCAACTTGCCGGTGAACCCCTGAGGAGAGGGACTAAACCCTGACCTTTACAAAAGGTTTCTGTAAAATCAAATCATAATCACTGTAAATTAAAATAATGCAAACAAAACAAAAGCGCAAGGAAGAAAGTCAGTGTCAGTTACAATCCAGCCCCCTAGAGACATCCGCTGCCCATGCCAGCTGCAGCGTCCCTCTGGCTAGCTCTCTCTACACCTGTATCAGGTGCTGCTTACGGAGGTTGTTACAAGAGTGGGATGGTAATAGGCGTTGCTGCTGTGGGACTGACCAGGACTACACTGCTTTGTCATTTCTTTCTTTCTCTCTTTTTTTTTTTTTTGAGACAGAGTCTCGCACTGTCACCCTGGCTGGAGTGCAGTGGCGCGGTCTCGGCTCACTGCAACCTCCGCCTCCTGGGTTCAAGCAATTCTCCTGCCTCAGCCTCCCGAGTAGCTGGGATTACAGGTGCATGCCACCACGCCCAGCTAATTTTTTGTATTTTTAGTAGAGACAGGGTTTCACCATGTTGGCCAGGCCGGTCTTGAACTCCTGACCTCGTGATTTGCCTGCCTTGGCCTTACAAAGTGCTGGGATTACAGGCGTGAGCCACCGTGCCCAGCCTGCTTTGTCATTTCTTGCTCTTGCTTTGTCATCTGTTTCCCTTCCCAACCCAGGGGACCCATTTTTAGCGTAGTATTATGTAAGAAATAGGTACTCTAGCAAGCCTTGATTGATGGCCTTGACTGATTATTCAACACACATTTCTTTTATTATTATTATTATACTTTAAGTTCTAGGGTACATGTGCACAACTTGCAGTTTGTTACATATGTATACATGTGCCATGTTGGTGCGCTGCACCCGTTAACTCGTCATTTACATTAGGTATATCTCCTAATGCTATCCCTCCCCACTCCCCCACCCCACGACAGGCCCCAGTGTGTGATGTTCCCCACCCTGTGTCCAAGTGTTCTCATTGTTCAATTCCCACCTATGAGTGAGAACATGCGGTCAACACACATTTCTTAAGAGATAGAATGACACATGGTCAAGAACACAGCCCAGTAGCCAAACTGCCAGGGTTTGAGGCCTGCGTATATCTGGCTGACCCTGGGCAAGTAACACAAATTCTCCATGCCTCAGTTTCCATATCTTTAAAATGGGGATTAGAATAGCACCTACCTCACATGTTTATACTAATACTTGATTGTGTTATAAACAGCGCCTGCCTTGTGGCAAGTGTTTGGTGAGAGTTCTATTGACCATCTATTAATGTGCAAAGTCCTGGGAATATGGGAAGTGAAGGCTACAGCAGCTCTCACGAGTCATGCCATGCATGCAGTGAATGACACCATAAGGGCCGCTGGAGGGCAGTCAGCTTGGGATCTCTATCCATGGCAGCATTGAGAAAGGGTGCTTAAGCCAGCATGGGAGGGGCAGGAGAGCATCCTCCTGCAAGGGTGCCCTGGCCTTCCTCACCTCCCCGCCCATGCAGAGAATAACATTTGCACCACTCATACTGGGAGGTGCTGGTGGGACGAGGCTGCTCATGGCTGAAGGGGACCTGCAGGGCTCTGCATGCTCTGGACATCCTGGTTTCCCCTGCACAGCCTCCATGGCAGGGGTGAAGGACTCTGATGGTGCATGTCACACCTGAGCAGCTTGGGTGGTGAGACAGTGTTTCTTGGCTCTGTCTCTTCTCTTCTGTTGCTGTGTCCTTGATTTCAGTCCAGAAATCCTATGGGCCCTGTGTCCCCTTCTCCTGTGTTCTTCACCTCAGTGGCTGGTGATCTCCAGCTTGAGGACCATTGCAGAAGCAACAAGGAGCTTGGAAGTTTATTTCTATCCAACAAGAAAAGATCATGACTCCCTTTATTTTCTGGTCTGGATACTAGAAATGAGAGATCAGGAGAGGAGAGGCCACATAGACTTTAATTATGCCCAGGCCAGTTTCTAAAACACATTTACACTAACCAGCTGTCTTCTGAGGGTGCTAAATAAACCCCTCTCATCCGAGGCTTGCCCTCGGCCCTGGGCTGCAGCAGGAGGGCCTTCACTCACATCCCCAGTTGTGGGGCTACCTGAGTCTTGCTGCGAGCTGGCGGTGTGATTGATGTAGGGTTTTGCGAGATGGGAGCGAGCAGGGATTCTGCAGGGATTTCCTAAGTCCACTGTTTTGGTTAGATTCTCTTGTTCTTCCAGTTCCCCAACAGATTTCACCATCACATAAATCAATGCTGAAGTGAGTTGTGGCACGAGTAGTTCCAAGCAATCCATGATCAATATGTACATTTAACACTGGGGCAAATGGCTCAGTTTCCATTACAAAATTGACCTTCAATCATGTTCAGTTTGGGGTGATATGGAAAGGCAGTCTAACTGAAGAGAGCGTAGTTGGGGTGTTGGTGTAACTGCCCAGTGTGTTCTCCTTGCCCCCTGCCCAGATACAGCCAATTTATCAGGAACAGAAGAATTGCAATAGAGAAAGAGTTGAATACACACAGAGCCAGCTGAACAGGAGACCGGAGTTTTATTACTCAAGTCAGTCTCCCTGAAAATTTGGAGGCTAGGGCTAAGGATAGTTTGGTGGGCAGGGGCTAGGGGAATGGGTGCTGCTGATTAGTTGGGGATGCAATCATAGAGGTGTGGAAAATGGTTCTCATGCTGTGAGTTCACTTCTGGGTGGGAGCTTCAGGAGCAGTTGAGCCAAGAGTCATGGGTCTGGGTGGGGCCACTCGGTCATCAGAAATGCAAAATCCTGAAAGGACATCCCAAAAGGCCGATCTTAGGCTCTACAAGAGTGATGTTATCTGTGGGACTTGGTAATCATTTATGCCTACATCTTAGCAGAATTCAGCCCCTCTCATCCCCCTAACTTTGTGGTCTCTCATCAGTTTTACAAAGGTGGTTAGTTTTGGGGAAGGGCTATCATCATTGAAACTATAAACTAAATTTCTCCCAAAGTTAGCTTGCCCCAGGTCCAGGAATGACCAAGGATACTCTGGAGGTTAAAAGCAAGATGGGGGTGATTAAATCAGATCTCTTTCACTGTCATAATTTCCTCACTGTTGTAATTTTTGCAAAGGCAGTTTCATTGGGAGGTTACCTGGAGGCGGCAGGACACCTGTGCACAGGTGAGTCTGCAGGGGAGTAGGCGTTGGTCTGGAACTGCTTCTGACCTTGGGTACACAGGTCACGTGACCTCAGGCAAATCCCTTAACCTCTTAACTTTCCTTTTTTCTTTAAAACCAAGAGCAGTAAATTGTGTTCCAGATGCTAGTGGGTGTCTCACCAAGAAGGTTCCATGGGCAACTATGTCTGGAAAAAGCTGGTCTTCCACGTCCTCTCAATTACAAGTTCATTAGCATATTAAAGACTCTGCAAATACCTGCAGGAAGAAAACTGTTTGGTGTTCAGCAAGCACTTTCCCCTTGTTTTTTGACCACAAAACCTCCTTTCTGTGGTGATGGGGGGACACATTTTGGGAAATATTGGTCTAGGGGTTCTTCCTGTGCTCGAACCTTGTGATGTAAAAATTTTGCCTGCAAAGCGCATGTTGTTGACCTTGGCCTTAGCAGCCTCTGCTGAGGCCTGCTTTAGGAGGGAAAGCCTCAGGCAGCAGAGTCGCAGAGCTCGGCCCTACCACCAGCTTCCAAAACATGGCATCCAGAAGAGCTTCAGTTCAAAACCAAACCTCGCTGTAAACTTGCAACTGAAATTGTTGCAAGTTCCCTGTGGGTGAGAAACACAGGGCAGTGTGTCTGCATCCTTCCCTGTCGTGGAACCTGCCATGTCCCAGCAGCCACCAGGGTCCTGGCCCTCCCCTCCCCTCTCCCCTGGGCCGCTGTCATTAGCCCAGCTGACTCCCAGCCCCCTCCCTTCCTCTGTGCCTGGCACCCTGGTTCTGCTTTTAGAGGAGCCGGCCTTGGCTGAGCAAAGTGGCCAGCATTGGGAGGGAGCAGAATGGCTCCTGTTATTCCCTCCCTTCCTCAGTTTGGAGCAGGAAGCATCCACCTCTTCCATCCACCTGTAAGAGTCTTTCTTACATCCACCTGTAAGAGTCACCAATGACTATATCTGGAGACTTATTCGTTTCTGTGGCTTGAAAAAAGCTTTTCAAAATATGAAAATCCCTTGTATTTACATAGCTTTTTCACTCTTCGAAGGCTTCACTCATGATCTGGTTTAGTTGCCTTCAAGCCCCATGTCTGGAAAGGCAGTGGGCAGAGACATATTTTATAGACCCTGCAGCCCGCAGAGCAGAAGAGGCTGAGGGAGTCCTTCACGTTATCCTGGCAGTGGCAGGAGTTCTAAGCAGTCTCCCTCAGGATTCCCTGAGCTGTGATGGCCTAGCTCACTCCATAGATGGACGCTTCCAGGCCGGCTGGAATGCTGCCCCTTCCCGTGGATTTGGGTTGACTCCCAGGCTGACCACAGAAAGAAATGTCCCTTACTTCCAGAAGCTCAGGAGTGAGGGTGCAGAACACCCTTCCTGGGGGCTTCTGTATCAGCAACAGGGGCTTTCTTGCACTGCTTTGTCAGGATATTTGGGGCATGCGTAAGTCTAAGGCCAAATTCCTTGGCCTGCATTGGAGAAGCAATTTCCTTATCTAAACACGTGAAGGGCAAGTGGAAGAAGCCAGGTGGGGGGGCTCTAGGGGCATGCAGATGATTATGTAGAGTCAAAATAGAGTCAAAAGCACCCATGTAAGGGACATGTTGGCAGTGCTGCTGGGCTTCTTACTAGAGAGCACACTCTTTGCTGCTCCATCAGGGACATGCTGTCCAGTCTCTGGCCCCCTCTGCTGCAGCCATGGGGCTTCAGAAGCCTCAACCAGTGTTCCAGGTGGTCAGAGATGTCCTGTGAGATGGAAGCTGTTGCTTTCTTCAAGCTCCACACCGGGAGGATGAACTGTCAGTAACTTTATGTATCCTGTGGCTTATACCTGACACTTTTTCTTTGTTTTAAATCTCTCAGTGTAAACAGAGTAATTATATAACCCTTTCCTGCAACCCATTTATTACAGTGTTTAAAAAAATAATCTCAAAAGACGCTGTCCTAAGTCAGGTGTGCTGAGACATTTTGTTTTGAGTTTCCAGAATTACTGCAATCCTTTGTTGTTCGCCCTTGGTCCCTGCCCCATTTTGCTCTTGGGAACAGGAACCAGAGGCTGGCACTGGGCACCAGGCTCAGCTCTGCAAGAGCAAAGCCAGACCAGGACAAGAGCTGTTGATTTTTACAGCCATGTTTAACTAAAATTCCACATAGAACATTTTCTAAAAACGCAAACTTTGAACCATTTATTATGGAACATTTTTTTCTTATAATTTTTGGTAGAAATTTCTTTTCAGTAGCTTTTTAAAATTATAAAGTCAACATATAGAAAATAATAGAGGGGCAAAGAGAAGATAAAAATGAAACATAATCTCACCATCCAGAGATACCCACTTTTGACATTTTGTTGTATTTCTTCCCAGTTCTCTGTATATACACATATATGTGTAATTTTATTGTTGTTTTGGAATTCGTTGTGTATAAATTTTGTACTATAGCTTTCCACTTTGCATCATATAACTATGTTTCTGCATCATTAAATAGTCTTGAAAAACACCATCTTGAAGTTGCTACAATAGATTCCATCTTATAGCAGTGCCATAATTATTTAACTGTTCCCATATTGTGGGACAGATGCACTGTTGCCAGTTTTTTTACAACTATATATAAAGCTTCAATGAACATCTTTAAAAAGAAGTCCAAGTTTCTGACTCCTTCCTTCCCATGGTTTGCCAGAAGGGTTATTGCCAGGTGGAGGGATATAAATTCCTTTATTATAAAGGCCTGAAACCCAGATTGCCAAATTGTTTTCCAGAATAGTTCTTCCAAAGACACATGCCTGAGGCTGCCAGCAACTGCCAGCAACCTCAGCTGGGGGCTGTGGAGGTGAGAGGAGGCCATTTATTCATTGCACATTCTTTCTGTGATTTATGAGATGAAGAGAGAGGTTGAGATTTGACTTGTTGCTTACAGAGCCGTAGGCCACAACGGAGGAAGGGAATGAATGAGTGTTGAGAATGCACCTGTGTCAGATCTGATGGGAACCATAATGACCCAATGCCTATCACCCAAGCTGTGGTGAGCAGTAACATCCAGCAGGTGTGTGGACTCCTGAATTCCTGACGTTTCTTCTGACTTTTCTCTGTACCCAGTTAACAGCCAGCAGGTTCCAAGCGTGCTCAGGTCAGGCTGGACTCTCTCTCTGAAGAACATCAAAATTGTCACTTTACACGTAATTGTAAGTACACAGACTCTGGGAAGGCAGTCCTTAGGGTGTCCTGAGAGGAAGTATTGGCTTTCTGCAGTAATGTTTCTCTTTTGTTCGGGTTCAGAGGCTACTTTTCTTGCTAACTGCTGAGTTCTGAGCTCCTGGGTGAAGTAGATTCTGAGTGCCAGTGAAGCAGAACATAATGATCCTCAAATTTAGGTTTATTTCTTTAAATAACCATAAAAAAGATTTGTAGAAAGGTCTTAGCTAAAAACACGATGCCTGGAGCCAGCCATACGCTCAGCCAATGTTCGTGATGCTGAAATGAAATGAAGTGACGAATGTCACCCCAGGAGGTGTCCAAAGAGCACCCTCCAGGGGTCAAAACCTCTACCAGGCATCCATTGCCACCTCTTCCCAAGACAGCTGAGGGCCCAGGACCAGGGCAGAAGGTCAAGCATTAGACGCTCCAGGTGCCTTGTCCCCCAGGCTGGCATCTGCCCGGTGCCAGGTGCCAGTAGAAATGTGAGAAACAGTGTCCTGCTGCAGGTGTGTGACACCACAGAGCCATGGGCTGTCGTGGCTGATGTCCGTGGGGTTGAATCTGGGCTTCGGTGGCTCTGCAGACATTACTTAATCTCACTCATCATCACATCCTTCATCTATAAAATGGGCTTACAGGCTGTCCACCTTTTGAGTGGTTGGAATCACTGATGGAAAAGTTGATATTGGAAGTGTACTGAAAAACTTAGGAGGGCTGGGCACGGTGGGTCACGCCTGTCATCCCAGCACTTTATGAGGCTGAGGTGGGTGGATCACTTGAGGCCAGGAGTTCAAGACCAGCCTGGCCAACATGGTGAAACCCTGTCTCTACTAAAATACAAAAATTAGCTGTGCATGGTGGCACACGCCTGTAATCCCAGCTACTTGGGAGGCTGAGGCAGGAGAATCGCTTGAACCCAGGAGGTGGAGGTTGTAGTGAGCCGAGACTGTGCCACTGCATTCCAGCCTGGGTGACAGAGCAAGATTCGGTCTAAAAAAAAAAAGAAAAGCTTGGGAGTTGCTAAATGAATGTTACCTTCCATGTGCCTCGTCCCACAGATTGAGCAATCCAGGAGCAGAGGCAGTGACCTAGAATCACTAGGGGTGATTATCATAAGAGATTTTCAGTATGTATGGGGGCCTTTGGGGGAGATATTTTCCCTCGAACTGAGGGAGGTCTTCTTGCGTCTTCAGGTGGTGCTTGTCCCACGGGCAGGATGCACAGTGGCTCCTACACATGGGGTTTGGCAACCCTGTCCCTCCTCACCTTGGTGCCCCAGCAGTCCCTTCATATTTCTGTCCTTCGCATCTTCTCTGAATTCCTGAATTCCTAGCTGCTGCCTTGGCAGCATGGCCTGAACACTGTGCCCACTGGCGGTCGTTTAGAGGGCAGAGGTGTTCCCTGGGCTCATAGGGAGCCCAGCCGGGCACAGGGCACAGCACTTGCAGGTGGATGGAGGCTCAGGAGGCACAAGGGTATTGCGGGCAGATGAAGTGGGGCTGTCCCCTCGCCTGCCCTTGCTGAGAAGGAGACTCTGGTGGGGTCAGAGGGTCCCAGTCCCTGGCAAGGCAGCCTAGTGGGTACCATTTGGGAACAGGCAACTCATAGCCTACTGCCGCTTGTGCATGGTTCAGCCTATAGAAGGCAGCCTTGGCTTGCAGCCCAGTCCCAGTTCCTTCCAGGTGGGACCACAAGACCTGAGCTATGTGACACAGAGCATGACAACTTTCACGTGGGCCACCTCTTCTAGAATGGCTATGAGGCCTGACAGGTCCCTGCGCCCCCTTGGACAGCTAGACTTGTGACAGTAAGTGATCAAACAGGGACAGGGCCTGGTGTGTGGCCGTCCCTCTGCCCATAGGAGGTTACCAGGTCTAGGCTGAGCTGGAGCTCCATAGCACTGGTTTCTAGAATAGTGCAGATGCTGGGCCTATCCTGGAGGCTACACTTAAAATAAAAAAAGAACAAAAAAATCTTTATTAGGGTGTAACTCTTCACAGTTATTCCTAGTGCATAGGGGAGCAACTGTTCATGATGTTTTCTGGAGGCTTCTTAAAGGAAACCTCTCACCCTCTCTCGGGTGTGGCACTTGGCTGCTGGGAACAGACAGTTTATCTTGCAGAGAAAACTGTTTTGCAAGAGGTTTCCCACCATTATGGTCTGAGGGAGGGTCCCTGCCAGCTTTTCTTAGTCACTTGGGCTTAGAGGGAAGGTGGTTTTCGTTTTTTTTTCTCTGTTCTTTTTTTCTGAAGGCAAGAGCCATCTGGGGGCAGGGCACACATGGGTAATTACCCTGACTTGGAGAGACAAAAGGACTGCTGATCAGCAGTTCTCAGGGCAGCTGCAGGTGGCTGATGCTTTTGGTGGAATATCACAAAGTACCCAGGCTGGGGGTGAGTCAGAAATCCTTAGGTCACTTGTGGTTTTCTTTCATGGTTTTGCTGTGACTATTAACTTGTTTTTACTTAACAAGAAAAACAGGTGTTTGGGTGTCTGTTTGAAACAGTGCTGCCCTGCTGTTAGCAACTCACTGTAGTCACGAGGCTGCCCTGGCTTGGCGACACTGAATACCTAACTGGAATAAGGAGCAAACCCTGGAAGAAGCCGGAAGCCAGTCCCGTGAGAGGGATGGGGCATCCCTGAGCACAAATACAGAACCTGGTTGTTGTGAATTTAAATCGAACTTGGAGTCAATCAGCCAATTCATTAATTTGAATTGCTTACTTACTGCGCCAGCCCCTAGCACCCTCCTGCACAGCTTTGGAGATGAACTTCCACCTTGGAATAAGCGTGTGTGCTTGGATCTTGGCTTTGCTTTTGTATGTGTAGCCAGGTGAGCCGGCAGCTCTCACCTGAGTTGTGTTGCTTTCTGGAGGGAAATAGAGGCAGTGCCTTCGTCCACATGCTGCTGTGGGTTTTCTTTCCACCTGGCCAGGCAGCCAGATGCTGCAGCTTTTTAAGTCTCATTAACGTCAACGTGTGCACTGCCCGTTACCAGTACCAAGAGACTGACAAGAACTCCTGCCTCCCCAGCTGCAGGTGCTGAAGGCTTCCCTCAAGTCCTTAGGCCTTAAAGGATGAGTTTCAGGCTTTCTGCAAAGACTATCAGAAATGGGAATCTGGCTCAAAGCAAGTCTGTGCAATTCTGCACAGGGATCAAAGGAAATGGAGGCACCAGTTTGAGTCCTGGGCCTTGGGCCTGGAC
This sequence comes from Homo sapiens, assembly GCF_000001405.40. Taxonomy (NCBI): domain Eukaryota; kingdom Metazoa; phylum Chordata; class Mammalia; order Primates; family Hominidae; genus Homo; species Homo sapiens. The sequence continues at coordinate 111,705,162 of NC_000002.12, read as the reverse complement.
ATGGCTGGGATCTGCCAGAAAAACAGACCAGGAACTCTTTTTTTTCTCTTTTTTTTGAGACAGTTTCTTGCTCTTGTCACCCAGGCTGGAGTGCAGCGGCACGAACGCAGCAACTTACCGCCGCATTGACTTCCTGGGCTCAAGCGATTCTCCCACCTCAGCCTCCCAAGTAGCTGAAACGACAGGCATGTGCCGGCTAATTTTTCAGTTTTTTGTAGAGATGGGGTCACACTATGTTGCCCAGGCTGATCTCTGACTCCTTGGCTCAAGTGATCCTCCTGCCTTGGCCTCCCAAAGTGCTGGGATTACAGACATGAGCCACCACGCCCAGCCTGCTCTTTTTTTTTTTTTTTTTTAATTTCTTTAAAAAAATTTTTAAAAAGAAAATTGGGTGGAGAAAAACAAAGTGTTTTTTAAAAGAAAAAACAAAAACAGGAGTGGGGCTGTATTCTGCAGCTTGGAGCACAGGTGACTGTAATGCCGAATAGTGATTGCTCAGGGCATAGCCTTCCCCATCCCCTTTCACCAAACCAGACCCCAAGGCTGTGGGAATTCCTGGAAATCATGGGGTACTTGTGCTCTGTCCTGTATGGCCGAGAGCTCCAAAGATTTGCTGCCTTGCTGTGCCACTGCGGCTGGCAGGGAAGAACCAGAGCAGCCGGTGAGTCAGACACTCGGGGTGATTGTTGCTGAAGTCATTTCTGAGGGAGGTGGTCAGCACCTCACTGCAACCAACTGCTCTCCAGGAGGCACCAGTTGCAAAGGTGGGCGAGTGCAGTCGCTGCAGGCAGACTTTGCTCTGTATCTTGCTGTGTCCCCAGTACTGTGGACATGCCCAGATCCCAGCAGACAGTTCATCTGTTGGATTAATCTGTTTTATTCTTTTTGAAGAAGAGGCAGTCCAGGGTGGAAAGCCTGAGAGTGCATCACCCGTCACTTCAGGAGACATCCTCACCTCCGATTCCTTATGTATATCAGATAGGGTGTTCGTGGGCCCTTCCCTGGGCCTCCCTGAGGTGTGAATTGCCTGTGTGAAGGGAAGTTGAAGCTGGTGCCTTGTAGGTCCCCTAACAGTGGCTGCAGGTGAGCCCTGAGCCATCTGGGCAAAGCCAGCTGTCATAAATGACCAAGCAAGTTGGCTTGTGGCTAAATTGATGTCCTCACCAGCATGTCCTCGCCAGAAGGGTGAAACTTCATCAGGACAGGCCGCACGCCAGTCGCAACTGCCCTTGAGGCAAATGAGAGACTCCTTCCATCTCTGCAATTCCCACACTTGGGGAGTGCCTGTGCTTTGCAGAGGCCCATGGTGAAGAGACAAGGGTGGCTTATTGTCTGGCTGGGGAAGCCCAGGGCTCAGGGCTCCTGGCACAGGGAAGGTGCCGGGAGCCCACAGGCTTCCAAGGGCCTGAGTGAGGATGGCTGGTGGATGTCTGCCCTGCTGGCCACGCTCACTACTCACCGAGGCAGAGTTGGCTCTGCTCAGCCTCTGAATGCCTAGGAGGCATTTGTTGTCTGTGCAGGGACAATGAGAATCCAGGATTAGAGGGGGACAAGGGTCCTAAAATCCACACAGGCCACTCCTAAGGTTTGTTGATTTGACTAGCATGAATTGAGTGCCTACCGTATACAGGAAACTGTGCCAGGTTCACAGGGATGTATCTGTGGCTGGTAGTGGATGAAATGAGGCATCGTGACAGGAGCTGCTGTCAAGCTTCCCGGAGCCTGAAGGTTCTTAGGGAAGTGGAGATGGGGATGACAGGGGCATTCAGGAACTACCAACAGAAGAGAAGCATTTACTCTTTTCTCTTTCTTTCTTTCTTTTTTTTTTTTTGAGACAGGGTCTCACTCTGTGGCCTGGGCTAGAGTGCAGTGTGGTGTGATCATAGCTCACTGCAGCCTCGGTCTCCCAGGTTCAAGCGATCCTCCCACCTCAGCCTCCCGAGTAGCTGGGACTACAGATGTGCACCACCACACCCGGTGAATTTTTGTATTTTTTTGTAGAGACAGGGTCTTGCCATGTTGCCCAGGCTGGTCTCGAATTCCTGGGCTCAAGCAATTCGCTCACCTCAGCCTCCCAAAGTGTTGGGATTACAGGTGTGAGCCACTGCGCCCTGCCAGCTCTTTTATGTTTAAAATCCAGTCCTTGGTTTTTGTTTATCCATCTGGCAGTGGCTCCAGGAATACAGTCACCCCAGCATGTCTGCCACTTACCTGCCCAGGTCGATCTTCCCATCTATCAGACTTGGGCACAAAGTGTGGCGGGTTGGTGCCTAGAAGAGAGATCAGGAGGAGGGGAGACCCCACAGAGCAGTCTGGTGCCCCTCCTCCTCTGTTTACCGACTTCCTTGGAAACCAGGACCATGCTTTACTGCCTGTGCTCCATTGTCCTCTCACTTCCTGGAGATGGACACTGAGTCCCTTTTTCTCTCTCCCAACATCGAATGACCCTGACCTTTCCTTCCTCCACAGTCCGCACTTCACCAGAACATGATCTCGCTCTGTGCGAAGATGCATGTGGTCCGGGGAGGGGAGCCTGGCCTGGCCTGTCCTCCAAGTCTGCCTTCCGGAGGGAGCGAGAAGTCGTGGGCTGAAGCTGAGTGTCTCTCCCCGCAGCCATCAGGAGTCCACCAGCTGTGGACACGTGGGAGGGGTTCTTCATTCTTGGGGCCTCCCTTCCTTTGTGCTCACACAGAGAGGGAGCTGTGAAAACTGCTCTAACACAAGGGCCTGGGAGAGAAGGTGGACCGACCGCACCTTTCATCTGGTGTGGGTGGGGAATTGTCTTTCCTTGTTCTCAGTTCCTGTGAAGGGAATTTCCTCTCCCCTACCACGGAGGGGCAGTGTTGGGCTGAACACTTTGTTTTTCTGCACCCAATTTTCTGACTTGCCCCCAGGGAGGTGCTGTGTTTTGTCTGACCAGAGAGACTGTTGAGGGCCTGATGCATGTTGGCTCAACTTATGAGCGACCATGGCCACCATGTTGCTGTCATGAACTCTCTCCCTCTCTCTCTCTCTCTCCTCCTCTCTTCTCTCTCACCCACCACGCATCTCACCACCGGGAAGAAGTGCCAGGGCCCTTCTCTGTTTTCTTTCTGAGGGAAAAGGACATCTGTGGCAGAACCAGTCTCTTTTGACAGCCCATTTCTTGCCTGCCGTCTGCTGGACCTTTGGGCCGGGGCGTAACCTTCCAAACGGGACTTGGCAGACTCAATTCTCCCCTTTGGCAGTTCCGAGCCCAAGACTTGAGGGTGATGCTAGGAGCCTCCAGTTCGCCCTCTGGGACCAACCAAGTTCTAGAATCCAGCTTTTCCACAGAGCGGTGAGCTTTCCAAGTTTGGGGTTATCTAGTCCTTATGTTCATCAAGTGTTCTCTCACATGAGTTGTAAGATTTCAGGGAAATGTAAGTTTTCTTGAGCTCTGGCTAATCAGAAATACTCTTAGAAGTGTCTCCACTCATTCATGAGTATCATCCATGTCCTTATTGCAGTCACATTTTACGAGTTGCACTGATCTCATTGGCCAGTCTCTGCTCCATGGTGTCCAGGACCTCAGCTGGTGAGGCGCAAAGTGTCAGGTGAGGTGCAAAGGCTGAGGCCTGGAGTCCTCCAAGGCTCCCTTGCACTTATGGCACTTCATGCCAGTTATCAGCTGGGACTTCGGTTGGAGCAGGCTGCCAGCACACCTGCGTGTGGCCTGGGCCTTCTCTCAGCACTGTAGCCTCAGGGCAGGAGTGGGTGTCAGATTTCTTACTTGGGGCTCAAGATTGCAAATACCAAGGTGGAGACTGCATCTCATTTTATGACCCAACCTTGGAAGTCATGTGAAACACTGGCTACATTCTTTTGGTTGCAGGCAAGTCCCAAACCTTTCCAGATTCAAGACATAGGGAATTAGATTCTAGCTCTTGGTGGAGGAAGATGAGTTTCTAGAATAGCATGTGGGATGGGAGGTATTCTGAGGCTACCTTTGGAAACACAATCTGCCATAGACCAGTCAGGGAGAAGGAAACTGTAATGCTTCCTCTTTCATCTGCCCAGGCTTACTGGTAGACACATGGTTGAGAAGGGCAAAACCTAGGCCAGGTGCGGTGGCTTACACCTGTAATCCCAGCACTTTAGGAGGCTGAGGTGTGCAGATCACTTGAGGTCAGGAGTTTGAGACCAGCCTGGCCAACATGGTGAAACCCTGTCTCTGCTGAAAATACAAAAATTAGCCAGGCATCGTGGCAGGCACCCGTAATCCCACCTACTCGGGAGGCTGAGGTGGGAGAATGCCTTGAACCCGGGTGGCAGAGGTTGCAGTGAGCCAAGATCACACCACTGCACTCCAGTCTGGGCAACAGAGTAAGACTCCATCTCAAAATAAATAAATAAATAAAGCAAAACCTGGCAGGAAAGCTCCCATGAACAACCAGTAATGGAAACAGTTGCAGATTTCTCATGCCTTTGACCAGGAAACACCCACATGGAGGGCAGGGGGCTTGGGCACCTCCATGTGGTTGGCCAGCTCCACGGGCTCTTCTGTACTCTTGAATCTGAGCTCTTGCATTATGCAGTGAAGTAGCTATTTCCTTGCCATTTTGGGCCAAAAATACTACCACAAAGCGGGGATGATAGCTTTCTGTAAAAGTGCTTTGTGTAGTGCCTGGGACCTAGTACATGCTTAACAAACAAGAATATTATTATTCTTGTCTGGCTTTCTCATAATCATTAATGCATGCTCTAGGAGGAATAGTGTGTCCTTTCTCTTCTTCTCCTTTTTTTTTTTTTTTTTTTTTTGAGATGGAGTCTTACTCTGTCGCCCAGGCTGGAGTGCAGTGGCTTGATCTCTGCTCACTGCAACCTCTGCCTCCTGGGTTCACGCCATTCTTCTGCCTCCGTCTCCCAAGTAGCTGGGACTACAGGTGTCCACCACCATGGCCAGCTAACTTTTTTGTATTTTTAGTAGAGATGGGGTTTCACCATGTTGGTCAGGCTGGTCTTGAACTCTTGACCTCAGGTGATCCACCTGCCTTGGCCTCCCAAAGTGCTGGGATTACAGGCGTGAGCCACCGCGCCCGGCCTCTCTTCTTTAGTCCAGAAGATGGACTGTGTGAAGAAAGTCTCCGCCCAGCCACTGTCCTGAGGGTTTATAAAAGTCCACCTCACCCTTACCAGCTCGAGTTCCTAAAAGGTGAGGAACTTTGTGGTGATAATTTTAACATTACAGTATCTATTCAGATAGGTAGAAAACTGACTTATTCTGTTTATTTTTTTATTTATTATTATTATTATTATTATTTTGAGATGTAGTCTTGCTCTGTCACCCAGGCTGGAGTACAGTGGCGCAATCTCAGCTCACTGCAACTTCCGCCTCCCAAGTTCAAGCAATTCTCCTGCCTCAGCCTCCCAAGTAGCTGGGACTACAGGCACCATATTAGCCAGGATGGTCTTGATCTCCTGACCTTGTGATCCACCCACCTCGGACTCCCAAAGTGCTGGGATTACAGGTGTGAGCCACCTCACCTGGCCTAAACTGCCTTATTTTAAAGCCTTTAGATTGTTATGTGTTTTGGGCATGTAATGCCTATTGAATGAATCTTATGTGTGGTGAGCATAATTATTTCAAAACATCTATGATCCAATAATTCTTTAATATTATCTCCTTGAACTTGCACACTGGCTGTCTATCACTGTTCAGGTGGAAAAGAAAGTAAACTTCTTTAAACAAGTGGCTTCAGGATCACAGTAACATTTGTTTTAGGGCTGTGTGTGTGTGTGTGTGTGTGTGTGTGTGTATCATGTTTTGATACTTAGATGCTTAGACTCAGAGCAGTAGCTCTGCTGGGGACTTAGTGAGTGACGGAATACCAGCAAATGGCCACATGTGGGTGTGCGTTCTCCACGTATGGATCAGAGACCTGGAGCACATGGAGGTTCTGCCAGCTCGCACACCAGCATTCAGCAAGCAGATGGTCCTGGCAATATTTGCAGCCATTGAAAATCATGTTTTCCAAGAATATTTAATGACGGAGAGAAATATGATCTAACGTGAAGTGAATTGCATCAAGACTCTGAACTGTGTACCCAGGATGGTCTGATGAGTCAGCTATAATAACCACAGGCAGGAAGTGGAGCCAACCAAACCCTGCTGACTCATTCCCATGGACGGGGAGAAGGGGAGGAAGCTCCTATAGAAGGTGCCCAGCCCTGGGAAGGTCAGTTAACGCCTGACTGACAGGGTCAGAGGAGGAGGAGGAGCGAGCCGGGCAAGAAAGGGGGCGAGGCTGCTGGGAACAGGACAGGGCAGCACCCCTGCAAAGGTCATCATGTGGACCATTTTCCCAGGTGCCAACCCCAAACTGTCCTACCCTTTTCACTAAAGGGTGTTGGCTGCCGAGCTCTTGTTTGGTAGTTCCTTGAGTGTCCCTTAAAGTCACGTCTACATGCTTTTTAAATTTTAATTTTACAGTACTATTTGAAAGGCAACTTGAATGTGGTCTAGTCCCATAACTAGAGGGTCGGCTGAAATGAATCTATGTGGCTTCAAAAATAAATTGCAAATGTATCTTTCAGTTGTCAACCCTAATAGTTATCAATAACTTGCTTTGGGAAAGATCTTTCATCTCTATGTATTTACTATGATTAGACTCCATTAATACTATTAATATTAATAATAATATTAATCTCTGTGGCCTTTGCAAACAGTGGTGTTTATTTATTTGTAGCTGTTGGTTCAGATAGAACTGAAAAGGAGGGAAAGTGGTTTGTCTTAAGAAGGTGATGAGATGGAAAAGAACACCTTCTGGTTCTGAAGTGACCGCTTTCCACGTGCCATTTTCCCGGCCCTGCTGCCCTGTGACCTCTCCCAGGATCACTTAAGGAAAGAAAGAGGAGCTCAGACTTCCCTTCAGGGGTCTGACACCCTGGGGGCTTGGCTGCCACAGGAGTTTCTTGGCATTCAGGCTGGGGACATCCTAATTCTTGCACCTGAGAGGCCCTGTCTCTCTTCCTCCAACATTACTGACAGGCATCACGGGGTTAATTGGTGTGTGTCTAAGTTCCTTCCAAGGGAAAAGTTGTGCACATCCTTGTTAAGAGGAAAAGGAAAAAAAAAAGCTTGTTTTTTTCAGGAGGTCTACATGTTTATTGTTGAAAATGTGTATATTGACTCTCTGCTATGTATCTTCTTGTTTTTTTAAATTTTTACTTTGAAATAATTATAGACTCATATGAAGTTGTAAACATAGTACAGAGAGGTCCTGGGTACCCTCCACCCAGGTTCCCCCATTGGTTATATCTTATATAATTATAGTACAGTACCCAAACCAGGAACCTGGCATTGGTATATTGTGTGTGTATAGTTTTATGACATTTTATTACATGTGGAGAGCACTGAAACCACTACCACAATCAGGACACAGAACTGATTCGTCGCCACAAAGGGACACTGCGCTTCCCCTCCGCAGTCACACCCCCTCCGCCCCCATCGTCCCCAACCCCCGTAACCACTAATCTGTTCTCCGTGTCTATATTTTAGAAATGTTATATAAATGGAATCACACAATATATGACCTTTTGAGGCTGGATTTTATTTAATTAATTTATTTATTTGAGACAGAGTCTGGCTCTGTTGCCCAGGCTGGAGTGCAGTGGCGTGATCTTGACTCACTGCAACCTCTGCCTCCTGGGTTAAAGCAACTCTCGTGCCTCAGTCTCTCAAGTAGCTGGGATTACAGGCATGTGCCACCACTCTTGGCTAATTTTTATATAGTATTTTCAGTAGAGATGGGGTTTCATCATGTTGGCCAGGCTGGTCTCAAACTCCTGGCCTCAAGTGATCTGCCGGCCTTGGCCTCCCAAAGTGCTTGAATTACAGGTGTGAGCCACCATGCCCAGCTGGAGACTGGGTTTTTTGTTTTTTTGTTTTTTTTCACTCAGCAGGATTCCCTAGAGACCCATCCAAGTTGTGGCATATATCAATAGTCCATTCTTTTTTGTTGCTGAGTAGTACGCCATGGTGGTCATTAATTTTATGTGCCAACTTGGCTAGGTCATGGTACCCAGATATTTGGTCATGCGTTATTCTGGATGTTTCTGTGAAAGTATTTTTTTTTTTTTTTTTGAGACAGAGTCTCGCTCTGTTGCCCAGGCTGGAGTGCAGTGGCGCAATCTCGGCTCATTGCAAGCTCTGCCTCCGGGGTTCACACCATTCTCCTGCCTCAGCTTCCTGAGGTAGCTGGGACTACACGCGCCCGCCACTGCGCCAGGCTAATTTTTTGTATTTTTAGTAGAGACGGGGTTTCACCGTGTTAGGATGGTCTTGATCTCCTGACCTTGTGATCCGCCCACCTCGGCCTCCCAAAGTGCTGGAATTACAGGCGTCAGCCACCGTGCCCAGCCCACGCCTGCCTAATTTTTTGTATTTTTTAATAGAGACGGGGTTTCACCACTTTAGTCAGGATGGTCTTAATCTCCTGACCTCGTGATCCACCCACATCGGCCTCCCAAAGTGCTGGGATTACAGGCGTGAGCCACTGCGCCCGGTCTCTGTGAAAGTATTTTTAAGATGAGATTAACATTTACATCGGTAGACTTTGAGTAAAGCAGACTATTCTCTATAATGTGGGTGGGCCTCATCCAATCATTTGAAGGCCTTAATAGAACAAAGACTGATGTTACCCAAGGAAGAGGGAATTCTGCCAGCTGACTGCTTTGAGACTTGAGCTGCAACCTCAACTCATTCCAGCCTGGCAGCCTACCTTGCAGATTTTGGGCTTGCCAGCCTCCATAATCATGTGAGGCAATTCTTAAAATAAATCTCTCTCTCTCTTTACACACACACACACACGCTCGCACATGCATGCAGATGCACACCTATTGGTTCTGTTTCTCTAGAGAACCCTGACTAATACATCCATGGCATGGATATACTACAGTTTGCTCAACTATTCACTCATTGAAGGATATTTTGGTTGTTTCCAGTTTTTGGCTATTATTATAAATAAAGTAACAATGAATATTTGTATAAAGGTTTTTGTGCAGACATAAGTTTTTATTTCTCTGGGATAAATACCCAGAATTGCAATTACTGTGTTATAAGGTAAGGGTATGTTTAGCTTTTTAAGAAACTGCCAAACTATTCCCCAGAGTGGCTGTAGATTTTTATGTTCCTACTGGCAATGTGGGAGAGACCCAGTTTCTCCACATCTTTATCAGCATTTGCCATTGTTACTACTTTTATTTTAGAGGTTCTAATAGGTACGTCGTGATATCACATCATCATTGGTTTTAATGTGCATTTCCCTGATGGCTTGTGTGTTAGTTAGTTTGCATTGCTATAAAGGACTACCTGAGGATGGGTAATTTGTAAAGAAAAGAGGTTTATTTTGGCTCACAGTTCTGCAGGCTGTACAGGAGGTATGGTGCGGCATTTTCTTCTGGTGAGGCTTTAGGAAGCTTTTAGCCGTGGCAGAAAGTGAAAAGGGAGCTAGTGTGTCACATGGCAAGAGAGGAAGCAAGAGAGATGCCAGGCTCTTTTAAACAACCAGCTGTTGTGTGAACTCACAGAGCAAGAACTCACCCATCACCCAGCCGTTTATGAGGGATCTGCCACCATGACCCAAAACCTCCCACCAGGCCCTACCTCCATCAGGAATTGCATTTCAACATGAGATTTCGAGGGTACAAATATCTAAACTATATCAACTTGTAATGCGGAACATGTTTTCGTGTGCTTATTTGGCATTTGTAAACTGTCCTGCAGTCAACTCTTTGCCCATTTTTTAATTGAATTTTTTCCTGTTTTTCAAGAGTTAAAAAATATATTTTAGATATAAGCTCTTTGTCACAAATATGGTTTGCAAATTATTTCTCCAAGTCTGTGATAGGATTAACTTTTAAATGTTCCCCAAGAACCTTATCCCCTATTCAGTCAAACACGGATCTACTGCTGTGAGGGATTTTCAGATGCAATTAAGGTTACTAAGCAGCTGACTTCAAAATAGGAAGATTTTCTTGAATTATCTGAATGAGGAAAACAGAAGAGATGAGGCAGAAGAGGAGGTCAGAGTAATTCCAAGAGTGAGAAAGGACTCAACCCACCACTGATGACTTCAAGATGGAGGAAGTAAGGCAGGAGCCAAGGAATGCGGGAAGAGCCTAGAAGCTCAGAATAAACCTGGGCTGCCAGCCAGTAGGAAAATGGGAACCTCAATCCTATGACTGCGTGGAACTGAACTCTGCCAACAACCAGAATAAGCCTGAAAGTGTATTAATCACCAGAGCCCCCAGAAAGGCACACAACCTTCCTGCTATGGGAGATTAGGAACAAAGAAACCAGTTGAGCCTGCCAGATTTCTGACTTACAGAAATGTGAGATAATAAATGGGTGTTTCAAGCTGCCAAATTTGTGGTAATTTGTTATGGAAGCAACGGAGCACTAATACATAGACTGTGGTTTGTCTTTTCATCTTTTTACCAAGGTCTTTCACAGAGCAATAGCTTTAACTTTGATAAAGTCTGATTTGTCATTTATTTTCCTTTATGGGTTATGCTTTGGTATCAAGTTTAAGGACTGTTTACCAAGCCCTGTGTTCTGAAGATCTCCCCCAGGTATTCTTCTAAAGGTTTCATAATTTACATTTTATTTATTTTATTTTATTTTTTATTTATTTATTTTTTTGAGATGGAGTCTCGCTCTGTTACCCAGGTTGGAGTGCAGTGGCACGATCTCTGCTCACTGCAACCTCTGGCTCTCGAGTTCAAGCAATTTTCCTGCCTCAGCCTCCTGAGTAGAGTAGCTGGGACTACAGTCACACACCATCACACCTGGCTAATTTTTGTATTTTTAGTAGAGATGGGGTGTTGCCATGTTGGCCAGGCTGGTCTTGAACTCCTGACCTCAGGGAATCCACCTACCTCAGCCTCCCAAAGTGCTGGGATTACAGGCATGAGCCACCATGCCTGGCCCATAGTTTACATTTTATATTCAAATATATGATCTCTTTTTGAGTTAATTTTTGTGTAAAAAATGAGGTGTAAGTAAAAAATTTTCCTTCCTTCCTTCTTTCCTTCCTTCCTTCCTTCCTTCCCTCTTCCTTCCTTCCTTTTGCCATTGAACATCCCCTTACTCCAGCATCATTTATTGAAAAGACTACTCTTCTTCCATAGAATTGCTTTTGAACCATTATCAAAAATCAGTTGGCTTTCTCTTCTGTTTCATTGGTCTGTGCATTTATTTTCCTGCCAATATCACACAGTCTTCATTACTGAACTATACAATAACTCTTAAAATTGGGCCAAGGGACTCCTCCCATTTTATTTTTTGAAATTGTTTTAGCTATTCTAGTTTATTTGATTTTCCATATAAGTCGTAGAATAACCTTATTTATATTTAAAAATATCTTTCTAGGATTTCAATAGAAATTATTTAAACCTGTACATCTATCTGGGAGAATTGGCAACTTTACTATGTTGTTTATTACAATTCATGAACATAGTATATCTATTTGTTTAGTTCTTTGATTTCTTTCATCACTATTTTTTGGATCTAGGAGTTTTAATTTTTTGGTAGATTTCATAGCGTTTTCCATGGACATCATCATGTCATCTGCAAAGAGCAACGCTTTACTTTTTTTCTTTCTGATCTGTACGCCTTTTCCTTTTATTTACTTTTTTTTTTTTGCCTATGGTGCTACTAAAACTTTCAGTACTAAGTTGATAATAGCATGACAGCAGACATCCTTACCTTGTTCTTAGGTGGAAAACATTCACTTTCATCAAGTTTGGTGTTAGCCATCGTTTTTGTGGATGTTGTTTATCAAGTTGATATTCTCATCTATTCCTAGTTTTCTGAGAGATTTTGTCATGAATGGGTATTGAATTCTGTCAAATGTTTTCTCCACATCAGTTGATATGATCATGTGATTTGTGTTCTTTCTCCTGTTGATGGTGAATTACATTGATTGACTTTCAAGTATTGCACCAACCTTGCACCCCTGAAATAAACCCCACTTGGTCATGTGGTATAATTCTTTTTATATATTACTAAATTTTATTTATTAATATTTTGTTAAGAATTTTAGCATCTATACTTAATGAAAGGTATTGGTTTCTAAGTTTTTTTTGTACTGTCTTTGGTTTTATTATCAGGTGATACTAGATTCATAAAATAAATTGAGAAGTATTCCTTTCTTTTATTTTCTGGAAGAAATTGCATAAAATTGGTGTTTTAAACATATTTGTTAGAATTTCCTTCTGTGAAACCATCTAGGCCTGGAGTTTTTTTAAGACAGTTTAAAAATTATTAGTTATTTATTAGTTTCAGGGCTATTGATAGTCTCTATTTCATCTTGGTGAGTTGTGGTAGTTGGTACTTTTCAAGGAATTGGGTTATTTCACTGAAGTTGTCAAATTTATGCATGTAGTGTTGTTTGTAGTATTTCTTTATTATCTGTGCAGTGTTTACAATAGCTATGGCTTTATCTCCGATTTCATTTGTGATGTTGGTGATTTGTGTTTTCCCTTTCTTTTTTCTTGCTTGAGATTTGTCAATTTCATTGATCTTTTCAAAGAACCAGCTTTTTGTTTCACTGATTTTCTGTATTAATTTTTCTGTTTTCAGTTTTATTGATTTTTGCTTTGTTCTGATTTCTGGTGTTCTTCCTCCACCCTCCAGCAGGAGAAGCTTGAACTGGGCTTAGGAGAAGTGAGTGGGGTGAGGAAGCCATCTCCACTTTAGGGAGTTGCAGACGGGAGTGGATGAAGGTGGAGGCCAACAGCCTAAGTAGCTGAGAGGGGGTGCTAGAGTAGGTGTTGTTGATTTACTCTCTTTCTGACTCCAGGTTGCACTGCAGAATGAGCTGAAGGTGGTGAGGAGGCAGCCCCCACCAGCACTTCCTGACCTCTCTTTAAGGGGACTCTGGCTCTGGCAGGGCTTTGGGTGCTTGAAGGGTACTCTCTAGTTTAAAACCTCATAAGCCCTGTCAGCAAGAAATGGATGAGGAAGCTGAGACTCCCTAAGCCTCTATGTGGTGAGTGTGTCCCTCCTTACCTGAAGATCCTGAGAATTCTGAGCTCTTCACTTGTGCTTAAGGACAGTGACCTCAGGAGGATTCTTTCTGAAAACGTTTGCACTGGGCATCCTAGTCTCCTCCCTGGGTCCAAGAGGACTTTGTTGGGTGTGGAGGTGAGGTGGACTGGGTGGTGTCCAGTCTGCCCTCCTGCCCTGAAATGGCCTGAGTTGTGTCTGTGCTTTAGTTACCCCAGGTTGTCATGGGGCAGCCAGGCGCAAGCAGAGTGAGTGGGGCCTGGTGGCACAGCAGGGCCTCCATTTAACAGGAGAAACCAGGCTGCTCTCCACATATAAATATAGGAAGGGAAAGTTTCCCAGACCTTTTGGAGTTTAGACAGCTCTTATAAAATGGCATTTTGATGAGCTGAGCATAAATGAATTGGAAACATTCAGATAACATTTCCCCAGAGTGTATAAACCGAAGACAAAAGTGCTTGGCAAAGAGTTTGAGGGGCTGGGCCAAGAGTTTGAAAAATGATTTGAGATGTTGTGATGAACCCAAACTACCACCAGCTTCTCCTGGCTCAGCTGCTTTGGAGAGCCTGGGAGAGGGGGCCTCAGGCAGGAGAGGAGAGATGCTTTCTTTCCCTGGGAACAGAGAGAGCCACTTTGAAACCATGCTCACCTGCATGTAGCTTCCCACCTGGGCTGTATTTGCAGCTAGCGACCAACCATCCATCCATCCATTCATCTGTCCATCTGTCCATCCATCCATCCATCCATCCATCCATCCATCCATCCATCCATCTGTCCATCGATCCATCCATCCATCCGTCCATCCATCTAACTATTCACTGTTTGTCCATCCATCTACCATTTATCCATCCCTTCATCTGTCTGTCCATTCAACCATCCATTCATCCAACCAACACTTGTTAAACACCTACTGTGTAGATGGCTCTGGGAAGACAGAAGGTAACGAGACTTAGCCCCTTCTCTTGCAGAGCTCAGTGTCATGGTGGGAGAATGTTATAAACGAAGATTTGAGGACAGGCAAGCGCTGCAGAATCCCAGGGAGGAGTCACATACTTGTGAAACTGTGAGGGTGACAAGCTTGCCAAATCTTCCAGTGTTACCCCAGCAGGGTGTTAGGATGCCTCTAAGTTGGACCAGGGACCCTCAAGATGAGATGTTATTTGGAATAGAAGGTAAAGGAAGGGGTTCACCTTGCCCCTGAGCTCAGAGCTACACCAAACCTACTGTAAGACAGTGGAATTCAGACATCACAGCAGTGGGATGGTCATCATTGGTAAGGGAGAGACCTCTTTCTCTTAACATTGACCCCGGGACCACTGCTTTACCCCATGCAGCTCCTAACCGAATCCTATGGGGAAGATACTGCTGTTCTCTCAGGAAATGGAAGCTAAGTGTGAGGACTCAGTTTGGGGCCACCTGGCTGGCAAAGGGAGAACTGAGACTTGAATCTGGGCCCATTGACTCCTGTACTGGGCAGTGGGGCTTCTACCCAGTAGGTGAGAGAAGAACTAGGGGTATACTGGTTGCTGCCAAATCCAGGCTCTGTCACTGGGCTATGGGTGTAGTGTTTGACCTTAGCCAGGTAGGGAAGTTGCTGAGAATGGCAAAGCTGTAAGCTGCAAGGATATTCAGGCCCAGGGAGGTCTCTTGTTGAGCCTAGGTCCTTCTTAGTGTGGGAGACAGAATCTTGGAGTAGATTTGGAGGCCATATGACCTGAATGCTGATTACGCAAATCATCCTGTCCCAAAAGGGGACTTTTATATTATGGACTTTTTTTCTCTTAGATGCAATTATGCTCTGTGTCAGTGGTATACATTCAAGTGTTGGAGAACCTAGGATAAATATTTCAGCTTTCTTTTCCTCACTTAGGTCTCTAAGTCACTACCCCAAGAAGCCCCTTGACAGTGTGCCCGGCTGGTGAGAGGATTCTTTGAATGATGTCTGCACACTGACTTTCTCCTAAGCGTAGAATCACTGTCACTGACAAATGCAGACTGGAGCTGGGGTGTGGTGCTGGCAACTGAAATACTTGGAAAGCAATGCTGTTTGTAATCAGATTGTCCAGCCTGGAGAACGGCTCGTAGAAAAGTTCCAAACCAATCAAAATACAGACTTCTCTTGATGGGTACAATGGTTGCATTCCTGGGAAATTCAGTGTATTTTAAGCCATGTAAAAAACACCCCGTACAATGTTTACATATAAAATGGAATTAGGTTCCAGGCTCAGGTAATTAATAGATTTTTACCCATGAGGCTGTCAACAAGGATGTTTGAAAATCATTTGGGATGTGGGATGATTCTTTGTTGTCAGGGATTGTTCTGGATTTCTTACTGCATCTGCCAAATTCTGTCAGTGTCCCTTCCCTGTCATGGTGATGACAGAAAAGGCCCTACTGATTTTCGAAGTTTCTCCGAGGGGGCCTCCTCCCACCCCTGCCCTGAGAAAACCCACTTGCATGAATGAAACATTTTGTAGAGCATCAGAAAGCAGACTGTACCTGCCATCATCTCTGTTTGCTAAAGAGGTGCTTCTCTCTTTCCCACTGAGAACACCTGACCATTGTAAAAGTCCAGAAACTTCTGAGGGTCATCCAAAATTAGCCCTTTGAATCACAACATGTTACAATGGTTTTTCTGGACAGGTAATTTTTTTCCCCTATATTGCTTGAAATGACCAAAACAACCACCATTAAAAATACTCTCTAAAAAATTGGTTCTTTAGAAGGCCCTCTGGTCTTCACTGTAGCAAAGGTACTGGAGCATGACTTGCATAAACATTGCCAATTACTAAATATGGGGTGTGGAGTATCACAAGCTTTACAAGGAGCCCCAATTACCATGGGGACAAAAGGCAAAATTCTGTCTTCTGCACCCTTTGTCTACTGTCTGTGGTCATCAGGCTCCTGGGCACAGCTTCTGGTGGGACATGCCCCACTGGATTGCCATGGGCTTGAGCCACAGCATGGGAAATCACTCAGGCGCCTTTGCTGGGTGGCAGAACTTGGAGGCTCTTGGATCCATAGCTGGGACCTGAGTGTGATGGGGTCAGGTGGGCCTGTCCTCAGCCAGGCTGGGATGTCCAGCTGTTGCTGGTGTCCCCAGCCGGGGCTTGGAGCGAAGCTGGGAGGCATACAGCACTTACCATCCCAAACTCAGTTCCATCCATGATAGGAGCCCCAGTTAAGAATCCAAACCGGCCCATGTCAGGAAGTTTGTTTGTAAAATAAAAGTTCAGAGCTGCCCCTTATGTACACATCACAGTGATAGGAACCCTGGAGAATAAGAAAGAACTCGAAAGCTGGTTCCTCACTTGGGGGAAAAAAAAAAAAAGTAACCAACAGGTCCTTGTTGTGCCTCCATCAGCGGCGGATGTGCTTTGGAAGCTCTCTCACTAGTTAGTAACAGCTGCGTACGCTCGGGGCCAGGCAGGGTTCAGAGCACTTCACAGACACAGGCAGCACACAATGCAAGCCTGCTCCGTTTCCCATGCAGAACAGGGAGTGAGAGTTTGGACAGGGAGGAATACTGGCTCCACCCAAAAAACTGCATCCCAATCTATCACTCCCCGAGGTGTGACAGCAAGAGTTCTTAGGATGAGAGTTTCCATAGCAAACGTGGTGCATTTAGTCCCCCAACTGTTCAGTCTTCTGACTCTTTCAATCCTCTGAGGCTTTGAACCCTCCCTACTGCCCTATGAGGGAGATGCTGTTAAGGCCCTTTCATGAAACTGAGGACCAACAAGTGAACCTTTTGGTCACTTTAAAGTCATGTGACTTGCTCACAGTCACTCTGCTGGGAAGTAAAAGGGACTAGAAAGCAGGCTGCCCAGCCTCAAAGTCTGCAGCAGAGCTGGTGTTCTGACAGATGACAAACCGAGCAGCCAGGCTCTGGGACTTCTTGGCCCAGGGAAGCCCCTCACCAGCGTGACAGGTCTGGGTTCTGTTAGGGAAGCCCCATCTTCTTGCAGGATGATGGAATAGGAAACCTGCGGGCCAACACAGGCCCCGCAGCTCCGCGGGTGCTGGGGCGAGCCTGGGGAGTTGGAGATCGGTCTGTGCTCACCCCAAGAACTGAGTCCACACACACCCCTGCCCCCTCGTTATCCATCAGAAAATCTGCTGTTAGAGAGAGGGCTCCAGGGCACCTCAGATCATGTCCTGCCGTCTCAGAATGCTTTGAGAACGTGGGAGGCCAAAAGGGGGGTTTTGGAGGCCTTGAGACCATCCTCACATTCTCCATCAATTATAAGCAGTGCTCACTGGACAGTCTCCACTTCCTAGTGTGGCAGCTGGCACCTCCTGCTCCTCATGGCTGGGTGGAGAGTGTGACCAGTCCTGGCCAATTCGCTGTGAGCTGAAGTGATACTGTTAAGTGCTGATCTGAGACCCTTGAGAGTGTTCCTCTATCAATCAGTGTACCTGAGTGACCCCAGTGAGCACCAGAAGTTGGGGCTGCAGTTGAAAACCAAGGCCCTCCTAGCCCTGGGCAGTGATGACCATCTGGCAGAGAAAGCCAAACCAAGAGAATTAGGTATCCAAGGAAAATATCAGTCAGAGAGCTTCAGCACTGTGCCAAAACTATCACATGGCTGGAAAGCGGTGAGAAAGGATTTGAACCCAGGGCTGCTTCCAGAGTGCAGGCATCCTGCCTCCCAATAATGGACTTGTGGTTCCTGATGCAGACAGCTGTGGAGTAATGATGAGAGGCCCAAGGGGCCAGTGACAGAGGCTGCTTCCCAGAGTGCCCGTTTCTCTGGACACATGGTGGGTCCCAGAATTAATTGGGGCAGAAGATGTGCTGGAAAGAGGAGCTGAACACCAGCCTCAGATGACTTGGAAAGCTGTTAGAAGTTATTCAGTGAGCAGGTGGCCTCGTCATACTCTCCTTTCTCTCTCTGCCCTGCTCTGGGCACTGATTCCATGCCAGCTGCTTCACCTATGACCCTGTGAGGGCAGTGCTTATTACGCCGGGTCACAGAGAAGGTCCCTAACCAGCCCACTGGGTCAGCTCTGCACTTGCCTCACCTCAGTCACCAGCTTCAGGCCTGCAACACAGGACATGGGAATGATTTTAGGGAAATATTGCCTAAGTTAAGAGAGTCCTCTAGCTTGGCTAGATGTCTTAGTTTAGGCCACAGAAATACTACAGACTGGGTAATTTATAGGTAATAGAAGTTTATTTCTCACAGTCCTGGAGACTGAGAAGTCCAAGATCAAGGTGTCAGCAGGTTCAGTGTCTGGTGAAAGCCTATTCCTTATAGATGGCAGCATCTTGGTGTCCTTACAGGGTAGAGGGGCAAAATGGGGGCGGCAGCTCTCTGAGGCCTCTTTTAGAAGGGCATAATCCCATCCATTAGAGTGGAGCCCTCGTGGCCTAATCATCTCCCAAGGACCCCACTTCTTAATACCATTACCTTGGGGGTTAGGTTCCAACATATGAATTTTGAAGGTACGCATGCATTTAAACCATAACACTAGATATAGGATAGACCTAATCCATTACCAAGGCTTGGCCTGGGCAGGGATGAATGTGAGTTGTGTGGAGGAGGGGGTGACATGCTGTTTAATCTTCACCACGTCTTCAGTGCATTTTCCAGAGAAAAATGACTTATTTCTGGTCCTCGGGCATGTGGTTGACACCAATGCTCCTCAAACCTGAAAGTGCACAGGCATGCATGTTTATAGCGGCACAATTCATAATTGCAAAAACGTGGAACCAACCCAAGTGCCCATCGATCAATGGGTGGATAGAGAAACTGTGGTATATGTATGCAATGGAATACTACTCAGCCATAAAATGAATGAATGAATGGCATTTGCAACAACCTGGATGACGTTGGAGACTATTATTCTAAGCAAAGTAACTCAGGAATGGAAAACCAAACATCATATGTTCTCACTCATAAGTGGGAGCTAAGCTACGAGGATGCAAAGGCCCAAGAATGACACAATGGACTTTAGGGACTCGGGGAAAGAATGGGAAGGGAGTGAGGGATAAAAGACTACAAATTGGGCCGGGCACAGTGGCTCACGCCTGTAATCCCAGCACCTTGGGAGGCCGAGGCAGGCGGATCACAAGGTCAGGAGATCGAGACCATCCTGGCTAATGCGGTGAAACCCCGTCTCTTCTAAAAATACAAAAAATTAGCTGGGCATGGTGGCAGGTGCCTGTAGTCCCAGCTACTCGGGAGGCTGAGGCAGGAGAGTGGCGTGAACCCGGGAGGCGGAGCTTGCAGTGAGCTGAGATCGCACCACTGCACTCCAGCCTGGGCGACAGAGCGAGACTCCGTCTCAAAAAAAAAAAAAAGGCTACAAATTGGGTGCGGCGTATACTGCTTGGGTGATGGGTGCACTAAAATCTCAAATCACTATTGAACTTACTCATGTAACCAAACACCACCTGTTCCCCAATAACCTATAATAAAAAATTAAGAAAAAAACCCCCAAAAAACCCTTGAAAGTGCATATGAATGATCAGGAATCTTGTTGACAGGCAGATTCTGGAAGAGC
Source organism: Homo sapiens (assembly GCF_000001405.40). NCBI lineage: Eukaryota > Metazoa > Chordata > Mammalia > Primates > Hominidae > Homo > Homo sapiens. The sequence continues at coordinate 111,685,622 of NC_000002.12, read as the reverse complement.
AGGTCTGGGATGGGGCCTGAATTCTCTGGAGGTGCCCTGCTGTTCTGATGATAGCAATAACTGATAAGATACTTTAAGACCAGGCCCTGTGCAAACAGGTTTCAGAGTAGGCTAGATCTTATTTGGTCTCTGAAATTTTGCCAATTTGGCCACAGAATAGATTGTCAGCTCCAAAATAAGTTTCATTTTCTAGCATATTGAAATAATTAGAAGAAAGGGAACCTTTCTTGCTCTTTTGGAATAAAGAAGACAATGAGGCCTGTGAACCAAGGCTAAACCACTGTGGTAGGTGGACTTCTAAGATGGTGCCGAAGATGCTTGTCCCCCTGGCTTACACACGGCTTCTCCCACCTGTTCAGTCAAACACGAATTGAGGTGCTGCCATGAAGGGATTTTGCAGATGTAGTTAAGGTCCCAAATAAGTTGACTGTAAAGAAAAGAGACTATCCTGGGTGAGCCTGACCTAATTGGGTGAGCCTTTAGAAAGGCCCGGGCTCTTGTTGGTGCAAGAGATTTGGAATCTAAGAGGGGTGGATGCGAGGGAGATACTCAATTGCTGGGGTGTAAGAAATGGCAGGGAATATTGATGGCCGCCAACAAGGAGAGTTCAGTTTCCTTGTGGTTCTGTAGGGACTTCCACTCTACAATTCATTCATCCAACAACTTAAATGAGCTTGCAGAATCTTCCCTTGGTCCTCTAGAAAACAACACTGCTCATCTGATGCTTTGAGTTCAGTCCTATGAGACCCTGAAGGGAGAATGCAGGCACACCACACCCAGACTTCTGACCTAATAAACTGTATGTAACAAACGGGTGTTGTGTGAAGCTGTTAAGTTTGTGATAATTTGATATGCACCAACATAAAACGAATACAGTCACAAGAGGGGAACTTTGCAGCCTTAGCAGCACTTGTGGGGGTGCAGCCCTGTGCATGTGGCTTAGCAGGGTTCATCTTTCATATCGACATGATGGGTCAGAAGTGTCACAGATAGGGTACCTGGAACCTGAAAGACATAGGTTTTGTATCTAAAATTTGATTTCTTCCATTTTTCTTGTAGAAAAAAAGACTGTGTGTTAAGAGAAGAATTATTATTTCCTTAAAGTAATTTGTGCCTGGTATGATATTTATGTTTTTCTGGCCAGCTCAGTAGGAAAAATATGGTTTGAAAATATTTGGCTAAACACTTAAGCTCACCAAGGGAGGTGAGGGTGGGGAGTGGGGTAGGAGCTCTGAAGCCGGGTCTGAATGGGGTCATATGTTGCATGTTTACTTTCCTTTTGCTTACATGTTATTTTGGTTTCTAAAGATTTAGTTGCTTAGCTAAGAGGTGCATGATATTCAGCTTTATTGCCTAGACATGTTGGGGGTAGTCCTTCTTAGAAGAGCTCTGAAGAAAGACTCCTCAGGTGCACATTCCATTCCTCTGTGCTCCCCAACTCCAGCCACTAGGGAACTCCCACCTGGATGAGGTCGGACTTTATTTTATTTATTTATTTAGTTTTTGAGATGGAGTCTCGCTCTGTTGCCCAGGCAGGAGTGTAGTGGCGTGATCTCGGCTCACTGAAACCTCGGTCTCCTGGGTTCAAGTGATTCTTGTGCCTCAGCCTCCCAAGTAGCTGGGACTACAGATGCGCACCACCATACCCAGCTAATCTTTGTATTTTTAGTAGAGACGGGGTTTCTCCATGTTGGCTAGGCTGGTCTCAAACTCATGACCTCAAGTGATCTGCCCGCCTTGGCCTCCCAAAGTGCTGGGATTACAGGTGTGAGCCACCGCACCTGGCTAAGATCGGATTTTCAAGACTCTGAAGAGATCTCAGTGATGGGACTTTCCATGGATGATCTTGTAAACCCGCAAGGCTTAACCTCATTTTTGAATAGCCCAACATCATTCGTTATTATTACTATGCCATAATTATTATGATGAACTTAGTATTTTAACAGGGGCACAGATCTCTGACTTCTGGGAGAATTCATGTCTTATTCTCCAATCTCGAGTTGAAGCTTTTCAACAGAACTGGCTTAATTTGGAGGCACAGTTCACCTCAAGTTGTTTGTAACTTCATCTTTCCTCACTCTTACCTATTAGATGGGTTAATGCCTGGACCTAACTTTAGAGTGGATTTAAGGGGGCAATTTAAGTGACCCAAGTCAAGTTCTTGACTTACATGTCCTTGAGGGATCTAGACTTTAACACGTTGGAAGATTAGGGGGTAGCTGGGGAAGGGTGAGCAGACATGCTGAAGCTGGGGCATATGTTCCCATTGGAGGTGTAGCACACGCGGTCTATGGGGGCATGCAAGAAGCATTGCCAAGTGACAGACCAGAGAGCAGGGGCCATGTGGAGGTGATTGCTAAGGCCCATATTGTGTCCGGAATTGGTGGGTTCTTGGTCTCACTGACTTCAAGAATGAAGCCGCAGACCCTCGCGGTGAGTGTTACAGCTCTTAAGGTGGTGCGTCTGGTTTGTTCCTTCTGACGTTTGGATATGTTTGGAGTTTCTTCCTTCTGGTGCGTTCGTGGTCTCGCTGGCTCAGGAGTGAAGCTGCAGACCTTCACAGTGAGTGTTACAGCTGTTAAGGTGGCGCGTCTGGAGTTGTTCGTTCCTGCTGGTGGGCTCATGGTCTTGCTGGCTCAGGAGTGAAGCTGCAGACCTTCACCGTGAGTGTTACAGCTCATAAAAGCAGCGTGACCCAAAGAGTGAGCAGTAGCAAGATTTATTGCAAAGAGCGAAAGAACAAAGCTTCCACAGTGTGGAAGGGGACCCGAGCCGGTTGCCACTGCTGGCTTCGGTGGCCTGCTTTTATTCTCTTATCTGGCCCCACCCACGTCCTGCTGATTGGTAGAGCCGAGTGGTCTGTTCTGACAGGGCGCTGATTGGTGCTTTTACAATCCCTGAGCTAGACACAAAGGTTCTCCACGTCCCCACCAGATTAGTTAGATACAGAGTATAGACACAAAGGTTCTCCAAGGCCCCACCAGAGTAGCTAGATACAGAGTGTCGATTGGTGCATTCACAAACCCTGAGCTAGACACAGGGTGCTGATTGGTGTGTTTACAAACCTTGAGCTAGATACAGAGTGCCGATTGGTGTATTTACAATCCCTGAGCTAGACACAAAGGTTCTCCAAGGCCCCACCAGAGTAGCTAGATACAGAGTGTCCATTGGTGCATTCACAAACCCTGAGCTAGACACAGGGTGCTGACTGGTGTGTTTACAAACCTTGAGCTACATACAGAGTGCTGATTGGTGTATCTACAATCCCTGTGCTAGACATAAAGGTTCTCCACGTCCCTACCAGACTCAGGAGCCCAGCTGGCTTCACCCAGTGGATCCTGCACCGGGGCTGCAGGTGGAGCTGCCTGCCAGTCCCGCGCCGTGCGCCCGCACTCCTCAGCCCTTGGGTGGTCGATGGGACTGGGCGCCGTGGAGCAGGGGGTGGCGCTCGTCGGGGAGGCTCGGGCCGCACAGGAGCCCATGGAGGGGGTGGGAGGCTCAGGCACGGCGGGCTGCAGGTCCTGAGCCCTGGCCCGCGGGAAGGCAGCTAAGGCCCGGTGAGAAATTGAGTGCAGCGCTGGTGGGCTGGCACTGCTGGGGGACCCAGTATATGCTCCGCTGCCGCTGGCCTGGGTGCTAAGCCCCTCATTGCCCGGGGCTGGCAGGGCCGGCCGGCTGCTCCGAGTGCGGGGCCCGCCAAGCCCACGCCCACCCGGAACTCCAGCTGGCCCGGAAGCGCCGCGCGCAGCCCCGGTTCCCGCTCGCGCCTCTCCCTCCACATCTCCCTGCAAGCTGAGGGAGCCGGCTCCTGCCTTGGCCAGCCCAGAAAGGGGCTCCCACAGTGCAGCGGTGGGCTGAAGGGCTCCTCCAGTGCCGCCAAAGTGGGAGCCCAGGCAGAGGAGGCGCGGAGAGCGAGCGAGGGCTCTGAGGACTGCCAGCACGCTGTCACTTCTCAATATCAGAGAAAAGAACCTGGAGGCAGAGGTGAGGACTGGGTGATGGGTGTGATGTGGGAGGTGTGCGGGAAAGAGGAGGTGAGCTTGACTCTAAGGCTTCCAGCCTGGACACGTGAGCAGATGGAGAAATAGGAAGGCGGGCTCATAGAGAGGGGTGGTTGGAGGAGGCATGAGAAGGGCTCTAGACTTCATGTATTTGACATGTTTGAAGACAATTGGTTGGGGAGACTTACAGTCTGTTGGAAAAATATCCAGTGCTAAGGAGAGAGGTGGGGATAGACTGGGAAGAGCCACTGATAGCTATACTTTCTTCTATACTCATTTTTGTTAACTTTGCCCTCTGACCATCCCCTACTGTATGAGGATTTGTAACCAAACAGCCCTAGGAAGCAAACTGGGTGGCTTATACCAACAGACGTTTATTCTTACACAGTTTTGGAGGCCAGAAGTCTGAAATCAAGGTGTTGGCAGAGCTCTGCTCCCTCCGGAGGCTATAAGGGAGGATCCTTTCCTTGTCTCTTTTAGCTGCTGCTAGCAATTCTTGGTGTTCTTGGCTTGCAGCTGCATCACTCCGATCTCTCTGCCTTGGTCTTCACATAGTCTTCTTCCCTGTGTGTCGCTCCACTTCTTATAAAGACACCAATCATATTGCATTTAGGGTTCACCCTATTCCAGTATGATCTCATCTGAATGAATTATATCTGTAAAGACCCTATTTCCAAATGAGGACACATTCTGAGGTTCCAGATAGACCTGAATTTTTGGAGGAACACTTGTGAACCCAGTACACCTTTCTTACAATGTACATTTCGAATTCCAGATGTGCAAAATGTGGATACTCATTTCAGGACCACAGTTGCAAGATACATGATGGTATTGAAATTTGCATGCATAGCATCAGGCTATCTTGAAGTTGGGGTTGTCCATTCACGTAATGTAAGTTTGATGCAGGCTGGCTCTGGTATTTGTAGTTCTTTTCATGTAAGAGCCAACACAGAACTCAGTGCCTTTCTAGCTATCCCCCATAAAACATCACTGAGAGTTTTCTAGGGAGGATGTAAAGGAGGTTTTTCATGTCATCACAGCCACCAGCTGACACATCCTCGCTGGACTCTGGAGGGCTCTCTTTCCGACCCCTCTCCAGCCCAGCCCAGCCTCAGTGGCTGCTCTCATCCTCCAGGACTTCCTTCATCCCCACCAGAGGAGGCTCCTGCTCCTTTCCCGTTGTATGGAGTTGTGATGGATACAGCTGGCTTGGCAAGGGTCATGTCCCCAGTCTCCCTTCCCTCTAGATGGGGCCCCTTGACCAGTTCCCACCAGTGAGATGGGAGTGGACGTGATGTGGGTCACCTCACCTAAGTGGTTGTCTACTGGCCAGAGGCCACCACGAGTTGGAAGGATCCTGGATCCCTGAACCATGGTGTGGAAGGCTGCCTCCTAAACACTCACCTTGGACTGCCTGTGAGCAAGAAAGAACTTTCATCGTGAGACATCTCTGAGCATGGAGGTTTATCGGTCACAGCACTCATGTCCCCTCTCAGACCACCTTCTACACAGCTGGGAAGTCTCCATCCTTGACTACCAGGTGCAGTTCAGCCCTGTCCCTGCTCCTATTCCCATCTCACAACCCAGGCCTGTCGTGGGGCTCAGTGGAACCCATTGCTGCCCAGGGTGCAGGGCCCTCTTCATAGAGGGTATTAGGGATGATAAACAACTCAGAATTGTTTGGGTGGGGCAAGGTATGGGGCTCATGCCTATAATCCCAACATTTTGGGAGGTCAAGGCAGGAGAATCGCTTGAGAGCAGGAGTTGAAGACCAGCCTGGGCAACATAGTGAGACCCCATCTCTACAAAAATAAAAATAAAAAAATAGCTAGACATGGTAGCAGGTGCCTTTGTTCCCAGCTACTTGGGAGGCTGAGGTGGGAGGATTGCTTGAGCCCAGGAGTTTGAGGCTGCAGTGAGCTATGATTGTGCCATGCACTCCAGTCTGGGTGACAGAGTGAGACCCTGTCTCTAAAAAAATAAAAAAGAATCCTTCTGGTGCAGGTTAAACTTAAGCAAATACAATGCTTGCTGTGGTATCTTTTTGGGGGGAGAATTCCATTTTTTCATCTGCTCACCTGAAAAATTCAGTTCTTGGTGCAAGACTAGGATAGCATTGGTGTGACCAATGCATTGTACACCACTGCCATCTCATCTGATACAGAATACGTCCCAGTGGTTTCTGTCACCAAGAAGCCTCTCATTGGCATTGAATCATCACGGATGCACATGGCAGCTCTCATTTCAACAGAAATCTGTGATTTTTAAAATGATGATGCAAGTCTGTGGCTTTTGAGCTTTGTGTTGTTTTCATTTAATGTCTTCTTGAGTGTGACTGCTTTCCTTTTGAGGCCTGGGGACCCAGGAGTAAATAAAACAGACAAAGCTCACTACTCTCATGAACTGACAGTTAACTTTAAGCCCAAAGTTTGGTTTTTGTTCTGCAATCAGTTTTATGCTATTTTTTCTTTTTTTTTAATGTTAACATTCTGCAGCTGTATATGGAGCTGTGACAAGGGGATTGCTTTGGAGCCTGGCAGACGCGGGCTGGAATGGTCCCTCTGCCCCCACTCTGGGTTTTCCTGGGGGTGTCGTGGGCTGCTGCTGCCTGCTGGCTTAGCTACTGTAAGGAATCAAGGTGTCAGTGTAGGCCTGGTGCCTGATCGTTGGGAACCAGTTGGTGAATTACTCATTTTGTATGAATAATGCATGACTTTTGCATTTTACAAATCATCAAATGTAGTGCACATGGATCACATTGTTTTTGGTTTATCAAATACCTAGAAAATCACTCCATTTCCCAAGGCAACCTTGCCCTGGTCCTTCCACCCCGATGTTGCTTTCTCCTTCTGTTCCTCATCTACCTACTCCCCTGACTCAGCATCATCAGATCAAAGGAAAACACAAGCTTCCTCGAGGCACTTGAAAATGAGCCGTGACTGCTTAGGAGAAGAGAAGCAAAGGACTAGATTCAGGGAAGGGGGGCGGGGGGAGGCAGGGCAGTTCTGGCAGTTAAGCCCCCACCCAGGAAAATCTTCTGTTTGTCTCCATTTCAGCACAGAACTATAATCATGATTTTTCTTGAGTCCCATCCTGACTGTTACCAAGCTGCGGCGTGGACAGGCTGGCATTTTGCATTTGCATCTGCTGATTTAAAACAGGAAAAGGTGTATCTTTTTAAAGCAATCAGAATGTGGATAGTCTAGCTGTGATTGCTATGCACAGCTGAAAACACTTCTTCCCACGTGGTTCGGGTTCTGTCATGGGGTGCCCCTGTCTGTGGAATGCTTTCTGTAACCTTGAACTGGCTTGGTTTAATTTGCTGCACGTAAAGATATCCCCCAAGTGCAGTTTTGGAGGCACCTGATTCTATGCGGTTAATGAGGGTTCCCGTCCCTATTCTATGTCAAACTATTGTGAATGAAAAACAGGTGAAATCTGATCACCACAATTCACTTTGAATGGATAGGTTTTTTAAAAATAGGTTTTTATTTTCTAAAGATAAAGGTAATATAAGCTCATGTTTGAAAAAAAAATGAAAATCAGCAAAGTACAAAGAAGGAGGTACACACACACACACACACACACACACACACACACACACACATAAAATCCTACTCAGGATTTGCATTCTTGCTGATTTTATTTTGGGCTTCCTTAATCTGCTTGTCATTTTCTACCTTCTCCCTCTATCACTTTAAATCAATGATTCTCCATGGTCTCCTTTCTTGAAATTTTCCTGAATACATGTGATCTCTCTTAGAATGTTTTTGTTGTTGAAACTCAGAGGGAAGTGAGCCCTGGGCTTTTCCTTAGCGGTAAGCTTGGGGCCAAGGCTACGTGGAAGCCACTCCAAACCCCCAGGGAAGGCAGACCTTGTTAAAAAGGGGCATTCAGGGCAGCTCCCGAGGACAGGATAAGAACAAGGACAGGGTCCATGGGGACAGGCCCATAGGCGTATTTGGGGGCTTCTGTGAGGCAAGCACTGGTCTAAGAGCTTGAAGATAATTAGCTGGCTCTCCCTCCTCAGGTGCTCTGATTACCCCATTTGCAGATACCAGGGGGAGGTGTGGGGATGGGCGGGCACCCAGGTGGGGCTCCTGTTGCAGGCTTTGGCTGGCTAGGATGATGCCAAGCTGTGTAGCTTGGTATCAGCCACTCTTGTATGGGACCTGAGTGCCTGGTAAGGAGCAGACACTTGCTGAATAGTTATTGAATGGCTAAATGTATGGAGCTTTTAAATAACAATCAATAATCAATGGTGTTGAAGGAAATGAGCCTGTTCCTAAAGAAGAAAGTCCCCATACCAGCCCAGCTTTAGACACCTGACTACTAAATCCTTTGTTCAGGTCTGTGGAGGGTGACCAGCAGTCCAGGTTTCTCTCCATTTGTCAAACGTGGCCATATATGTTCATATGTGGTTTTGTGTCCCCAGAGTGCTCCCAGGGCCCGTGGTGCTCCAGCAGTCAGTGTGGCCAAAGCCCCAGTCACCTGTGTGACCAAATGCCGAGTTTCTGGGCCTTCCTGGCGAGCAGCTCCATGAGCCAAGTGGGTCCCACATCCTTGGCTCCAGGGTCTGTATCTTCCCATGGGTTGCATAAGCTCTTGTTTCATCTTCCTGTGTCTTCTGTTTTGAAGTTATTTTATTGTGAAAAACTAAATACACAGAAGCACAGAGAACACACCAATCCCTGTGCTCATACCACCCGGATTCGGTCATCAGTACTGTCTCGTCATTCTTGCCTTGGGTCTTTGTTTTAATGCTATATTAAGGCATTGTATAGAGGTGGGAGTCTCACTGGCTCTCCCCACTCCCCGGGCCCCCTGCCCCAGAGGCAGCCTCCTCACTACAGGTTTGTGCCCTTCCAGCCCATTTCTTACACTTGTCCATACAGTCCACACACACAGCCAGAGCAGAGAAGTTTATGCCTACCATTCAGCATCTGTGGTTCTTAGGATGTTACCACATTTGCTTACTTTCCTCCTATCCTCTTTGCTGAAGCGTTTTATCACAGATCCTAGTCATCCTGTCATTTCATCCTAACAGCTGTGTGCAATGCTACACTGTTTACTTTTTTTTTTTTTTTACATAGCCACAAAGCTACTATCAAATGTAACAAAAGCAGTAAGAATTTCTTACCATCTGTAGTCAGATTTCCCTGTCTTAAAAATATCTTTTTCGGTTGGTCTGTGTGAATTAGAGTCCAGACGCTGTGTGTGGAGCATCCTTCCCTCCCCTGTTTTATTTTTATTCCATGAAAGCAAAGGAACCCAATCACTTGCCTGGAAAACAGCCCCCATTTGGGGGTCTCCTTTTGCTCTCAGAGTGTCATAGAGCCTGATCCTGTATTTCTTTAACTCCAAGAAATGGATATTTATCTAAAGGCTGGACTAGAAGCTGGTTCAGCTTTTGGGACAGGACTTCTTTGTAGGTGCAGAAGTTTTACTTATTTGTTTATTTTAGCTCATCACTGTCATCTGTATCTTCCTGGAGTTTGAACTAGCTTGTTCCCTTTAACTGCTGACCAGGGCATATTCTACTTCTCCATTCTGCCTGTCTCAATCCATTTGGGCTTCTATAACAGAATGCCATCTGGGGTGGCTTATAAACAACAGAAATTTATTCTTCACAGTTCCGGAGGTTGGGAAGTCCAAGATCAGGGTGCTAGCAGATTTGGTGGCTGGTGAGGGTCTGCTTCCTGGTTCACAGATGTTGCCTTCTTGCTGTGTGCTCACGTGGTGGAAGGAGTGAGCGAGCTCTCTGGGGCCTCTTTTATAAAGGCACTAATCCCTTGTATGAGGATCTTAGTCTCGTGACCTGATCACCTCCAAAAGGCCCCACCTCCTAAATACCATCACATTGGGGATTGGGTTTCAACACATGAATTCTTGGGGGACACACGCATTCAGCCTGTTGCACTGCCGTCAGTGGATATTCGGTTGTCTCCACCGTTCTGCTGTCCATGTGGAGCTGCAGGGCACACTCTCCCTTAGGGACATGTGCAAGACGATCTCTAGGGGTTTGGTCCAGGTATGTAGTTACTATGCATAACCTTTTTTTAGAGGAAGTAGAAATACCTCACTACTGATGATAAATATCTGAGCCCACAGCACTGAGTCCAAACATTGATATTCATATAATTTATAGTTTAGGCTTGCATTTAAACTGGTTTCAGTTTCTCTCTCGTTTTTCAGACAATGGATGTTCTTGTGTGTTTTTGCCTTTGGGGTTTTTTTTTAATTACTCAAAAAAGCTTTATTTATTTATTTATTTTAAATTTAGTTCTCTGGTTCTGTATTTGTGCCTTCAGCATGTTCCCAACAACTTTCTGCTCCTCAATAAGGAAAGCACACTTGGTCCGGTCACAGACACATTTGGCACTCATGGGACCACCATCAGCCTTGCTGACTTTTTTCATTCTAGACAATCTCCTAAGAACTTTGGTCTCACAGCGCAAATCCCTCCATTTGCCTGGGCACAGGTCACATGCAGATATGGGTGTCTTCCCAGCCTTCTTGGTATAAAGGTAAGCAATTCTATTATCAGAAGTTTGGGAAAGTCTAGTTTTGTTAGAGGCTGCATTGTAGGAAAGCCTATGCCCAATGCAGGACCATTCTGAGTGCCTCCAGACACCATCCCTGGAAGAGTACAGTTTTAAGTTTCACTTTCAAATAAAATACACCAGTTACAAAAATAATGAGTCAATCGCTTAATTTATAAAGTAAAAATCACCTTGAAACCTACTTTTTCCATAAGCATGGTTCATAATTTGTTGACTGTCCTTCCAAATTTTTTTATATTTGTACACAAACATGCAAATATTTGAGCATTCCATTTAACACAATACGGGCCCCCAAATGGCCCCCAAATGTATATTTTTCTGTGGCTATTTAACAAAAACATTCCATGGACATCTTTTCATGTCAGTGTGCTCAGATCTGAGCCTTTTTTTTTTTTTTTTTTTTTTTTTGAGATGGAGTCTCACTCCGTCACTCAGGCTGGAGCGCAGTGGTGTGATCTTGGCTCACTGCAACCTCCACCTCCCAGGATCAAGTGATTCTCCTGCCTCAGCCTCCTGAGTAGCTGGGCCTGCAGGCACGTACCACCACGCCTGGCTACCTTTTCGTATTTTTAGCAGAGACGGGGTTTCACCATGTTGGCCAGGCTGGTCTCGAACTCCTGACCTCAAGTGATCCACCCACCCTCAGCCTTCCAAAATGTTGGGATTACAGGCATGAGCCACCGCGCCTGGCCCAAGTCATTTCATTTAATGGCTGGGTAGCATTTGATGGCCCAGGGATAGCAGGATTTATTTAAACATCTTTTTATTGAAGGGCATTTAAATTTTTTTCCCAATTTTTTGTTTTAAAAAACAAACCCATGGATCATTCTGCATGTCTATATCTTTGTACCCTTGAGGAAGTGTGTCTTTAGCATAGATTCCCAGGAGTGAGATGGCCGGATAGAAAGATATTTCAGATTTTGATAAATACTGCCAAACTGTCCTCCCCCAAAAAGTGATGCCAACGTATGGCTCTGCCAGAAGTGTACCAGAGCCAAGCCTGACTTTTAGGAGAAAAACACAATTATCTGACCTCAACTAGAAATAGCACAGAGGTTTAGAATACAGGGTGCAAATGGGGAAAGAGAGGAGCTGCTGGACAAATCTGCCCCTAGATGTGTTCTATTTGGCCGGCAGTGTTTAAATGCTGGAAAAAATTAGTTGTTAATATTTCAAAGCAGGAGATTTAAAATCTGGATCTTCTGCCTCTCTTGGAAATTTGCAAGTGGGCAGGAGGTGAGTGGTGGCTGCCCCTTGCACATGGGGCAGGGGTCTCTGGGGCTGCCGGGCCTCTTTATTTGTCCCTTGAACCACCAGCCCCTGCCTGCGTCTGGGTTCGTGACCTCCAGAGGAGCATACCTAGAATGTTTGCAGGGCTGGGGGTGGAATGGCATAATTTGCTTAGACATGGTAACAGTAGGTTTCTATTTTTATCTCGATCTTTTTTATCTTGCAGTTTTTAAACTGTTGCAGAATGAAATAGAACCACCAGATTTTTCATAATTTACAGATTCCTTTCATGTGTGTCTGAGTTGTTTTTATGTTTCTCACTTTTTTTTTTTTTTTTTTTTTTTTTTTTTTAGTATTTATTGATCATTCTTGGGTGTTTCTCCGAGAGGGGGATTTGGCAGGGTCATAGGACAATAGTGGAGGGAAGGTCAGCAGATAAACATGTGAACAAGGGTCTCTGGTTTTCCTAGGCAGAGGACCCTGCGGCCTTCCGCAGTGTTTGTGTCCCTGGGTACTTGAGATTAGGGAGTGGTGATGACTCTTAACGAGCATGCTGCCTTCAAGCATCTGTTTAACAAAGCACATCTTGCTCCGCCCTTAATCCATTTAACCCTGAGTGGACACAGCACATGTTTCAGAGAGCAGGGGGTTGGGGGTAAGCTTATAGATTAACAGCATCCCAAGGCAGAAGAATTTTTCTTAGTACAGAACAAAATGGAGTCTCCTATGTCTACTTTCTACACAGACACCGTAACAATCTGATTTCTCTTTCTTTTCCCCACATTTCCCCCTTTTTCTATTCGACAAAACCGCCATCGTCATCATGGCCCGTTCTCAATGAGCTGTTGGGTACACCTCCCAGACGGGGTGGCGGCCGGGCAGAGGGGCTCCTCACTTCTCAGACGGGGCGGCCGGGCAGAGACGCTCCTCACCTCCCAGACGGGGTGGCTGGCCGGGCAGAGATACTCCTCAGTTCCCAGCCGGGGTCGCGGCCAGGCAGAGGTGCTCCTTACATCCCAGACGGGGCGGCGGGGCAGAGGCGCTCCCCACATCTCAGACGACGGGTGGCCGGGCAGAGACGCTCCTCACTTCCCAGATGGGATGGCGGCCAGGAAGAGGCACTCCTCACTTCCCAGACTGGGCGGCTGGGCAGAGGGGCTCCTCACATCCCAGATGATGGGCGGCCAGGCAGAGACTCTCCTCACTGCCCAGATGGGATGGCGGCCGGGAAGAGGCGCTCTTCACTTCCCAGACTGGGCAGCCGGGCAGAGGGGCTCCTCACATCCCAGACGATGGGCGGCCAGGCAGATGCTCCTCACTTCCCAGACAGGGTGGCGGCCGGGCAGAGGCTGCAATCTCGGCACTTTGGGAGGCCAAGGCAGGCGGCTGGGAGGTGGAGGTTGTAGCGAGCCGAGATCACGCCACTGCACTCCAGCCTGGGCACCATTGAGCACTGAGTGAGGGAGACTCCGTCTGCAATCCCGGCACCTCGGGAGGCCGAGGCTGGCGGATCACTCGCGGTCAGGAGCTGGAGACCAGTCCGGCCAACACGGCGAAACCCCGTCTCCACCAAAAAATACAAAAACCAGTCAGGCGTGGCGGCGCGCGCCTGCAATCCCAGGCACTCGGCAGGCTGAGGCAGGAGAATCAGGCAGGGAGGTTGCAGTGAGCCGAGATGGCGGCAGCACAGTCCAGCCTCGGCTCGGCATCAGAGGGAGACCGTGGAGAGAGAGGGAGAGAGAGAAGGAGACTGGGGAGAGGGAGAGGGAGACCGGGGAGAGGGAGAGGGAGACCGGGGAGAGGGAGAGGGCTGTTTCTCACTTTTACAAAAGTTTTTTTCCCTTCTGGGAAGTTGGGGCTATCCCACTCCACAGAGGCCTCCTACAAAGGACAGGTCCCCAAGAGAGAAGAGGGTCGCCATCCAGGTACCAAGTCTGATTCCTGTGCCTCCTCACCTAGGACCATGCCAATTCCTCCAGGCAGCGGAGCCAGTTGGTCAGAGGAGGTGGGGAAGGCCTGATGCCAGAGAGTTTCCTGGGTAAACTGAGGCTCACTGCCTTTTTTTTTTGAGGACTTGCCTGCCAGGGCAGAAGCCTTCCAGTGGCCCTGAACTGAGAGTGGAGGCAGCTGGGTCCCTCCTTTGTTGCCCTTTCACCGCTTCCTCCAGCCTGCGTTGCAACTCTGTGAGGAAAAGCTTGGCAAGGGGATGGTAAAGGTTTGACGTCACCAGCCCAGTGAGCATTTGACCGTTACCATGGGAAGGTCAGGCCAGGGCCAGCTCTTTTCGTATTGACTTTGGTTTCCTTCCTCTTGGGTCTCTTTCACTGATCATCCCACTCTTGTTATTCGGGGCTGTCCTCGAGTTTTAATTTACTTATGCTCAAATACCTTGGCTCTGTATTCTTATTGAAATAAGATACACTCATGTGCTCCCACCCTTCACTTCTCCATGGCATGTCTGTGTCTTGGAACATTTTGAAACATGATGGTTATTCCATTAATTAAAAAAAGAAGAAGGAATAGCTGCCACATGTTAAACTCTGCTTCACAAATGAGTCTGAGGAGAAGAGAATGGTATCTTCAAGCCCAGGTAGAGTAATTCTCATCCTACAGCTGACCCAAGGAGCAGCACTGAAGATCAGCAAGGCGAGCCACTCTGACTGGCAGGCAGGTGGCCCCTTCCCTCTGTCCATAGCAGGCCTGAGAGTCACACTGTGGAGGAGAGGGGCGACCTGCCTGCCCTCTTCATCGCCAGTACCACCACTGCTTCTCTCTTTAGCCAAGTTTCTCCCCGTGCCCTGCCTTGTGGAGATCTTCCAATGCGTCCTAAGTCTCTTCCCCAAGAAGACGATGTTGGCTGCTAGCTGCCAAGAGGTGGGGGCTGGGAGCTGGGGGCTGGGGTTAGTGTCTGTGCATAAGGCCACAGCTGCATTGTGCAGGTGGCTGGGACCTCCAGTTTAAAAAGTTTATTTATAGATCACTGTCGAGTTCAGACTTGTCTATAAATGTGAAATGCTCATTCCATGCCCAGGCCCATGCCTGGTTTAGAGCAATTGAAACGAAAAACAAATTTAAAAAGTTAATTTAAAAATTTCAGCTTTACTTAAAATTATTAACATGCACAATTTGTTTTTAAAATAGAGGTGCTCTGGGCATGCTGTCCTAGTTAGCTGTTGGGTTAAGTTGTACTAATGCATAGGTGTTTACCTTTTGGGGTGTGAAAAGGTTGATTAGGGAAGCTGCCCCCGTAGGTCTGCTAGCCACCTTTGCTCCTGTTAAATTAGATCTCTGAAAAATGCTTAGTTCTCAGCACAGGGCCCAGCCTGCAATGTCAGCCCAGGCCCCAGCGTGTGCATTATCATATACTATTATTATTGCCACACAGGCAGGCCCGCCTCTCTGAAGCTGTGTTGCTGAGGATGAAATGTCAGAATTGAGGCTGCACTCAAGCCAGGGCATATTTCCTGATTGCTCTGTATTCACAAATATGTGTCCGTCAAGTCACAGAGCACTTCCTGACGGACACCTCAATGGCCTTCTGTGCTGGAGGTGGACGTGATCTGAAGGCTGTGCCGCAGCCTCATATGGGCTGTCCCTCCCAGGGAGGACCTGCACCCCAAGCCCCCTCCTCTGGCCACAGCCTTTGAGCTGAAGGAGAGTGGTGATGCAGCGGGAGGCACTTTTGCGGGGCTCGTCATGGTTTTTCAATGGGTTGATCTGTTGACCAAAACTCTGGAGACATCTTAGATCCCCTTCTGTTACCACAAGAGGGTGTTTTAAAACAACCTTGCAAGTTCTCATAACTAAATACACTTAAATTTCCATTTGCTCTAAAACCAAGGCAGCATGTCACACGCAGAGTGGGCACAGTGCAGTGGAAAGGCTGACCTCACAGAGGGTGACCAGCAGCCGCACAGGCGGGACAGTCGCCCTCAGCGTTCATTCTCCGTGTTCTTGGCCCCCTGACTCAGCCCTCCCTTGGTTTATGGTGAGTGTTTAATGTCCACCTTCACTTCTAGACGTACGGGTGGGACTTTTCTGTCTTGTTCACCTCTGTGTCCCCAGCTGGTGCCTGACAACTAGTAGGTGCCCAGCACAAAGTTGTGAACAGACTAAATGGATGGGTGCTATTTTATATTTAATGGTTTAGAAATGCTTGTGAATGGAGTTTAAATTAAAAAAAAATCAAAATTGATTTAGAGAAATTGAGCTTGATTATATTAAAAAAAAAAACAAAAACAACAAAAAAAGCAACCCTCCTCACACCCCTCATCAAGCGCACACACACCTTGAAAAAGGGCGGGAATGCCAAGATGTTAACTGTGCTTGTTTACTGATGGTCAAACTAGGGATGGATTTTCCATGCTTTTTGAAAGTAATTTTTAATGTTTTCCAAACTGTCATCAATACATGTATATTGCCTTTATTCCATGGCAAATAAATGCAAAGTAAACAGAAAAATCAAATCTTTCACTTTTTCTTTTCTGAATCACAAAAATCCAGTAAGTTGGGTGGGAGAGCAGGGCCCTCAATGGTGGGGAGCACCTGTCCTAGGTCACCTGTGTTATGTGACTTAGGGGGTGAATAAATGTATTTTTTTGTTTTTGGTCATGCTCTGTAATCAAGTGTGCAGCTTGGATCAGGCCAGTAAGAAACTCAGCAATGTCAAAAGCGGGCACAGGGATTCCACCACTGCTGCCTGGCCATGCGCGTGGTCTACTCCAGTCATGCAAGTTTGGTTCTTTGCTCTCATGATGGTTAGTTTTACATGTGAATTTGTGTGGGTCGCAGGACACTCTTGGATGTGTCTGTGGGGTGTTTCAGAATGAGGTTAGTATTTGAATCAGTGACTCTGTCAGGGAGACCTCTCTCCCCAGTGTGGGTGGTGCCATTCAATCCACTGAGGGCCTGAACAGAACACAAGACAGAGGAAGGAGGAACTTGCCTCTTTTCTACCTCACTGCTTTAGCTGGGGCATCTCAACTCATTTTCTCCACCCTCGGCCTGGGATGTATATCATTAGCTCTCTGGGTTCTCAGGCCTTGGGACTCGGTCTGAATTACACCACTGGGTCTCCAGCTTGTTGATGGCAGATCATGGAGTTTCTCAGGTTCCATAATGTGTGAGCCAATACCTCAGAATAAATCACACACACACGCACACACACACACACACACACACACACGTACATGTATTCACTGTTTCTTTGTGTAGCCTCAGATTTGCAGTGGAACATAATGATAGACTTGGTGTCTTAGCCACAATCCATTTGGAGTGAAAACCTAAGGCAGGCAGAAATCAAATGGATGCAGCACAGGCGAGCGCCCAAGTTGGGGCTTAGCCCAGGAGGGTTCTTGGTGTCACTCAGGAAAGAATTCATGTGTGAGCTGGAGGTGTCAGACAGCAACTTTTATTGAAGCGGCAGTGTACAGCAGCAGCAGAGGAACTGCTCCTTGCAGAGCAGGGCTACCCATAGGCAGTGTGCCCGCAGAAGCAGCTCAGGGGAAGTTCAGCAGTTATAGTTATACCCACTTTTAATTACATGCAAATTAAGGGGAGGATTATGCAGAAATGTTTAGAAAAAGGGTGGTAACTTCTGGGTCATTGCCCTGGAAAGGGTTGATAACTTCCAGGTGTTGCCATGGCAGTGGTAAACTGACATGGCAGTGGTGGGCATGTCTTATGGAGAGGTACTTTAGCCTCTTACCTGTCTCAGCCAGTCTTTAATCTGGTCTGGAGTCCAAGCCCTGCCTTCAGAGTCGAGTCCCACTGCCTACCTCAAAACTGGACAAGGAAGTTTCAAAAATCTGAGGAGAAACAACCCCTGTCAGGCATATTTCATGAATGCCATCAACAGGACCACATTGGATACTACAGCTAAAGTCTTATGGCTAAAGTCCTCAGAGCTTCATGTGCTTCCAGAAGGGCCATTCCATAGAATTCCTTCGTTCCTCAGGCTGACGGTCTAGAGCTGGTATTGGAGAGAGCTGGGCAGGCTGGTGCCCTCTGGGCCCAGGGCTGTGATTTCTGCAGTGCCTTGGCCTCTGCCTGTGTGAGCCTCTGTTCTCCTCTGTGGAATGCAGGTCACAGAGCCTGCCCTGCAAGACTGTTAAGAGTCAGCAAGGGGCTCCACACTCCATGGTTTTCTTACTTCCTTTTCCTTCCTAGATAGGGCTGGTATCCACCTCCCTGATTTTAAGAGGTTTCCTTGTCCTCTCTCCTCTGCTCTCTTTTCCTTTCATTTTAAAGTACCTTTATAACTTTTCAGCAAAAGTTTTCTTATCACCGCTTAATGTTGTCCTTTTGGGCTTAGGGATATCTTAACAGAATTTCCTGGATCAGCTGTTTCTTTTAAGACATAAAAATCGCAAATTAATTACATTTATTTGGTGCCTACTGTGTGCCTTTGCCTGTAATATGTATACCAGTGAGAAATAGAAAAGAATTAGAAGCTGATGCTGATACGGTTTGGCTCTCTGTCCCCACCCAAATCTTATATTGCAGCTCCCATAATTCCCACGTGTTGTGGGAGGGACCCGGTGGTAGATGATTGAATCATGGGGGCGGGTCTTTCCCATGCTATTCTTCTGATAGTGAATGGGTCTCACGAGATCTGATGGTTTTAAAAACGGGAGTTTCCCTGCACAGTCTCTCCATTTGTCTGCTGCCATTCATGTAAAACGTGACATGCTCCTCCTTGCCTTCTGCCATGATCGTGAGGCTTCCCCTGCCATGTGGAACTGTAAGTCCAATTGAATCTCTTTCTTTTATAAATTGCCCAGTCTTGGGTATATCTTTATCAGCAGTGTGAAAATGGACCAATACAGATGCTTTTCAAAAAAAGGGTTTACTTCTTTATTTTCTTTACCATAGTGAGTGCCTGAAATTAATAACATTTTAATAAACCTTTGTTTCAGTAGAATCTTGTCTATACCTAATACTGTTGCCATTATAACCACCACCACCACCATCACCACCACCATCAGCTCCACCATCATCACCACTGGTACTGCTAATGCTGCTGTCACCATCATTGCTGCCACTAATATCACCAGTACTGCCAGCACTACCACTAACACCACCGTCACCACCACCATGACTACTAATATCACCATTACTGCCGTCACTACCAATGACACAACCATCAACACTACCATGAATACTAACAACACCATCATGGCCACTGTTACCAGTAACACCACCATCACCATCACCACCATCATTGCAGTTATACCACCATCAATGGTCATCACCACTACTATTACCATCATCACCACCATCACCTGTATCAACATTACCATCACCACCACCAATCCCATCAGCATAACATTACTACTACTACCGCCCCCCCAAGATCCCTGCCATCACTGTCACTACCACCGCTACCACTAACACCACTGTCACCTTTACCTCAGTCCCAACATCACCATCACCATCATCATCTCTACTACAATCACTCACCACCACTACAATGATCATCACCACCTCTGTTGCCATCACAACCACTACCATCACCTCCATCATAATCCCCATCACCACCACCAGCAGCATCCTCACCACCCTCATCCCACATGTGGACCACACTCAGAGCAGAGGTTTTCAGATTACACTTGTAAAACCTTCTTCAGTCTGAGACAAGCCCCATGATTTGTTTCTCATATTGCAGTTTCTCATAAAATTCCACCTGAAGAAAGAGTTCGAGACCTTAAAGACTACTTTAAAACCCTGCCTGCACAGTGCTTCATCACACTTTCTCACACACGCATACATGTTTTCTGGGGAGCATTTATGAAGATGTAAATGTGCTGTCTGAGGAGGGTGCACAGTGAAGGGGGAAGCACCATAGATTTGTGTCATTAGAGAGCAGGGTCACCTTGGGTGCCATGGGGAGAGGCCAGGCTTCACACTCCTGGGCTAGCATCACAGAAGGAAGGTGGAAGGAAGTGATAAGGGAAGAGAAACTTGAAGGCAGCAGAGTCAAATATTGCTTTTATTTCCAAGGCATATTAAGGATGAGATGGGTTAGTTTAAGTTTAGGAAGAGGAGTGGAGGAGGCTGTGAGATTTTTGCAGGGCTCAGTGTGAGGACAGGCATTCCCCACCAGCCTGCAGCCCCCTGCTGGGTCACTCCACCTGATGCCAGGACCAGGCGGGCTCTCCTGGGAGGCTTCTCTCTCCACGCTTATTTCTGGCCTATCTCATCTTTGCAGGCAATGGCATGAGTTTTGTCTTTTTTGGATCAGAAGTATTGGAGAGCCTTATTGAATAATTCTGTCCCTTTAGATTTTACTCTCTGTGGAAAAAGACATATTAATACTTTCACTAGATACATAGTATATCATGCTTTGATAAATCCAGCACCGAAACAGACCTGAGACATACAAACAGGTCCAGTACTAATGACAGTTCCTTCATTTATTTACTCAACAGTGATTTCTTTGCCCGACTATGTCAGATGTGGAAACACTGTGAGGTGGGGGTGGCTTTTCCAGCGTTCCAGAAGCTAGCTGAAGTTTGCTTCCCTTTTCCGCTCTGAGGGGCAACTCGATGGGAGTAGGGGTAGGAGTGGGGAACCTGAGGCAGGAGAGGGGTGTATTATGAGAGAACCAGGCTCCAGGGTAGACTTCTGGGGTGCAAGCTGACATGCCTCCCGGTGGGCAGGTGGTGGTGGGCACAGAGGGCCGGCTGTGAGGCAGAGGGGAGTGGGGGCTGCGGGGAATGTGGAACACATGCCCATCTCAATGGAACAAAGCACTGAGGTCTAGCCAAGTTTTGCCATGAGAAAAGGAGGGCCCATTGTTGCTAGATTTTCTGATCTTTTTTTTCCAAGAGAAGCTGGAATCGAAACTTTTTAAATGCAAAAATGCTTCATTTTTAAATGTCGATAACTCCTTGCATTAACAAAAATCATAACCATGAGGTCAAACAAACACATTTAGGAATAGTATCTGTTCTCCAGATAGCCAGTTTGCCTTCTCTGTTCTATCCAGTAAAGGATTTCCAGTCTCCAAGTGAACACACAGAAAAAAACATTGGAGTATCTATGGCTAAAGAAGACTTACTTAGCAAAGAACCATTTTCCCTCCATTGGCATATTTTTGAGAATCTACTGGGGAAGAGCCCTGGTTTGAGATGGTTCTGGTGGGCTGGGATGTTCAAGACCCCTTTCCCGGGGCCAGGAAGCAGTTTGTGGTCAGGTCACTGGTCGTGGAGTGAGGGGACCTGGATTTTAAGCATGACCAATGCTAATCAATCATTCCTTTCCCAGCCACCCGTTTATTACCTGTGAAATGAGAGAAATGAATTGGGCTTGGAATTTCAAAATGAGTATGGGTGTGTGTGTGTTTAATATTCTTACTCAAAACTACTCAAAAAAAAAATGCAGCGAAAGAAGCAGATGAGTGAAGATCATCTGCAGTTTAGGGGAAGGGAGGGTCTGCAGCCTCATGCCTGTGCCTCCCCAGGCCCTGGAAGAATGTGCCAACCTCTGGCCTGTCTTTTCCAGATCCTTTGTGCTGAATTTATTTTTCTTTATGCTCATCTCAGAGCCAAACTTTTGGGGATATAAATTTGGTCAGATGCCTTTAAGGAGGAGAACTTGGCCAGAGCAGATTCTCACTTTAAAAAAGGATAGTGGAAAATCCAGACCTCAAGACATTTTATCCGCCAAAACATAAAGTGTATTTTTCTGGTGAGTTGGAACTCCCACTTCAACTAAGAAAAGAAATATAGCCTAAAGGAATCTTCAGAAACAGGAGATACTGTCTTGAAGTAAGCATGGGTCCAGGTACTGCTTGGCTACCGTTAGTTAGTGAAAGATCACAATTTCAGTCCTTAGGACGCTGATGGAAAAATCGAGATGGATTACATCCTGCCCAGCGCACAGGACCCTAGGGAGTGATGGTTGTCATCTGTCTAGTTCCTCCTGCTGTGTGTTTGGCCTTCGTAAGAGCAGCGACCACCAACAGTGATGTGAAGTGTGGAGACTAAACTTTGGAAGGATGGAAAGAGCCAGCAGAGGGAGACGGCATTTGGAATGACTTAATGCCGTGTTCTCAGGCAGTGTTCTCACAGGGGTGCTGTCTGTCACTCTGTAAACATGCACGTTTGTGGAACTAAAATCCAAGCAAAGAGCCTCTGAACAGTTGTAAGGGAGTTGATAACAGCTATCTTGAGCTGCAGATACATTATCTCATTGAGTCCTCATAACGACCCTTTGAACAAATAATTTGACAGATGTCACAGATGAGACTCCAGGATCACAGAGCAGCAGAAGTGGTGGGGTTGGAGCCCTTCACCCCGTCTGTTTTCCAGACCATGCTCAACCCTATTGGTGTTCGTAAGAAGCCAATTCCTGCCTGTCCCACTGATGTGTAGGATTTGTGAAGGGCCCTGGGCATCCTTGTCCTTAGTGCTGCCTACAGAAGCCTTGCTTCCTTGGGGATGAATGTAGAGTCAAAGCATAGCCGAGTCGGCCTCCAAGGTTGCTGCCCTGCCCTCGCTGCTGGTTCTGGGAGAGTCTGTGGTTTGCTCCGTTCCTGGCTGAGATTCACAGAGGTTCCTGGTTTAGCCTCTCGGTTTCACCTTCTCTGGCAGGTTCTGGGTTGACTCAGAAGCTGGGTGTCAGGCTGTGAGCAATGGTCTAACTGCCTGGGTGCTGTTCTGCAGGAGAAAAATGCAAAAATGCAAAACAGAGTCCACCCTTTGCTTCCCAAGGGTCCTCTGGGACCTGGCACGTCTTGGAGTTGCAGGAGGTAGCTGTATGAGGGACATGGGCTCTCTAGGTGCCAGAGCTGGGAGGAAGGAGAGCCAGGCACTGGTGGGGAGAGGGACTGGGTCCTGCTGGGGGCTCCTGGCACCCACAGTCTGACTGGGATGTGAGGAAAGAAAAAAGCTCTGGACAGGGCAAGAAGGGGTTTCCTGGGGCAAGAGGAGCCCAAGAAAGGAAACCAGAGGGCAGGAGGGCCGGTGGCTTGGGGTCTCAGCACAGCCTGGAGTTGGGGGATGGGTGCACACCACAAGTCCCATCCAGCAGCTTGTGTCTGCAATTCAAAGCTGGTCCCGGTTTAAGCCTCAGATGTTGCTCTCAGGCCAAAAATACATAATGATTTTCACAAATGAAATAAAGCGAGGCTTAGGCATTATTATCTTTGAAAAGAGATGTTTTTCTCTCCCTCTTCATCCCTTCTTCAGGCACCCTTCCCAAATTACAGTGAAAATCATCTCTGTCCAGGGCTTTGCACAGAGGTTGCATGCATTGGCAGGAAGTACAGTGTGAATCACATCTACTGACAAAATCTGAGTCTCCGGCCCTGTGATTTTTTTTTCTTTTTTTTTTTTTTGGCAGAATGCATGTCACTAACAGAACTCTAGAGAGGACTGCAGGGTTTCTGAGTTGAGATGGGCCTTAGAGATCACCACCTTAATTCCCTTATTTTATAGAAGAGCCCCAGGAGACTGGCGGGGTGGGGACAATGGCTAAGGCCACTTAGTCAGCTACTGCTGCAGACCAGGCAAGGGCCTGGAGTGAGGGCTGCGATTGGAGTCATGGCTGTGCTATTTACTAGTTATGTCATTTTGGGAAAACCACCTGACCTCTCTAAAACTCTCCTCTCTCAAGTGCAAAATGAGAACAAGAATGTCATCTACTGTAGCATTTTGGTGAGAATTAAGTGAGTAGAAGCAAGTTCATCTGTCTAACTCTTCTATCATTAGTGGTTTCCATGCCTTACTCATTTAAACCATTAGCTACTTCTATTTATAGGTTTATGATTCAATTAAACGAATGTTTATTTCACCCATACTATGCATCCAGTAATTAGGCCAAACATATGACAAATTGAAGGCCTTAGCTCCACCGTCTGGAAACGTGCAGCCTCCGCATGGAGGGAGTGGTTGAAGGGATGGCAGGGGTGTGGCACTGAGTGTTGAGGGTTGGAGAACGACTGCACCTCAGGGCACAGGAGGTGCCAGGGAAGGAGGCTGGGAAGGAATCATCCTTGTGGCGGGAGACCCAGGAGAAGGGAGTGGGCATGAAAGCAGGAGAGAGATTTGAGATGCAGGAGGTGCCGGGGGTCTGAGGAGTGAGTAGATGTGCGAGTTTTCTGTCCACTGACGTTGACTCCATCAACTTCATAAGGGAGAATATTAGTAGGAAGGGGCTGGGGGAGGAAGAAGCTGAAAGAGACAGGGCACATGTGCCCTCATGCCATTGGGTCCAGATCTATTGGATTATCCCGGGGGAACAAGGCCTGGAAGCTTACACCCTAGACAGGCACCCAGTGGTAAGAAGCCCCAGGCCGGGAGCCCACAGAGGTGGCCTTGTATACTCAGGAGTAAGAAGCCTGGCTCTGCCACTCACTCCCTATATGGCCCTAAGTAATCTCTTTGGCTTCTTTGAGTCCAGTTTCCTCCTCTGTAAACTGGGCCACTAATAGCACTGGTCTCATAGGGTGCTGAAAGGATCAAATGGGGAAATATATGGAACTGACTTGGGCCCATGCAGGAGAAATGTTGAATACATGCTTGCCATTAGTTTTGAGGCTTTGGTCTTCTCATATTTAAAAAGGAAGATGGCAATAGCTTTTCTGCTCTGGAAAAAGAATGAGACAGGGTAATGTGTGTGAAAGTAATTTGGAAATGTAAATGTGTAATGTAGTATTATTGTTGGAGGAGCCTTCAGTTCACTTTCGTTGAGGAGGTCGAGGGAACATTAGGGACATGGGGAATTTTATGTGTTGAGTTAGGAGAATAAGCTAGAGAATCACATGCTGGGTTTCAAAAGGAAAAATGGTCTTAAATAAAACTGTGTGTTTTCCCAGTGAATTTGTGGAAAGAACGTAAAATCCCCCATTATTGGTCTCTGTTTTAACGAAAGAAAGGGAAACTTTATTTAAAGGGCCTGTCGACCATATCAGCAATGTGTGGGTAACATCAGTGAGCATAGGAGGGAATCATCTAGGGCAAACTTAGCTTTCAAAATGGGCCTGGTGTGGTGGCTCATGACTGTAATCCCAGTGCTTTGGGAGGCTGAGGTGGGAGGATTGCTTGAGCCCAAGAGTTTGAGGCTGCAGTGAGGCATGATTGTGCCACTGCAGTCCAGCCTGGGTGACAGAGCAAGACTCTCTAGAAAAATAAATAAATAAATACATACATAAAAAGAGTAGGCCCTTTGAGTCCCAAATCAATTGCCTAAGTATGCTACCTTATAAGGTAGTCTATTAAACCTTTGTGAAACGATTATGCTAGCACTGATTGTCGGGCACACACTGCTCAGTGGGGATTCCCATGTGTTCTGCCCCACACGTTACTGATGATGGGCCTTTCAGAATTGTGTTTCAAAATATTTCCATCTGAGCATTATGCCTTATGCTGGCCATGTGAACACCTTATTTAAGGGAAGGAGAGAGAACTGCATTTTGAGTTTCTCATCGTGTATTTTCAACCCACTGCAGGCTAGATTATCTGCCCCTCAGTATTAAAATTACGAGGTCTCAACCCCTCTTGATGCTCTATTAACAATCTGGTACCATGTGGAACACAATCAGGAAGCCTCTGAGCTGGAGAAAGTGTGCGGTTATTGTTATTGATTGCATCAAAAGACAGGCATGTGATCAGGGAGAAGCTGGTGAGGAGGAAAGGCGAGGCTCCTTCCAGGGCCTGGGAGGGGTGAAGGGCCTGTCCGTCCAGCACGGATTCTCTGGCACCAACTGGGTGTCCCACACCTCAGTTCAATTCTGATGTTAACTACCCAGAGTTGGCGCAGACCCCACAGGTGAAGGGGCTTGGCAAGACTGTCCTCACTTCAGGCACCAGCTGTAAGTCCTGGGTCTCCAGGCTACTCATACTTCTGTCCAACTTGGCTACAAATTTGAGAGTTCCCATGACCTCCCTTCTGGTTGGATGGTTTGCTAGAATGACTCACAGAGCTCAGGAATGTGCTACAGGTTACAACTACAGTTTTATTATAATGGATACAAATGAGCAGCCAGATGGAGAGATGTAGGGCAGCAAGGTCTGGGGCAGGGGTGGGGGCGGGGACAGCGGCAGGTGCAGGAGCTTCTGTCCCGCTGGAGTCAGGGTGCTGCACCCTCCCAGAGAGTCAATTATGTTCACCAGCCAGGAAGTCCCCAAGCCTCACTGTTGCAGTATTTGTCCAGGGTTTCACTAAGTAGGCATGTGTGATGAAATCATTGGCATGTGACTGAACTCAAATTTTCAGCTCCCTCTGCTCCCTGGAGATCAGG
Organism: Homo sapiens; assembly: GCF_000001405.40. NCBI lineage: Eukaryota > Metazoa > Chordata > Mammalia > Primates > Hominidae > Homo > Homo sapiens. The sequence continues at coordinate 111,659,583 of NC_000002.12, read as the reverse complement.
GCGTGGGGCTGAAACCTCCAACTCTCTAATCACGTGCTTGGCCTTTCTGACGTGGCCAGCCTCTCCCCTGAAACTATGCGAGGGCCACCTCCTTTGTGCAAACTCAGGTAGGAGTTGTATAAGGGGCTGTTTCTGAATAACAAAGCACAGTGGAATCACTCAGGAAATGCGAAGGGTTTGGGAAGCTCTGTGCCAGAAACCATGGACAAAGACAAACAGGTATTTTGATGAGACCACAGCACAAGTTTGTTCATCACAGAGTCCTGGGTTCAGATCCTGGCTTCTCCTTGCTGGGTGAGGCTCTGCCCTCTCAGAACCTGATATGCTTCCTAAGTAAGGTGAGGGGACTGACAGGACCTGCCTCTCAGGGTTGTTGTCCAAATTCAGTGGGTAAGGCTGAGAAAGGCTTGATGGGAGATCAAGCAATGGCAGGATTCAGGGTGGCAGTGGTGCTGCGGTGAGGGGTACGCACAAACACCACGCTGTGGACGCAGACCCCAGACAGTCCTTAAAACGCTCAACACAGAAGTCTAGGACAGAAAACTTGGTCAACATTTGGAATTTACTGTTTTTTTTTTTTGTTGTTGTTGTTGTTTGGTTTTGGTTTTTGAATCAGAGTCTTGCTCTGTTGCCCAGGCTGGAGTGCAGTGGCGCAGTCTTGGCTCACTGCAGCCTCTGCCTCCTGGGCTCAAGTGATTCTCCTGCCTCAGCTTCCTGAGTAGCTGGGATTACAGGTGCATGCCACTATGCCCCCTAATTTTTTTATTTTTAGTAGAGACAGGGTTTCACCATGTTGGCCAGGCTGGTCTCGAACTCCTGACCTCAAGTGGCCCACCCACCCTGGCCTCCCAAAGTGCTGGGATTATGGATGTGAGCCACCACGCCTGGCCTTGGAATTTACGGTTTTGAGAGAAGGTCTTGCTTGAAAATCCAAATAGTTTGAAAATTGATGAGAAGGATAGTTGCTGACACTAAGACTGAGCCCTAATGAGCTATGGAGGAAACATGGGCATTTTAGGGACCACTCACTTAAAGGTTAGTGGTCAGAACCACTGATCTTTTGGTTCTGAGAGGAAAGCCCTCTCCAAACACCTCATGTCCAGGACTGTGAGTGATACATCCTAGTCTGAACAGCCCATGGGTTTGACCTGATGGCCTTTTTTTTTTTTTCATTTTTTATTTTTTGAAACAGGGTCTTGCTCTGTTGCCCAGACTGGAGTGCAGTGGTGCAATCAAGGCTTGCTGCAGCTTCAACTTCCTGGCCTCAGATTATCCTCCCACCCCAGCCTCCTGAGTAGCTGGGACTACAGGCATGCACCACCATGGCCAGCTAATTTTTGTATTTTTTTGTAGAGATAGGGTTTCACCATGTTGCCCAGGATGGTCTCAAACTCCTGAACTTGAGCCATCTGCTCACCTCGGCCTCCCAAAGTTGATGGCTTTTCTTGAGCCATCGACTTGATTTTAATTGTCTTTATTACACTCATTGTTTCTCAGGAAAAATAATGAGCTGTGAAAACACTATCATATTTCAATCTTAGAAGCTTGGTTGGTAATTGTGATCAGAAGTATCGGTTGGATATAAAGTACATGCCAAGTTGAACCAGGTTTCCTTCTGCTTCATCCTCACCTGGGCAGTCTCACTGCTGAGACCCTCTGTATAAGACCTCCAGCTGTCGAAAGTGAAGCAGTGTGACAGGCCTTAGGCAGCCTGGTCCCAGGGAGAGCATGGGGCGTGAGGAGGTGCGACTTCCAATCCCACCTGTGCCTAGACATGTCTGAGTACCCTTGGGAAACTCATTTCCAATTCCTGGGCCTTGGTTTCCTCATCGTAAAGTGAAAAGATTCGACTAGATGCCATGCATCTTTTTGCCCCCAGCTGTCACTGTCCATAGCATGGATGGTCCTACCCCAGCCAGCACCTCTGGAGCTGTTACTGAGCATTGACTATGTGCCAGGCCCTGTACTAACACTTTCCACACTCTGTCTCACTGCCCCCCTCCCAGGAAGTAAGACCTGTATCATCCTTATTTGTTGGGCGGGGAAATTGAGGCTCAGAGGTTGAGTGACTTTTTTTGGGGTCTCAGCTGGTCACTCGGGAGCTGGGTTGGAGTCCAGTTGTGCCTGAGTCCACTGAATAAAAGCATTATTGGGAACTGGCTTCATTAACAATGAGCCCCAGTGGAAACGTAGTATGGAATGGAAATGGAAATGGAAATGCAGTGGAAATGTAGAGTGGATATGGTGTAAGACACCTGGAAAGCTTAAGGAGCGGGAGCTAGAGAGACAGAGAGAGAGACCGAGAGACAGAGAGAGAGAGAGAGAGAGAAATCCCCAATTTCCTGGGTAACAGACACACACCCTTCTCTACCCTGGCTCAGGGCTGGCCATGGCTGTCGTGGCTGCTTTCTGGCCAGCAGAAAGGAATAACCTTGTCACCCGGGAGCAGCGGTGGGTGATGGCACTCCATGAAGAAACCTTTGCCCTCTGGCTGGTAATAAAATAAAGAAAGCTTCAAGTAAGGTGACACAGAACAGAAGTAAGAATAGCAGCAAGGTTATTCTGAGAAAGGCAGAGAGGTCTGTGCTTCGGCTGTGGGAGGATGGAGTCCTGGCGCTTGCTAACCTGCCCGGCTCGTCCGCCTGGAGTTATCGTGAAGGCAGGAGGGAGGATGTCGAGCAGGAGGGGAATTGAAACCATTTAGTCTTGGGGCTGAGATTGTGTTTTACGTATTTGGCAAAGACATTTTCAGTCATTACTTGGATTAACCCTTGCTGGGAGCACAAAGAACAAATCCACGCACGTCGTCCTTTGCTGTGGAAAGACGAGGCACTCAAGGAGCAGGCACACTCCCTTTGCACGCCGACCCCAGCAGGGGAGTGGAGAGCCCACTTGAGGCCCAGGGCCTCACAGAGCTCCATCAAGGACACCCAGACGTCATCTTGCCTTTTCGACAGATAACAATACTGTGTCCCCGCAGCTGGAAGGTGGGCTCCAAGTGTGATGGTTGCAGAAGAGGCTGCTCTCCTATTTGCCTCTCTGAGTGGCTTTCTGCCTTGCCTTGTGTTTCCCCAAAACAGAACCCCCTTTCTGCCCCCACACCATACTCTACCTCCTCACCAACAATAAAAACAAACCCAATTGGGAATGGTTGTACTTTGAGGCTCTGTATGAAGGTTTGGGTCAGAACTGCCTACTCCATGCGGAAGTCTGAGTGCCTTCGTGGAGGTGGCAGGCCCAGGGCATCCTAGCTGTGGCAGGGCTGAGAACATCAAGCCCATTGCGGGGTCACTAGTAATGCCAGTAGCACATACCGTAGCAAATGACAGTGACTTAAAAAGCAAAAAACGGAAATAATAAATTCCCAGAGCAAGACTCTTGGGAGAGTGATTTATCCATAGCATTGTCAATGAGCATCAATAGAAGAAAGGGAAACTTTTGGGTAGAGTTTCTGTTTTGTTTTGTTTTTGTTTTTTTTAAGAAATCTGATCTTTAGTAAAATTACTATAAAATCTGTAAATCTGTAAATCTCTTCACCAACTGAAGACCCTCTGGGAGTGAGGGGCTTGCAGAACTCTTTTAAGAGTCTCCCCAGTTGCATTCTTGGATTTTCTTTTTTCTTTTCTCTCTTTTGGAACAAAGCCTTAAAAGTTTTTATGATTTGTAACATATATTGATCAGATGTGGGTAAAAATCTCAAAACCATTCCCTCGGGTTGACTGTCTTGCTTATCTTTCCTTTCTGAAAAATGAAACTTGTGCATATCAAAAGGTTGGGGCAAAATAAATAAGAGTGATATTTCAGAGAAAAACCCAATGACAAATGAAAAGTCCAAGGCTGACAGCCAGTGTCTGCAGAGGAGGAAACAGAGCAGATACTGACCATGAAGTAGCATCTGTGGCCTGTGGGCTGCTCTAGAAATTGAGTGGTCTGAGGCCGGTCACCAAGGGTGCTGTGGCTGGATTAGCAGAGCGCTCATCTGTGTGTGTTCTGGGCATTATTTTCTTTTAATTAAGCTGAAGAATTACCTGCACCTTTATTGACAGAGAAACACTGAAACATTATTGTCTAACAGAAATAAATACCAGAGCTCTGGTCTCTTTCTTTGGAGGTGGTGGGGGTGGTGGGTGAGAGGCAGCTGAGGGTGGGCTTTGCAGGCTTGTTAACAGGGAGAAACATCCCCCAGCAGAGGCCTTCCTCCCACAGCACAGCCATCTGACGCCATTTCTCGGCTACACACTAAGATGTATGACTGGTGCTCTGTGCTAGTTAGTGAGCTAGGCTTGATGTGTGAATTTATTTAAATCTCACAACAGCCCTGTAAATAGATCTAACTATCCTGGGGCTACAGGTGAGAAAAATGAGGTTCAGAAATGCTGAGCCGCCTCTTTGAGGCCCTGCAGCCTGTGATCAGTGAAGGTGGGATGAGGCTCAGGTGGGCTCTCTACTCCCCTGCTGGGGTTGGTCTGCGCAGAGTTCCCCCATCCACAACCTCTCTGTTTTTAAGGCAGGGTCTTCAAAGCCAAACTGACTGAGCGCAGGCAGCCAAGCAGCTGTTCAGCCCTCAGGCTATGATTCCGCAGTTGTCTCAAGAACTTGATGTGTGCCTGGGTCACCAATACCAGAACAGGGGATGTGGGCAGAAGGCCCAAGGGTGAGAATACAACTTGCCTTCCTTTTCTTTTTCAGGATTCAAGGGGGGCGGGGGGCTAGAGTTTTTCCAGTGTGGGAGGAAGGTGTCAGGCTCTAAACTAGATTATGAGCATGGAAACTCTGTAGGAGTATGAACATCAGAATGAAATATCATGATTAATAGAACTATTAGAAACCGGAACAATTATTTTGTCCTTGTCTTGCATTTTTTGGACAACATTTTCCACTTACACAAAACTTTGTATTGCAATGGATGAGACTTGAAATTTTGTAGAAATGATCTGGAAAGAAGTATGCAGAGCCATATTCCTTTCCCTGGAAGGTGATCCTTGAGGCAACAGCATCCATTCTTCCACTTAGGCACAGCACCAACAACAGGCCCACACACTTAGCAACCACATTGTCCATTTGTTATTTCTTTTTAGTCTCAGTGGTATTGGTATAGTGGTTTTTGACGGAGTTGACTCCATCGGTTGTAAACAGAGAGGGGACTGTGAATGACTTGAGAGGGGCATGAATAGATTGTGTGCTAGAAAATAATGGGCTTGTTAACCATGACCCAGCTGATCTATAACACATTCCAAATTGTGCATTCACTTCTTTGCCAAGATGGGAAGCTGATATTTACAAATCCCCATAAATGATAAAGATGTGGTTCAGAAGAAGCAGCCGTGCTATACCTCAATGCAGACCTTCCCAGTGTGGACAGGTTCAGGGTCCAGTGAGTTAGGGTGGGATCGCTGGGCCAGTGTACCTCTGTGCTCCCACATTTCAGCCCACATTCCAGCCCTTAGATGCAGCAAGGAATGCTCACGGGAACCCCCATCTGTCAGCCTGCTTTTGGAACACTCCAGATAGGAGGGAGGGCAGAGGGAAGGGTCTCAGCAGTGCTAGCTCAGGGGACAGCTCTCCTGCAAAGCTGATGTGCTGCTTCTGAAGACAAGTGCCAAGTGGCTTCCAGGGGCTGTGGTGTCATTGGGAGGCCACCGTCCTACAGGCACTGCCTGGAGTAATGGCTAGAAACCCAATACAGATGGTTTTCTTGATGGACAAGTGTGCCCTTGAGACATTGTCAATAAAGGGAAAAACTTTTTGCTAGGGCCCATTGTCGTTCAGTTTTATAGAATAAAGAGCAGGACTTGAGCCTGGGATTGAATGAGACTTTCCATAGCATGTGTGGACCTCTTGAAAAGAACATCACTTATAGTTGAAATTTTGTGTTTGTGGTCATTTCTGTAAAAATTTGAGGTTAGTCTTTTTATTAGCAATGTGATATCTCTGGGGTGGAATCAAACAGCATCCCAGCGTTTTCCTCTGGAAGGCACATTTTACCTTCTAGGTGCATGGATTTTGTGCATTGGATTTGAATTCCCTAAGAATATTTCTCTGGAAATGAACCCAGTCTTGCAGAAGCTGCCTTTGGTAATATGCAGAGGCAATCTGGGTCTGTGTTAGTAGGAGGTGGTATCTTGCAGAGGTGGAGAGCACAGGCCAAATGCCAGCTCCACTACTAACCAGCAGTGGGAGCTTGTCAAGGTGCCTACAGTTTTGTACTTTAATATCCTCCTCTGTCAAATGGAATGATGATGGTAAACTATGCTTCATAGGCTTGTTGTGAGGATTAAACAAGTTAATACATATCAAGGGCGTAGAGCACATCCTGACACTCAACTGTACTCATCCTTTACTCAACTGTGCTAGTTAGCAGTGCTGCTGAAGGGCTGAAGCAGTGCTGCTGAGTTCTGACATATAGGAGAATTGTGTGCTGGACTTCCAGTGTTGCACACTTGCCTTCTGAAATCTGCCTAATATTTTTCCCTGGTCATCTTCAGAGACACTTTTTTTTTTCCAGTCAGCTCTATGCATGCACATTTCTTCCTTTTGTGCTATCAGGAAGGAACTGAAGATGGTTCAAAACTATGAGAGGAGGCAAGTGTGATGGAGTTTTCCATGAGGACCAAGTCAGCCCTTCTAAGTGTCTCTCTCTCATACTCAGAATAGCAGCTGCTCCATTTCAGCAAGACCAAGCACTTGATTCCTGGAAAATGTGATAAGAGAGGAATCCAGTCTTGCTTTTTGACTTTGCTTGCAGATTCTGCTTAGACTCACTCTCACCTGGACTGCTTTTTATGCACACTTCTTCTGGCAGTTTCTGGATGACCTCTCTTGCCTTGCCTTCCAAATGTTTTCTTTGGTAAAGCTTTTGACATACACAGTGAACGGTGCACACACCATGATGAATTATTACAGAATCAACATACTTGTCTATATTCCACCTAACTATAGATATTGAACATTGCAAGCACTCAGTATGCTGCCTCATGCCTCCTCATAAGCATTACTTCCTTCAACGTTAGCCAGTATCCTGACTTTTCTCACAATAGATTAATTTTTGGCTGTTTCAAAACTATGTATAAATGTAACTGCATGGTTTCATTCTTTTGAGCTTGGCTTCTTTTGATTGATATTCTGCCTGTGAGATTCCTCCATATTGTTGACAGTGGTAGCACTTTCTTTTCCATTGTTGTATAGGGCTCCATCGTGTAAATTTTATCCATACACTTGATTTATTCATCCATCCTTTTTTAATGGACATTCGGGTTGTTTTCAGTTTTTGACTACCATGAATAACGCTACTATGAACATGCCTTTTGGTGACTATATGCAGGCATTTCTGTTGAGTCTGTGCCTAGGAGTGGAACTGATGAGTCATAAGGTTTGCAACTGTTCAGCTTCAGTAAATTCTGTCTAATAGTTGTCAAAAGTGCTTGAACCAACTTATATCCTACTAGCAGTATATGAATATTCCTTTGCTGAACATCCTCACCAACACTTGGTATTATTAGTTTATTTTCTGGAGTGTGTGTAGTCGTATCTCATTGTGGCTTCAGTTATATTTCTTTGATGATTAATAATGTCCTGTACCTTTTCATATTTTTTTTGCCATTTGGATATCTCCTTTTTTGAAGGGCCTGTTTACATTATTTGCTCAATTTTAAATTGGGTTATCAGAGCTTGTCTGATTTAGAGATGTTCTTTATATATCCTGTATATGAGTCCCTTGTTGGATACCTATGCTACAGTTACTTTGTCCTACTAGATTATTTGCTTTTTTGCTTTCTGAATAGTGTCTTTTTTCTCAATATTCTTAATTTTAATGAAGTGAAATTTAGCAATTTTTCACTTACTCGTTGGCGATTTTGTGTCCTATTTGAGAAATCTTTGCCTAGCTCAAGGCTATAAAATTATTTTCCTATGTAATGTTAGAGAAACTTTATTGATTTGCCTTTCACATTTAGATTTATGGTACTACGGAAATTGATTTTTGTATATGGTATGAGGTAGGCATCAAGCTTTGTTTTTTCCGTTCATATATCCAATTGAACCAAAACCATTTATTGAAAAAATAATGTACTTTTATCCTTTGTCTAGGATATTGCTATAGAACCATTGCTGTAAATCAAGTGGACTTATATGTGAAGGTCTGTTTCTGTACTCCTTGTTCTGTACAATATATCTATTTGTTGACTCTTTTATGAGAAACCACACTGTCTTAACTACTGTAGTTTATCTGCGGTATAAATCCTCCAACCTTGTTCCCCTGCAAGATTATCTTGGCTATTCTTGGAGCTGTGTGTTTCTAAATATTTTAGAATCAGCTTGTCACATTACACACACACACACACACACACACACACACACACACCACCACCATGCTGAGATTTTGATTAGAATGGCATTGCAGTTATAGATGATTAGGGGAGAATCAATACTTTTACAATACAGAATCACAAAATCTTCTGATCCATGAACATAGTTCATCCTTCCATGTATTAGGTTGGTGCAAATGTAACTGCAGTTTCAAATATTTATGCCTCATTTAATTTTTCTCAGTTATGTTTTATGGCTCTCTGTAAAATTTTGTACTTTTGTAATTAAAAAAATTTAACATCTCTATTGAGATATAATTCACATACCATACAATTCACCTGTTTAAAGTGTATAACTCAATAGTTTTGATATATTGCATTATTAATTTTTAAAAATTGTAAGATATGTATAACATAGTTTACCATTTTAAACATTTTAAAGCAAAAATAACATTCTCAATGTTGCACCATCATCACTTCTATTTCCAGAACTTTTTCATGATTCCTAACAAATTCTGTAACCATTGGGTGATAACTTCCCATTTTTCCTCCCCCAATCCCATCAATAACCTCTAATTTATCTTCTGTCTCTATAAATTTGCCTATTATTTGTCCTTTTGTTCCTGTTTATTTTTATTTTTATTTTTTTCTGAGATGGAGTTTCACTCTTGTTGCCCAGGCTGGAGTGCAATGGCACAATCTTGGCTCACCACAACCTCCACCTCCCAGGTTTAAGTGATTCTCCTGCCTCAGCCTCCCGAATAGCTGGGATTACAGAGATGCACCACCACGCCCGGCTAATTTTGTATTTTTAGTAGAGATGGGGTTTCTCCATGTTTGTCAGGCTGGTCTCGAATTCCAGACCTCAGGTGATCCGCCTGCCTCGGCCTCCCAAAGTGCTGGGATTACAGGTGTGAGTCACCATACTCGGCCTTGTTTCTGTTTTTTAAACTTGGTATCATGTCTTCAGTGTTCACCCATGTTGTAGCATGTATTAAAACTTCATTCCTTTTTGTGGCTTAATAATATTCCATTGTATGTGTACAACTTATTTTATTCTCTCATTTGTCTGTTAATGAGCAATTAAGTTGTTTGTAAATTTTGGCTATTGTGAATAATGCTGCAATGAACATTGACATAAAAATATCTGTTCAAGTTTCTGTTTTTAATTCCTTTTGATTTATACCTAGGATTGAATTGCTGGATCATATGGTAATTTAATGTTTAGCTTTTTGAGAAACTGCCAAACTGCTTTTATAGTAGCTGGAGCTCTTTACATTCCCACCAGAAATGTATGAGGGTTCCAACTCTCCACAGCTTCACCAATGATTATCTTCCTTAGCATTTTTTTTAAAAATAAAAGCCATCTTAAAGGTTGTAAAGTGGTGTCTCATTGTGGTTTTGATTTGCATATCTCTGATGATGTTGAACATTTTTTCATGTGCTTGTGCTTATTGGCATTTGTATATCTTCTTTGGAAACAGTTTTATTCAAATCATTTTTTTCACTTTTAAATTGTGTAACTTGTCTTTTTAGCTATATAAGTGTTCTTTATATATTCTAAATAATAGACTATTATTAGATATATAATTTTTCCCTACTATGTGCATTGTTTTTTCATTTTCTTGATAGTGTACTTCAACACACAAAAGTTTTTAATTTTAATAAATTCTGATTAATTTATTTTTTCTTCAGTTGCTTGTGTTTTCAGTGTCATAGTCAATAAGCCATTGCTTAATCCAATATTATGAAGACTTACACCTATGTTTTTGTCTAGTTTTATAGTTTATTGTATTCAGGTTGTTGATATATTTTGAATTAATTTTTGTATATTGAGTGAGGAAAGGGTCCAACTTTATTTTTTTTTTGTGTGGATATCCTGCTATCTCAATACCATTTGATGAAGGGAGTATTCTTTTTTTTATTGAGATGGAGTCTTGCTCTGTTGCCCAGGCTGGAGTGCAATGGCATGATCTCAGTTCACTGCAGCCTCTGCTTCCCGGGTCTAAGCAATTCTCCTGCCTCAGCCTCCCGAGTAGCTGGGCTTACAGGCACCTGCCACCATGCCCAGCTAATTTTTGTATTTTTAGTAGAGATTGGGTTTCACCATGTTGGTCAGGCTGGTCTCAAACTCCTGACCTCAGGTGATCCACCTGCTCTGGCCTCCCAAAGTGCTGGGATTACAGGCGTAAGCCACTGAGCCCAGCCGAAGGGAGTATTCTTTAGCTATTGAATGCATGGAGTGCTTTATAGACATAAGACTAGTTTGCTTATACTGTTGTTAATGTCTTATATTTCTTTGAAGATCTTCTGTCTGGTTGTTCTATACATTATTGAAACTGGATTTTTAAAAATTCAGGTTGAAATATATATAGATTCAGGTTGAAATATACATAGTTCTACCTCATTGTAAGCTATTGTTGGATCTTGAATCTTATGGTGATTGGAAAAAAAAAAGAAAGTGGAGTATTGAACTTTCTATTATTATTGAATTGTCTATTTCTCCTTTCAACTCAATCATTTCTTGCTTCATGTATTTTATGGGTATATTGTTAGATGCATATACGTGTATAATTGTTATATCTTCTTGGTTGATTGACGCTTTTATCTTTCTAAATGTTCTATCACTACAGTAACAACAATTGTTTTCGTAAAGATTATTTTAAAAATATTAGTATAGCCACTCAGCTTTCCTTGGGTTACTGTTTGCATGGTGTATCTTTTTCCATTCTTTTATTTTCAACCTATTTGTGTCTTTAAAGAATGTATCTTGTATTCAACATATATTTGGCTCATTGAGAAAACAATTCTTCCAATCTCAACCTAATAGGAGAGATTAACCCATTTATACATAATATAATTACTAATAAGGTAGTATTTAGGTTTGCCATTTTTGCTATTTGTTTTCTATATGTCTTATGTATTTTTACCCCTCAGTTTCTCCATTGCTGCATTCCCTTTTTGTTAAATATTTTCTAGAGTACCAATTTAATACACTTGTAATTTCTTTTAATATGTGTGTGTGTTTCTAGTAAACATATATACATGTGCGTTTACAAATGCATAGTGGGAGTCCCACAAATATAAATAAATACATATTTATTTATATATAAAATGTTTGTATATATATGTGTGTGTATATATACACATATATAATATATATGTATAAATATATAATATACATAATTATATATAAGTATAATTATATATATACACACCCACATATATATATCTATGTAATTTTCTTAGTGGTTGTCCTGGGGATTAACATTAACATCTTAATTTATAACAATCTAATTTATAACAATTAGATTAATACCTACTCAATTTCGATGGTATACAAAACCTTTGCTCCTGTATAGTCTCATTTGCTTCTTTGTGCTCTTATTGCCACAAATTACATCTTTATACATTGTATGTCCATCAACTTAAATTTACAATTATTGCATTATGCAGTTGTTTCTCAAATCAGATAAAAAAAAGGAATTATATGCAAACATTCAATTATACTCTCTTTTACATTTATCTATGTATTTACCTTTGCCAGTGCTCTTTATTTCTGCTTGTGGACTCAAGCTACTTTAATTTCATTTCAGCCTGTGGAACTCCATTTAATATTTCTTATAAAGCAGATGAGCTAAGGACAAGCCCTGTCAGTTTTGGTTTATGTTGGATATCTTAATTTCTTCGTTTTTAAAGGATAGTTTTGCTAGATATAGAATTCTTAGTTGCCAATTTTTTCTTTCAGCTCTTTGAATATGTAATCTCACTGCCTTTGAGCCTCCATGGTTTCCGATGATAAATTAGCTATTAATCTTATTGGCAAATCTTTATATATGACGAGTCACTTCTCTGTTGCTGCTTTTAAGATTTCTCTCTGTCTTGAGCTTTCAACCATGTCATTATCTTACATCTTGGTTGGGGTATATTTGAGTTTATCTTATTTGTAGTTCTTGTAGCTTCTCATATGTGTAGATTAAAATTTTTCATAAAATTTGGGAGGTCTTTGGCCTGTTTGTTTAAATATTGTTTTTACACATTCTCTTTATCTTCTCCTTCTGGGGTACCCACTGTACATTTGATAGTATGCTTGACGGTATCCCAGAAGTCACTGCACTCTGTTCATTTTTCTCTATTCTTTTTTCTTTCTGTTCCTCATACTGGATTATCTCAATTGACATACCTTCAAATTTGCAGATTCTTTTTTTCTGCCTGCTCATTTTGCTCTTTATTTCTTGTAATCATTTTTCATTTCAGTTATGGTACTTTTCAACTCCAGTGTTTCTATTTAATTTCTTTTAATAATTAATAATAAAATAATCTCTTTATTGATACTATCTATTTGTTAAGGCATTGTTTTTATGCTTTCCTTTAGTTCTTTAAACATAGCTATTTTGATTTTTAAGTGAGGATAGCTGATTTAAAATAGCTGATTGTCTAGTAATTCCAATGCCTGGGTTTCCACATGGACAGTTTCTATTAATTTCTGTTTTTTCTGCATACCAGTTATTCTTTTTTTTGTGTCTTTGAACATCTCTCCCCACCCCTTTTTTTTTGTTTTGAAAATTGGACATTTCAAATGATACAGTGTGGCAACTCTGGAAATAATGTTTTCTTTAGTTTTGTTGTTGTAGCTTCTTGTCTTAGTTGTTGTTTGTTTGTTTAGTGATTTTTATGAACTGATTAGTTAAAGTGTGTGCTTTGTAGTATGTGGCCACTGAAGTCTCTACTTGCTTTACATGGTGGCTGGCTAATAACTTGACAAAGATTTCTTTAAATGAGTAACCAGTAAGTCTCCAGTCTTTGTGTTTCTGCTGAGCATTTCTCTGTGGGTGTCGGGACGCTGCTTAACGGTCAGCCAGGTAGTTGACCACTATGCCTTAGCCTTCACTTCTTGCTTGGAGAGACTCAAGGTCAGTTAGAAGTGAGAGATAAGAGCTTTCTCAGGTATTTTCCTGAGCACACACACACTCCTTGTAGATTCCCAGGACTGTGTGGGAGCTTTTCAAAGCCCATATAGACATCTCACTTCTCAGCTTTTCCTTTTAAGTTTTTTGGTTAGCCTATTGTTTGGTCCAACTATTATCTATTACCTCAGGTAGCTGTAATTAAAAAATATTCAACAAAGGCCTCTGAAGAGAAGAAAGTTAGAGTGACACCTTTCCAGTATATGCCAGGGAAACACCAAATAGGCCAATTAATAGCTTTTTGTTGGGATTAAGCCTTTTAAAGTACTCTAGACCCATAATACTCTCTCAGGCACTGGGAATGTAGCTGTTAATTTTCAAGGTTGCCACAGAGCTGGGAAGTAAAGGATGAGACTAGAGTATGTTCAATTGCCACAAGGCTTGCTTTTCATTATGAGATTCAGCAATTTTTCTTGATTAAATTCTCCCTGGGTTGCTGGGAGCTTTTGGTTAATTTTCAGACTTCTGGAAAAAGTTGATTTTGAGAATTTTTACCCATTTTTTATTGCTTTTATGGAGGGGAAATTTTTGGAATTCATTACTCTTCTGTTTTTGCTGATGTCTTCTCAGTATTTTGACTTATTTTATTTATCTCCTATATAACTATGTCTTATTTTATTATATATATATATATATATATATTTCTTTTTTTCTTTTTTTTTTTTTTGAGATGGAGTCTCACTATGTTACCCAGGCTAGAGTGCAGTGATGCGATCTTGGCTCACTGTAACCTCCGCCTCCTGGGTTCAAGTGATGCTCCTGCCTCAGCCTCCCAAGTAGCTGGGACTACAGGCGCATGCCACCATGCCTGGTTAATTTTTATATTTTTAGTAGAGATGAGGTTTTGCCATGTTGGCCAGGCTGGTCTTGAACTCCTGATCTCAGGTAATCCACCTGCCTTGGCTTCCCAAAGTGCTGGGATTACAAGCGTAAGCCACCACCTAGAATAGATAAATTCTGTTATATTTTTATCTCTATAACAAAAGAACCTAGGGTTCATATGGAAATGAACTTCATTATTGCTATTTCAAATGTACAAATCATCAAAAGTGTTGCAATATTTTTGTCACTTGGTATTTCCCTGCTTTGATCTCAATATAACTACCTACTGCCAAAAGGATCCAAGAGAATACATGTGAAACACAGACATATGTCTTATTTTCCTGTTCATATAATCTGTTTTACATTTCTTTTTCTCTCTCTTCCTGCCTCTTTTTGTATTAATAAAGTATTTTTATCACTTGATATTCACTTTGCATTAACTCATTAGTTTTTTAAACCTTGGGCAATTACATCCAAATACAAATGAATATTTTTACCATTTCTCAGTCAATGTTATAACCTTAGAACACTTTAACTTTATTTACCCCCTCATGCCTTTATGCTCTTATAGTAATCATGAATTTTAATTCTAAATATATTTTAGTTTCTGTAAGCCATCATCATTATTGTTTTGTACAACCAATATTTAACTACATTTACCCAATATACAATGTTTTCCTATGTTGTGAGCTATTTTCTTTCAGCCTTAAAGAAAAACCATTCCATTGTTCCTACTGGAAAGTTAACCGTAAGTCTCACTGTTGCTCCTTTGAAGAAAATATGTTTTCCTCCCTCTAGCTACTTTTAATATTTTCTTTTGTCTTTAGTTTTCTCTGATTTTATTATAGTACGCTGCAGAAGGTGCTGTCTATGTTTCACATGTATTCTCTTGGATCCTTTTGGCAGTAGGTAGTTATATTGAGATCAAAGCGGGGAAATACCAAGTGACAAAAAAATTGCAACACTTTTGATGATTTATAAATTTGAAATAGCAGTAATGAAGTTCATTTCCATATGAAATTTAGGTCTCTTTGTTATACAGATAAAAATATAAAACAAGCCTAATTCTCAGCATATCATTTGTACTCTGTAAATGTTACAAATAAATATTTCAGTAATCTTTTCAATGAGGGAATAAATGAATGAAGCAGCCCAAATTAATGATTAGGCCAAATTAAAGATATGTGGGCCTCAGTTTTGATCTGGCAATCATTTCATTTTGTTGAACACATCCCTGAAACTCTCTTGGGGCCACTTTCTTCAGGTTATTTATTCACCTGTAACAGGATAGTACTGGTGTGGAACATCTTTAGGTTCTCCTTTGGCTCTACTAGTCTGTGCAACATCTGAAACAAAGTATCTCTGTGCACTGAAGCCAGCCCCCTTTGGTGGCTTCTCAGCCTGTCCCAGGGCTTCCAGGCAAAACAGACTTGCCTAACTCATAATTTTTTCTCTGTGGGTGCCTCACTTCAGTGCAGGAGTAAGAAGATGATGAGGGTTGCTCTGTTCTACCCCAAATCAGACATTTCCTGTGCTCCCTCTAGCTCTGTGTCACCACCTTTGCTTTGCTTCGCACCTGCATATCCATCTTTTTGTCTGCTGCCTTCTTCCTGTCTATGTGTCTACCCAGTGTCTGGTGTAACATCTGACCCATGGCAGGCTCTCATTGAATCATGAAGGGGGTTCCTCCATTGGAAGTTCTACTTCTAATGGCACAGTCTTCTTCCTATCAAGTGGAAACATTTTTTCCTCCTCCAGATGAAGTTTTTTTTTTTTTTTTTGAGACAGAGTCTCGCTCTGTCACCCAGGCTGGAGTGCAGTGGCGCGATCTCGGCTCACTGCAAGCTCTGCCTCCTGGATTCACGCCATTCTCCTGCCTCAGCCTCCTGAGTAGCTGGGACTACAGGCGCCCGCCACCGCGCCCGGCTAATTTTTTGTGTTTTTAGTAGAGATGGGGTTTCACTGTGTCAGCCAGGATGGTCTCGATCTCCTGACCTCGTGATCCGCCCACCTCGGCCACACAAAGTGCTGGGTTTACAGGCGTGAGCCACCGTGCCTGGCCATGAAGTTTATACTTAATGATGGGAAAGAGATTGTTTTAAAAAAGTGTGAAACCAGAACTGCTCAGAAACTTTTCCTTCAGTGCAAGTTATTCACCTGTGGGAAGAGAAAATTAGAAGGAGGAAGGTGCTTGGCTCAGCTTCCCTCTTCTGGCTGTGCTTCCGCTTTCCCCTGCTCACCCCCATCCTCTGCATTCCTGGTTCTGGATACCAGGCTCCTCATACTCACAAGGCAATTAGGTTCCCATGCAAGAGGAAGACTTACTCATTTGGGAGGGCATTGTGGGCAGGTGTGATTTGGGGTGTGCTTGGGCTCTTGTCAGCTCACACAGCAGAGCTCACTCAGCCTCTTATCTGCAGCTCTCAGCAGCAGCAGCAGCAGTTCCTCTTTTGCCTTCTTGAATTTTCCTTGGTCCAGTCCCTTGAAAACTTGTAAGGCCTTGACTGCCCCACCTACTCAGCCCGCCACAGGGTAAATCCATGGCTACCATTGCTACCAAACTTTTCAAGTTGGATATCCTTTTGATAAAAGATTTTTCTGATACCCAATCCACCTTCCTTGAACCTTCTTTATTTGGGGAAAAGACAGTGTGGTTTCCAGCCTCAACTCCAGCTTTCCAGTTGGGTGACCTTGGGTGGACTTTTTGGTAAATCAGTGACAAAGATTCCTCATCTGTAACAATTACAGCAGCAGGCATATGTGAAAGCTCCTGGCTGCCACCTTCAAATCTGGACTTCATTGTCCACTAACAGAGATACCTTAGAACAGAAACCTGTCTTGGTCTCTGCTTCTCTTTCTGCATATTAGGGACTTATGACATCCCTGTGAGAAATATCAAATGAGATGATGCTCATAATAGCCGTAGCAGAGTTTCTAACTCAATACATGTTCATGGTTGTTGCTTCCGCAGCCTCTGAGACATGGTAAATAGTCAAGATCAATTTCCTCCTTTTTTCTTGGCTTAGTGGCGTTTGAGCAACAAGTCAAATCCTGATTTCTCTCTCTACTTCAGGAATCATAGGAAGAATGTAAAGTGGGAATGCTGCCTCTTCTGATGCCTTATGGTTCCCAGCTGAGGTTGCAGATGTGGGCTTCCTGGAAAACACTGTTGTACTCTTTAAGGAACTCTTTCCCAGTCAGTTATTTGCTGAACTGAATGGTCCTTCATTCCTGGGCTTGCCTACATTTCACAAAATTGCAGATTTACTTCTTCTTTTTTTTTTTTTTTTTTTTTTTTTGAGACGGAGTCTCGCTCTGTCGCCCAGGCTGGAGTGCAGTGGCGGGATCTCGGCTCACTGCAAGCTCCGCCTCCCGGGTTCACGCCATTCTCCTGCCTCAGCCTCCCGAGTAGCTGGGACTACAGGCGCCCGCCACTACGCCCGGCTAATTTTTTGTATTTTTAGTAGAGACTGGGTTTCACCGTTTTTTTAGCCGGGATGGTCTCGATCTCCTGACCTCGTGATCCGCCCGCCTCGGCCTCCCAAAGTGCTGGGATTACAGGCGTGAGCCACCGCGCCCGGCCCAGATTTACTTCTTTTAAATAAAAAGAGAAGTTTCCTTTGGAGACCTCAGCAAAGTCCTATGAGAAGGCAGAAATCTGCCAGGGATGACACATGGGTGCTCACCCTGGGTCACAATTGCTCTGTCATAACTGCCCTTTGCAAATGGAGACAATAACATCAGATACAAAAAAAAAAAAAAGTCATTGAGGGGTTAACATTGGGTGAAACCCCTCTAGTAATTCAATAGGTCACAGTTCACAAAACCACAGTTTATTATGATGATTGTTGTTCCATGTTAGAATTCTGAGAATTGGTGACAAAGAAATGTCAGATATTGTGCCTCCTTAGTGTGAATTCACTATTTTTATAACATCATCTTGACCTTCATCAGATAGTAAAAGAAACCACATTACCTGTTGAGGATTCGTTTTTTTTTTTCTCCCTTTATTAACCAGTCTTTTATTCTAGATTTATATCTGATTTCCTTGACTTTTAACACAAGGATTCTTAAGATGATTAATTTTGTTGGCGCCTATGGGTTTGATTTTCTATGGTAGGGAGTGGCAGGGGTGTGAACTTTGGTTCTCACCCTTTCTTAAGCAGCACACCAACCTTCCACATGATGTTTTTTCCTGTTGGAGTAGCTGCTGAACTTGGAAACTTGCTTTTCTAGTTTATGTCAAGTGTTACAAGAACCTAGACAACCAAAAATTATGAGTGACTTTATAATCAAACAACACAAGCAGACATTCCTGTGAAAAGGCACCTGGATCAGCAGGGAAATGGAGTAGGAAAAGATGGTCAGGATGTTACTAATGTGTGTGTGTGCATGCACGCCTGTGTGTTCTTCAGGGGACTAGGAGTTATTCAGAGGCTCTGTACTGGGACTGGGGACCTGGGGAGGCATCATTGCATAGTAGCTAATGGACAACCTCTGGGGTCCAACCAATTTGGGATCCAATCCCTACTTTCCATTTAGGGACTGTGGCTGTATGAACTTGCAAAAGGGACACAGCTTCTCTATGACACTGTATCCCTGTTATGGGCTGAATTGTATCCTCCCAAATCCATATGTTGAAGTCTTAACCCCCAGTACCTCAGAATGTAGCTGTACTTGGAGACAAGGTCTGCAGTCGTTTGCTATGACAGCCCTAGCAAATGAATACACTCCCCTTCCATATAATGGAGGTGACGACAGCAATAGTTACCTAACAGGACTGTAGTGAAGATTGAACAAGACCAGGCATGTAAAGCTTTCAGCAAAGGCCTGATGCAATGCATGCATTATGACCATAGGTATTACTTTCTATTGTTGCAGTAACAAATCATCACAAACTCTGTGACATAAAACAACACAGATCTACCATCTTACCATTCTGGAGGTCAGAAGTACAACATGGATCTCACTATGTGAAAATCAAGGTGTTGACAGACCTATGTTTCTTTCTGGAGACTCTAGGGGAGAATCTCTTTCCTTGTTTATCTGGGTTATTTGCAGAACTCAGTTCCGTGTGGTTGTAGGACTGAATTCTCCATTTTCTTGCTCGCTGTAGACTGAGGGCCATTCCCAGCTTCTGGAGGCCATCACATTTCTTGGCTTGTGGCTTCCTTCCCCCATCTTCAAAGCCAACAATGGTGGGTTGAGCCCTTCTCATTACATCTCTGACCAACTCTTCTGCTGCTCTATCTTTTTTTTATTTTTTATTTTTATTGTAGAGGTGGGGTCTTACTATGGGGTTGCCTAGGCTGGCCTTGAACTCCTGGCCTCAAGGAATTCTTCTGCCTTGGCCTCCCTTGGCCCTGGGATTACAGGCAGGAGCCACCATGCCTGATCCCTCTTTTGTTTTTAATAGCTCAGGTGATTCAGTTGGGCCCACTAGGTAATCCAGAGTAATCACTCTGTCAGCTGATTAACAACCTTAATTCCTTCTGCAACCTTATTCCTTTTTGTCACATAACCAGTAACCTATTATTCTGGAACCCGTAATATCTTTATACTCAGGTTCTAGGAATTATTAGGCAGATATCTTTGTAGGGCAGCTATTCTTCCTACCATACCATCACAATCATCATCCTCATTCAGAATGCATTGGCCTTGGGGTTGAGAGCTCCCTCATCTCGAGGAAAGACTTGCCCCAAAGGCGAAGAGGAAGAGAGGGGAGAGGCTGACTGAAGTTCTCTTCCTTCAGCACTAGCCGAGAGGGAGTTTCTGGATGTTTAGGTGGTGAGATGTGGAGAGATGTGGATCCTCGAGGTGGCTGAAATTATGCTAATCTGTGCCCTCAGACTGACTGGCTCTGACAGCATGGCCCTGCATCTCAGCTCTGAGCCAGCCTGTGGAAGGAAGGGAGAATGGATGCCTCAGCTGGCATCTGTGTGAAAGTGGCTCAGTGGCAACACACATGTGTCCATGTACACACACACACACACACACACACACACACACCCCTGCGGGCTTGACTAGAAAACATGGCATCTGAAAGAGTTCAAAGAACTTAGATTGAGTACAGAAGATTGACAACTTTTAAAAAATCTACAAATCATGCTTCTTTCAGTGTGATACCAATATTGCACCCCTACTATGTGTCAGGCCCAGGGTCAGGTGCTGTATGTGCATTAGCTCTCTTAGGATTACCCAAAGCTCTGCGAGGATTTTCCCTTTTACCAATGACAGAACTAAGGTGCAGAAAGGTGGAGGGCGAAGGCTGCTGCTCAAGGCCCTCAACTGGTAAGTGGTAGAGCCAGGCAGAGCCTTCAGTGAACACAAGGAATAGACGGCCTTACGACAACACAGAGGACTTAGGTTAGACATGAGACTAACTTGGGAAAAACAAAGCTTACTGCAAGGCTTTGCAATGAATTACTAGAAGGCTGTGGAATCTTCTGAATGCCATGGGAAATAGGATGGTTTCTTAATAGCCAGAAGGTGGAAGCAACACAAGTGTCCATAGATGGATAAATGGATAAACAATGTGGTATGTCCATAAAATGGAAAACAATTAAGCTTTAAAAAGAAAAGACACTTTGACATATGCAACAGCATGGATGAACCTTGAGGATATTATGCTGAGTGAGATAAGCCAGTCACAAAAAGACAGATACTATATGCTTCCACTTATTTGTGGTATCTAGAGTTGTCAAATTCATAGAGACAGAAAGTAGAATGGTGGTTGCCAGGGGCAGGCAGGGAGAGGGGAGTAGGGAGCCAATGTTTAATGGGTATGGAGTTTCAAATGGGATGATGAAACCCATCATAGATGGTGGTGATTGTTACACAATAATGTGAATGTACTTCATGCCACTGAACAGTACACTTAAAAATAGCTCAGATGGTGAACTACTGGGTTACATGTATTTTATCACAATTAAAACAATAGGATGGTTAAATGTGGTAATTCATGAAGGTGAGTGCTCGTCTCTAAGGCAGGCTGTCATGCCCTCGGGTGCCACGTGACTTGCTGTGAATACCAATATAACTATCATGTCATCCCCCGTCCTGGTCCATATCCCCTGATGTTCTCTTGATTGTTAGCTGGTAATTCTGCCCCTTAGCTTAGCTTTTAATGCATCACATGGTTGAGAGCTCTCCACCAGGGCTCTGCTGGCTTGGGCCCCCAGGGGTGGTGTTTTTGTGGGTAAGCCTGGGTTTGTAGTTTCTAAGACATTGACTAGGTTTTATGTTGCATGCCTGGGAAGAAGACCTGGGTGCTTTTTGCCAGAAAAAAGCCTTGTGCCTGATTGACATGTGGGTGAGTTTTGAAGAGTATACCTAAGATTGGCTTCGGAATGTGTGATCCAAAAAGGAAAACAATGTGTGATCTTGTTTTTGGTGCAGATGGAAACATAAAAGAATTTGTGCTTCTCTCAAAGTTCCAGAAATTTTGAGGCACAACTTCTGGTAAATCATAGAGGACCTTTAAGTCAAGATTCAGATTTTGGTGGTAGATATCTTTGGATAATGCCTCCTTTTAACCCACTGAAGTTCTTTTCCTTCATCACTGTTTTGCAATTCTCCTAAAAGAGTTCAAGTCCAAGACTTTGTGATTGCCTCTTCCTTCTTTCTTCCCCACAGCCAGTTGGAGGTGGTAGCCCTTAGTGCAGGGACTAGCAAGGTTGGGTATCCTCTTAGCTACTTTGTGCGGGTTTCTCTTTGTGTAAATTGCCTATCCACATCCTCCTATTTTAAAAAGAGGATTATTACTGTTTTCTTATGAAATTGCCTATAAATTTTGGACACTAATTCTTTATTGACAATGTGTGTTGCAAATTTTTTTGTTCCAATCTGTTGTTTTCAAACTCTATTTTTGTTGTTGTACATAATTGAGATATGTATGTAGTCCTTTTCTTTATAGCTGTTGCATTGCATTTCTACTCTACTCTAGATTTACCAAAATGTGATCTTACAGTTTTTTTGTAATGCTTCTATAGTGTGTATTTTATGTTTGTTCTTTAATTCACTTAAAATTCATTTTTGTGTGTATGGTGTGAGGTAGGAATCTAAACTTTGTTTTGTCCCACATAGATACTGGATTGAATCCCCAAATTTTATTTTTATTTCTTAACTTTAGAGACAAGGTGTTACTGTGTCACCAGGCTGAGGTTTAGTGGCATGATCATAGCTCACTGCAGCCTCGAACTACTGGGCTCAAGCTATCCTCCTGCCTCGGCCTCCCAAGTAGTTAGGACTACAGGTTTGCATCACCATGCCTGGCTTCTTCTTAGTTTTTTTTTTTTTTTTTTTGGTAGAGATGGGATCTTGCTATGTTGTCCAGGCTGGTCTCAAACCCCTGTGCTCAAGCAATCCTACTGCCTCAGCCTCCCAAAGTGCTGGGATTACTGGCATGAGCCACTGTGCCCTACCAAACTTTAATTTCCCACTGACCTGAGATCCCATCACTTTCACGTTCAGTGGCTTACATACCCGTATCTACACCCACACGCACTCCTAAATTATACATTGTTGACTCCTCTCTCCTATTTAGAGTTATTTATCTAGTTTTTGATCTAGTTTTCAAGAAAAGCACTTTTTATTTTATTGAGCAACTCTACTACTTTATTACCTCAACTTTATTTATGTTTTTGTATTTATTAATTCTACACTTCCTTGTTTTTTTTCTTTTTGAGTTGAATGTTCTATGCATTTATTTTCATTTTTAGAATTATCTAATATTTGCATTAAAGACTAAGTTTTTTTCAGAATATCTGTCTGACTGCAATTTATGGGTTTTGATATGCATTGCCCTGTGTTTGTTTTAAAATAGTTTATAATCCTGTTTGAGTTTTACTGTTTTTTAAAAGGTTGTTTTAAAGTTCTCAAATGAATTGGATTTTTGTTTCTTCTTTTGCTATTAATTTATATTTTATGAAATTGTGTTTGGTGAAGGTGCCCTGTGAGATTTCTGCTTTGAGAAACCTGCCGAGGTTTTCTTTGAAGTTGATAGTGATCCATTTTTGGACAGGTTTTGTGTGTTTGCAATTTATGTGTATTTTCTGCTTGCTGGATACAAAGTTCTCTATTAAATAATTTCTGTTGGTAATATTTTAAAAATCTTCTAAATTATTACTTTTTTGGGTATATTCAATCTGTTGATTTCTGAAAGAAGTGGGTTAAAATATCCATGTGAGATGGACTCATCCATTTCTTGTCTTTCTATCATCAGTTTTTAAATTAAATATTTTGGAATTAGTTGTTAGCTGCTTAAAGGTAGATGATTTTTATATAGATTCTACCTTTTTTAAATTAGAAATATTTTTATTTGTCTCCTTTGATGCTTTTATCTTTGAACTCTGTTGTCTGAAATTAACATTATTGATCTGGTATCTATTTGTTAGTGTTTGCCTGTGATGCCTTTTGGTTTGTTTTGCTTTAGCCTTCTTGCATTATTTTATTTCAGGAGTGTCCCTCATTCTCAGAATTTCTACCTTTACAGAGAAATTGTACTGGTCACTGATCTGTTAGAATTTATTTTTGCCATGTTACTTTATCTCTAAAATGCTACTGGTTCTTCTCCTTTTTGATTAAAAAAAAAACCAAACAACTTCTTACCTTCTGTTGGATTTTCTTCTTTTTGCTGCTTTCATTTTTATTCGAATGGTTTGAAAGCAATATATCTCAATTATACATTTTTTTCTAGTGATTATTCCTAAAACTGTAATTTATACATTGACACTTATTTCCTCTCTCAGTGTCAATTTAATTTCATCTATATTCCTCATTGTTTACTGTATTGTCTGAATAAAACAAGAATCTTAACTTTTATTTCCCCTGCCATCACCAGTTCTCATTTAAGATTATATGGAATGATCATCAAGAGTATTGTCTTTTCTTGTGATTGATAGTTGTTTAGATGTAAGTATATATTGCTCTTTTCTTACCACTTAAAAAAAAATTCCCCGACAGTCTCTTGGATCATACTGCATTTTGCTGTAGGCTATCCTTTAGTAATTCTTTCAGAGAAGGTGCCTGAATATTAAACTTCCTATTTCCCTATTAATCAGGTGTTGCTGCATTAATGCCATCTAATAATTAATACACGACTTTGTGACTTATAATGGCAAACATATATTTTCCTTGTTTGTGGCTCTTTGGGTCAGCTGGAATTTGTCTGCTTCTGGTTGGGCTTGACTGGGCTTAGCTCCAGCTGTAAGTTGAATTTGAGTCTGTTCCATGTGTCTGGTTCTGGGAGCAGTGGCTCCCTGGGGCATATTCTTCTCATGGCAAATCACAGGAGCTCGAGAGGCCAGCAAAACCATGCAGACACGCCCCAATTTTTGCTCACATATCATTGGCCAAAGCAAGTCACCTGGCCAAGCCCAAAACCAATGGGGTGGGGTTGATAGGGTCCCACAGTGGAGGGAGAAAGTGAATAATTGGAAGCAACAATCTAATTTACCATGACATAACTGGAAACAGTTTTCTTTTTCCTCACACTTGAATGATAGTTTGGTTGAGTATAGGATTTTAAGTTCTTTTAATTTATTTTCTTTTTCTTTTTCTAAAAAAATTAATCCTATCCTCTCTCATGCCTTGAAGATTTTACTTGTTCTTTTTTTAGTAGTTTTTACTTTAAACATTTTAAATTTCTATTTGTAAAAGAATGTATACCTATGATTGGTATCAGTTTAATTATGTCTATTTAAAGATTATCTTCTGTTTCTTCCTAATTCTTTTTCTGGATAATTTATTTTTCTATTTGTGTGTTTGAAGCTTTTTTTTTTCTGATGGATTATAGTCTTCTTTAAATACTTATGCTTTTGTTGATGTCCCTTTCACTTTTGTATTGAAGGTTGTCTGACTGCTATTTCCCCTTTATTACAGTCTAATGACAGGGGTGGTATTGGGCAGGCAAGGCTGTGCAGAGTAGGCTGTCTGTGTGTTATGGTTTGAATGTGTCCCCCAAAAGTGATGTGTTGGAAACATAATCCCCAATGCAACAGTGTTGAGAGATGGAAACTTTAAGAAGTGATTGTGGCATGAGGGGTCTACCCTCATGAATGGATTAATGTTGTTATCTGGGGAATGGGCTTATTATCTCAAGAGTGGGCCCTTATGAAGAGTGAGTTTGGCACCTTCTCTCACTCTCTCTCACACATGTGATGGCTTCCATCCTGTTATGACACAGCAAGAAGGCCCTCACCAGATGTGGCTTCTTGATCTTGGACTTCCCAGCCTCCAGATCACGAGTGAAACAAACTTCTAGTGTTTATAAGGCACCCAGTCTGTGGTATTTTGTTGTAGCAACACAAAACAGACAAAGACACTGTGGATGCGGGCTCAGTCACCATCTGACCTCATCCCTCATGGTGTCTTATAAGTTTTGGGTCCTTTAAGCACCCTTTCTGGTTATCTGACCCAGGTAAGGATTGTTTTCTTTTATAAAGCATACTTTATTCTTGTCTCCAGAGATTTGGGATGAGAGGGAAGGAAGGTATATGTGCTCTGGTTAGTGTCTTCTCTGATTCTTTTTTTTTTGAGAACCCAAGAACTCAGGGGAGAGAGAACAGGAAAGGGAGTCTCTTCCTCCAACACAGGCCTATCTCAGGCTCTGGGAAGCAGTACTGGGCACGGGTGCAGATAAGGTTTGCTCTTTCCTTCCTCCTCCTTTGGCCTCTCCCCGTGTGCAGCTCCCCTGTGCCCGGGCAGGCCGAAGGGGGAAGCTGGCTATGGCTCTGGCCCTTCTCCGTTGGTCTTTTCTGGCCCTAAGCACCCTCTGCCTCATTGCCATCCACATGACGGGCCTCTTGGGAGATACATGTGTATTCTTTGGAGGACCCAGCAGGCTCCCACTGCACGGTTCCCTGATGTGGGGGATCCCCTTGGCCTCAAACTTTTCTTTTTGATGTATCCTTTATTCAATTCAGATAAGGGCCTGGAATTCTCTGCCAGCTGCAAGATGTGTTCATTCACTTGCCCAACATTTGTCAAGTGCCGTTATGGGCTAGGTACTTTGCAGGGGCTTTTTATCCCATAGAAACCTCTGTGTAGGATGATAGTGCTTACAAAATAGATGATGTGGTGTTGTTTCTGTGTGCGGAGGTGGGGAGATGGATGGACTGGTTGGAAAATATTTTACAGAGGATATGAGTCCTAACTGAATCTTGAAAGGTGAGTGGGCAGCATAAAGGGAGAGGAGTGGGGAAAGTCAGGCTTGGAGGTAGACAGTGGGTCCACAGCCCAGTTCCAGGCAGTGAGGCAGTACATTCCCAAATGGTTCTGAACAGGGAGGGGAGATATGACTCCCCTTAGTTTTGGGTTTCAGAAAGACCCGGGTGGTATGAGTGAGGAGGAGGGATTGGATGGGGCAGTTTGGATTGAATGGAGACACTGCTAAGAGGCTGTTTGGAGTTCTGGGAGCTGAAAAAAATACCCATGAGGATGTTTATGTTTGGGAAACTGTGCATCTGCGTGTACACCTGCCACACACACACACACACGCACTCTCTCTCTTGCACAACCAGATCCAGAAGCTGCTGCTCCTGAATCAATTGCTCAAACTGGTGCCGGGCTGCACTTGCTGTGGAAGGATAGAGTCCAAAGAAACAACAGCTCCTGGGGGCCAGTTTTCTTAAAAAGCTGCTTTTCTCTGAGCCCTGGGGTGAAAGCTGAGCCTGAGAAAGGAAGTAGGGCCCCAGGATGATGTCATTGCCCACATCATTCAGTGCAAGGTGGGAAAGGGAAGCTTCAGCATAGCTCTACAATCACCTGACAGCTCAGGGTATCTGGAGGGGGATGCCGAATCTCCAAATAAGTCTTCTCACTGTGCATCAGTGGGAGACAGAAGTGTGGAGAGAAAGGGTGGTTTGTCTGGTCCTTACATGTGCTGCTAATGAAGGTTCAGCAACTTTGCCAAAGGCCGTTAGGAAATCAGGGTATGTGATTATTTTAGGAACCTGTCTTGACTCTAAATGGGTGAGATTAGAAATGTGTAACCATCATTATATTTGTCTCCTGAAGTCACACAGGTCTGTGTACCAGCTGGGCCTAATTCCAGAACCTGTGCTGTGGACTTTTAGGGCTGATTCTCAATGATGGAAGGTCCCTGGCGCTGAGACTCAGAATGAAAATCTGGGTCTAGGAGAGGAGGGTTCTACATTTTGGAAATGGCATTATCCAACACACATTTAATACTAATTATAATTGGATTTAATTTCCCACAAAGCTCAGCTGAAACCCCCTTTTGCCTCCATACTATTTTTCTTGTAGAAGAGCTATAATTAAGTTACCCATGACATTGTCAGATTTCATTTTGGGATGAAATGTCTCATGCTTGATTTTGGCACAGAAACACTTTCTTTTGGAAAGTGTTGTAAAATACCCTTTCAGTTGCTTTCTTGTAGTAAAAAGTAGAAAAAAACTATCTTCACTCTTGTGTATTCTTCCCAAAAAGGACTTGAGTCTGTGTCTTGAGCCTAAAATTGTTTAGTGTTGTTTTTTTTGGGGATGTAGTGGGGTTGTGGGGAGAGGGTGTTTACAAAGTAAATGCAAAAATTCTCCAGTTATCTAGAGGCCACTTTTCTAGCCTTGATTATTTGTAACACAGCCAATAACACGAATTTAGTAAAAGCAGCTACTGAACTGCCAAAATATTATCAAAACTCCAAGAACCCAAGCTCTGGCTCACAATATATATGTCTCTTAGATGCGCCTTCCCAGTCAACTTACTCTTCATTTAGATACAATAATATAATCCTGGTTATATTATTTCCTTGACCCTCAGCAAATTAGAAGTAAGGATTGAAATGAGAGCCTTCCAGAAGTAGGTACCCTGATGTCAGAGTGACAACTGGCAGACAGACAGCAAGTCTAGGGAGAAAAGAGGTATAAAAAATGGGGAGAAGAGAGACCCACTTATTGAGCTGGACCATGAACAGGAGACAGAAACATAGCAAAGGGTAGAGGGTGCCCAGAGGAGTTTAGATTTTGTCCCATTTAGTGACTGTGCAATACGTCGAGAAAACTTTTCATCCTGTGAAATTAAATAAAGCAACTTTGAAACTTTGGGTTAAAGGAACATTCACGTTTGTGAAACTTCACCTTTCTCAAAGACTACCCCTGAGAAGCCAATAGCCTTACAGCAGAGGTGACCCATCACCATGGTCCAGGCAGTCATCAGAGTCCCTGAGGGTCTGCTGTTGGTTAGCCGTGGAAGCTGAGTGCAGTGCCTGGTGCAAAGTGGCATCAAAAATAAATGCCAGCTCTTCCAGTTCTAGAATCAGATGGCATACACTCAGTTTCCCCTCTCCAAATATATCTAAATCCCCTGGAAATTATTTGACAGACAGTTATAAAAGGACCCTAAAAACTGAAAAGAAGGAGGATTTGGTATGGGCCTCAGGACTTGAGGAATGACAATGAGGTGAGTGCTTGGGTTTTCTTTGTATCTCTCAGATTGGGTGCAGGAGGGATCTGCAACCTGGGACCGACAACAGACATAGATTAAAAACAAACAAGAGAAGCCTGATCTCCCCGGCCAGAAGACTAGGGAAAGGAAAGCCAACCAGAGACCTAGTGGGGACCTCCAGCCTCAGGTCTGTAACCGGGTTCCCTGCAGGTGGTCTGATTTGTTTGGAGGAGGAGAAATGAAGCCTTGATCAGTCCAGGCCCCACTCACAAGCCCAGATCAGTGGGCGATCCCATCTACCCATAGTGGCAGCAGCCAGGAGGCCTATGTTGGTGTGAAACTAAAGAAAATATTAGAACTAATGGCTAAACACTTCCCAAGTTTGGCAAAATATATAAATCTTCAGATTCATGAAGCTAATAAAATCCCAAATAGAATAAACTCAAATCCACACCCAGACACATCATAGCCAAATTTATGAAAACTAAAGACGAAGAAAAAATCTTAAAAATAGCTAGAGAGAGGCTGGGCGTGGTGGCCCATGCCTGTGATCCCAGCACTTTGGGAGGCTGAGATGAGTGGATCACCTGAGGTCAGGAGTTTGAGACCAGCCTGGCCAACATGGTGAAATCCTATCTCTACTAAACAATAAAAAAAAATTAGCTGGGTGTGGTGGCACATGCCTGTAGTCCCAGCTGCTCGGGAGGCTGAGGCAGGAGAATCGCTAGAACCCAGGAGGCAGAGGTTGCAAGTGAGCTGAGATTGTGCCACTGCACTCCAGCCTGGGTGACAGAGCAAGACTCCATCTTAAAAAAAGAAAAAAAAGTAGTCAGAGAGAAATGATACATTATCTATACAAGAATACCAATTTGATTGACAGTGGATTTCTCATTTGAAACCATGACTATTTGAAGGAAGTGGAACAATGTTTTTCAAGTGCGGAAAGAAAAGAACAGCCCCAATTCACATATCCAGTGAAACTATGCTTCAGGGTTGAAAGAGAAATAGACACCTTCACAGAAGAAGAAAAACTAAGATAATTTGTTGCTAGCATAGCTACCTTTAAAGAATGTCTAAGGAAGCTCTCCAAACAGAAAGAAGATGATAGTAGAAAAAGGCTGGAACCTTCAGAAAGGAAAAAACAAACAACGACAACAACAACAAAAAACAATGGAATGGATAGAATTAGAAGTAAACAGATTCTCCATCTCATGAATTTCTTTGATTATATTTTATGGTTTTATGGTCGAAGCAAAAGCTGTAACACCATTTGATGTAGTCCTCAATGTCTGCAGAGAGAATACTTTTAAGAGGATTACATTTAATAAGCAGAGACAATAAAAGGATCTAAATGAAAGTAAGATTTCTACACTTGTGTTATTGATTTTCTGCATTGTCTTTCTGTTTTAATTTCCTTGATTTCTGCTCTTATATTTACTATTTCTTTTTTTTTTTCTGTTTGTTTTGAGCATATTTATTTATTTTTTTGAGGTGGAGTCTTGCTCTCGTCACCCAGGCTGGAGTGCGGTGGTTTGATCTTGGCTCACTGCAACCTCTGCCTCCCGGGTTCAAGCCATTCTTCTGTCTCAGCCTCCTGAGTAGCTGGGATTACAGGCATGCACCACCATGCCTGGCTAATTTTTGTATTTTTGGTAGAGATGGGGTTTCATCATGTTGGCCAGGCTGGTCTCGAACTTCTGACCTCAAGTGATCTGCCCTCCTCGGCCTCCCAAAGTGCTGGGGTTACAGGCGTGAGCCACCGTGCCTGGACTGTTTTGAGTATATTTTGTTCTTTTTTTCCCTAGGTTCCTTAGGTAGAAGTTTAGGTTCACTTGAGATTTTCTTTCTTCCAGTGTATGCATTTAATGCTATAAATATCCCCCTCAGTACAGCTTTAGCTGTGTCTCACGACTTTTGATATGTTGTATTTTCATTATCATTCAGTTGAATGTATTTTTTAAAAAACTCTTGAGACTTCATCTTTGACCTATGGATAATTTAGAAATGTGTTATTTAGTTTCCAAGTGTTTTGAGATTTTTCTTATTGATGTCTAATTTTATTCCATTGTGGCTGGAGAATACACTGTATGATTTCAATTATCTTGAATTTGTTGAAGTGTGTTTGGCTCAGAATAGAGTCTGTCTTGGTATAAGCTCTGTAGGCAACTGTCAAGAATGTATATTCTGCTGTTGTTGGGTGGATTGTTCTATAAATGTTGATTAGATCCTGTTGGTTGACGGTATTGTTCCATTCTTCTATACCCTTGCCAATATTCTGTCTGGTTATTCTATCAATTGTTGAGAGGGAGGTATTGAAATCTCCAGCAGTAATTGTGGATTAGTCTATTTCTCCTTTCAGTTCCGTTGGTTTTTGTTTTGCCTATTTTGCAGCTCTGTTGTTGCATACACATTTATGATTGCTAAATCTTTGGTGGATTGTTTCTTTTATCATTATACCATGTCCCTCTGTCCCTCTGGGTCTCTGATAATTTTCTTTGCTCTGAAGTCTACTTTGTCTGAGATATACATTATATATATAATCTCAGTTTGTTTACCTTCAACCTATCTATACTATTATGTTTTAAATTGATTTTTATAGATATTATATAGTTGGATCATGTTTTTTTAACCCACTCTGCCAATCTCTGTATTTTAATTGTCATATTGTAACCATTTACACTTAATGTAATTATTGACATGACGTAAATCTGACTTTTTTTCTCTGTTCTTGTTTGCATTTTTCTCTTTTTTCCTTTCTTTCCTATGGGTTATTTAAACATTTTTAAGAATGTAGTGTTGGTTTATCTATGGCATTTTTGAATGTCCCTGTATTAGTCTGTTGTCATGCTCCTAATAAAGACATACCTGAGACTGGGTAATTTATAAAGGAAAGAGAATTAATTGACTCACAGTTCCACATGGCTGGGGAGGCCTCATAATCATGGCGTATGGTGAATAAGGAGCAAAGTCACATCTTATATGGCAGCAGGCAAGAGAAAACTTGTGTAGGGGAGCTCACCTTTATAAAGCCATAAGATTAATGAGACTTATTCACTATCATGAGAACAGTACAGGAAAGACCTGTCCCCATGATTCAGTTACCTCCCACAACACATGGGAATTATGGCAACTGCAATTCAAGATGAGATTTGGGTGGGCACACAGTCAAACCATATCAGTTCCTCTTTGCATGGCGTTTTAGTTGCTGTAGGTATTACATTATAGATTCATAATTTATCACAGTCTACAGGTGTCATAATTTTGCCAATTTTAGTGAAGTGTAGAAATCTTATTTGCCTTTATGACCCCTTACTATCCTCATTTATAATATAATTGTTTTAAATATTTCTATTACATAATTAGAACTATATCAGAGGGTGCCATAATTTTTTACTTCAAATTTCAAACATAATTTAGAAAACTTAAGACAAGGAAAGTGATATGATTTGGTTATGCGTTCTCACCCAAATCTTATCTCAAATTGTAATCCCCATGTATTGAGGGAGGGACCTGGTGAGAGGTAATTGGATCATGGGGCATTTTCCCCCGAGCTCTTCTCATGATAGTGAGTGAGTTCTCATGAGATCTGATGGTTTAAAAGTGTGTGGCTTTTTTGCGTGCTCTCTTTTGCTCCTGCTTTGCTGTGGTAAGACGTGCTTGTTCCCCTTCTGCCTTCTGCCATGATTGAAAGTGTCCTGAGGCCTCCCCAGCCATGTGGAACTGTGAGTCAATTAAACCTCTTTTAATTATAAATTATCCAGTCTCAGGTATGACTTTATAGCAGTATGAAAACAGACTAATACAGAAAGTGTATTGTATTTATCGACATTTTTGTTTGCTGTTTTCTTCCTTCCTTTCTGATTTTCAAAGGTCTGATTTTCTTCTTTTGTCATTTCTTTTGTATTTATAGAACTTCTTTTATCCTTTCTTTTATTATAGGTCTGTTTGCTACAAATTCTCTTAGTTTTGTTTCATTTGAGAATGCCTTAATTTCCCCTTAATTTCTGATATTTTTGTTAGATATAGGATTCTGGGTGGACAGTTATTTTCTTTCAACACTTGAAAAATATGCCATTTCCTTCTAGAGTCCATGGTTTCTGATGAGAAATATGCTGTTATCTGAATTGGTTTTTATCTATAGGTAAGGTGTCATTTCTCTCTTGCTGTTTTAGGTTTTTTCCTTTGTTTTAATTTTCAGAAGTTTGATTATGATAGATTTTTGCATAGATTTATTTGGTTTGACCCTGTTTTTGGTTTTCTCAGCTTGCTGAATCTTTAGGTGTTACCAAATTTGGAAGGTTTTAGTCATTATTTCCTTTACCAGTTTGTCAGCCCTGTGCCCTTTCTCCTCTCCTTCAAGAACTCTGATAATACAAAAGATGTATCTTTTGTTACAGTCTCACAAATCCCTATGGCTCTGTTTATCATTCTTTTTCAGTCTACTTTCTTTCTGTTGGTCAGACTGAGTAATTTCTATTGTTCTATGTTCCAGCTCACTGATTCTTCCCTGTCCCCTCCATTCTGCTGCTAAGCCCACCCACTGAGCCTGTTATTTTAATTATTGTATTTTTCACTTCTAAAATTTCAGTTTGGCTCTTTTCTTTGTATATCTTCTTGTTCTTTGCTGAGAGTTTCAATTTATTTGCTGAGAATTTCAATTTTTTATTGGTTTCTCGTGTGCTTATAATTGTTCATTGAAGCATTTTTATGACAGCTACTTTAGAATCTTTGTCAGATAATCTAACATCTCATTTCTCTCAGTGTTGGTATCTACTGATACCTCCCTAGCTGAAAAAGATATGAGTGACTCATTTCTGCTCCCCATGCAGCCTCAACTGACACCACTGATATGGGGTGTGGGCCTTCTTACACTGGGCTGTGGTGAAATCCTGGTTCTCCACTCTCCTTTGAGACTACACTAGCAGAGAGCGGGAGGCCTTATAACTCTGAGTTAGGGGTAAAAATCCAGACTGACCAGGTGATCTTTAAAGGCACCATGTAGTGATGGGAGATGCTTGTTACTGCTTGGTGGGGATAGAAGTCCTGGCTCCCTATTCAACTTTCTCTGACACCACCTGACAGGTGATTGGGGCACATTCCTGCAAGGCTAGGCTCCCACTTGACCTTGGCTGGTGTGGGTAGTGGCTGAGCCACAGTTTTTCTTGGGTGTTTGGCTGGAGTAGGATGGTTATTGCCTGAAAGTTTTCTGTCTTGCTAGGCTGACTTTTGCTGGCCCTTTGGCTGTGGGGAGCAGGCTTTTGTCAGGGCGATTTTTGTCTGTGCCCACTGGTGTTTCCAGTTTGCTGGCTTGTTCAGTTCCAACTCTGGCATATGTGAGGCAAAACATTAACTTGGAACTCCTTATCATTTTGTTACTTGTGTGTTGAGGTTCCTAGCCTCCTGTCTGCCTTCTCTCCACCTCTCAGAATCTTCTTACCTAGTTATTGATTTTACATATAATGTCCAGGGTTTTTAGTTGTACTTACCAGGAGGAATAGGGAAAAGTACATCTCCTTCATCTCATAAGCTCAAATTCTGGCATCACATTTTTAATTATAAGAAACATGCTGTGTAATCCCAGCACTTTGGAAGGCTGAGGCAGGCAGATCACGAGGTCAGGAGGTCGAGACCATCGTGGCTAACACGGTGAAACCCCATCTGTACTAAAAATACAAAAAATTAGCCGGGTGTGGTGGCGGGCGCCTGTAGTCCCAGCTACTCAGGAGGCTGAAGCAGGAGAATAGAGTGAACCCGGAAGGCAGAGCTTGCAGTGAGCTGAGATGGCGCCACTGCACTCCAGCCTGGGGAACAAAGCGAGACGCCGTCTCAAAAAAAAAAAAAAAAAAAGAATCATGCTCATTTTTACTAACTTGTAATAGATTCTGGCCTGATGGATTATAATTTTGAAAACACAATCAAGATCCAAAGACAAGAAAAGCTTCGTCAAAGGGACTGTGTTCTATATACCATGTACCAAATGTGCTGATTTTTACAACTGTGACTTGCTTCTGTGAGCAAATCTTGTAATTGGAACCCTCACTGAAGCTTTCTTCTTAGAAGTCCATGTTGAGAAATGCACTGATGTGAGATTAGCATCTGAACATGTTGCTTAACATAGCTAGTATTTCCACACAAACTCATAGCTACTATTTCCACACAAACTGTGATTTATATCAGGAAATGGGCTCTTGACAGTTCTTAAAGAAACACAACCAGCTAATTCGTGGCAAACCCATATTTGGCAGACTTGGGTTATTGGAGCAGGAAAAATAATTTCTTAAAAACAGTAGTTGCCCCCATTAAAAAGTAGGCAAAGGACATGAACAGACACTTCTCAAAAGAAGACATTCATGCAGCCAACAAACATATGACAAAAAGCTCTACATCACTGATCATTAGAGAAATGCAAATCAAAACCACAATGAGATACCATCTCATGCCAGTCAGAATGGCAATTATTGAAAGGTCAAGAAACAACAGATGCTGGCAAGGCTGTGGAGAAAAAGGAACGCTTCTACACTGTTGGTGAGAGAGTAATTTAGTTCATTGTTTAAGACAGTGTGGCAATTCCTCAGAGATCTAGAAGCAGAAATACCATTTGATCCAGCAACATCCAGCAATCCCATTATTGGGCATATACCCAAAGGAATATAAATCATTCTGTTATAAAGATACATGCACATGTATGTTAATTGCAGCACTATTCACAATAGCAAAGTTATGGAATCAACCCAAATGCCCATCAACACTAGACTGGATAAAGAAAATGTGGTACATGTACACCATGGAATACTGTGCAGCCATAAAAAGGAATGAGATCATATCCTCTGCAGGGACATGGATGGAGCTGGAAGCCGTTATCCTCTGCAAACTAATGCAGGAACAGAAAACCAAACACCGCATGTTCTCACTTATAAGTGAGAGCTAAACAATGAGAATACATGGTCACATGTTGGGGAA
Organism: Homo sapiens; assembly: GCF_000001405.40. Lineage (NCBI taxonomy): Eukaryota > Metazoa > Chordata > Mammalia > Primates > Hominidae > Homo > Homo sapiens. Next base: position 111,624,127 of record NC_000002.12, on the reverse strand, counting down.
CAACACACACTGAGGCCTGTCAGAAGGTGCACTGGGGGGAGAGCATCAGGAAGAATAGCTAATGGATGATGGGCTTAATACCTACCTGATGGGTTGATCTGTGCAGCAAACTACCATGGCACATGTTTATCTGTGTAACAAATCTGCAAATCCCGCACATGAACCCTGGAACTTAAAATAAAAGTTGATTAAAAAAATAGTAGGTGCATGATTGTGCCTGTGAATAGCCACTGCAGTCCAGCCTGGGTAACACAGTGAGACCTGTTTCTGAACATAAATAAATAAATAAATGGTAGGTGTAACAGGTGTGAGAAGGCTGGAAGGTGCTGGAAGATGAGACACAATGCTTGGTTTCTGATCCAAGCATTCAGTGTCTGGTAGGAGAGAGAAATACAAAGAAATGATCCTGGGGCGGTGGTATAGTAGGGAAGAGACTCCTGGAGACACCATGGAGGGAGAAGCAACCTGCAGGGGAGGATAGTGAGGCACAGATAGACTTGGTATGGGCCTTGTAGTGAGGTGAGAAGCAGCATCTGAGCTGAAATTGTGGGGGCGATGATGGGGTGCAGGGAGCAGCATGCAGAGTCATGGAGGAAGATCCATTACTGCTGAAGGAGAGTGGGTGTGGGGCAGCATCAGAAGACAAGGCTGGAAGAATAGGCAGAGACAGATTGCAAAAGATCTGGATGCCATGAACTGCGGAAAACATTTTTTTTTTTAAAGAAAAAGTTGGCTTTGAAGGGAAAAGGCCTTGTTTTGGTACCTCTGCAATAGTTTAAAATGCAAAGGCAAGACTAGGAAGATGAAGAAATGGGAAACTGTGACATGTGGAAGAAACAAAGGTGCTACCCTCCGAAGGCGTGGCTGAGCCTAGGAAATGGGAGGGCGGGGCAGGTGGAAGGTGTTTGCACAGATGATGGGGAATGTTTCATGGAAGAGGTGTCTTTCTCATGTCATTGGGTGACCCCAAGGCATAGGCCCAGGCCCACTGGGGAGCCACGGCCAGGCTGATTTGTCTTTGCCACAGGAATGTTTCCACACAGCTATGCATGGATGCCATGGCTGCCTATGAAGGAGTGAGCTCCCTGTTCCTGGAACGTGTTGTCCAATGTGTTGGATGTGCTGGCCAGTCAACCACTGAGCTAGTGAAATTTGAGAATTTGAGCTTCCAGTGGGCAATTGGATGAGACAATTTCCTGGGTCCCTTTTAGGCCTGAGGATCTATGATTCATATTTACTAATAGACTGGGTGGAAATCATGTTGGGATCAAAGTGTGAAACACTCGATTCTAACACAATCCACTCAGAGAAATGGAAGCTTTGCAATTTTCATTATTTATGTTTTCTGTGAGGATCTTTCTCAGTGCAAGGCACTTCTATAAGCCTTTGTCAGAATTTTCAGCCACTCCACGATTGGTATGATTCCTTCAGAGCTGAACTGTGAACCTGCTATGGGCTTAGCTGGGAAAATGTATCATCCATGTGAATCTAGATTGGATCATGTCCCCAGATGTGCCCCAGAATCAAACTTGCTCCAAGTTGGGGTCATTTGACCCAGGACTACTCTAAACCACTGCAGATTCAATATTTTCAGAGTTAGGAGGGAGCTCAGCCAGCCACGGGGAGAGAACAGAGCCATGCACAAAGGCCACAATATTGGGCAGGAACTGTGTTCTTGCCTTCACTGGCTGTATTCTCAAATATGCATTCTTCTTCTCTTTCCCTTCTCCTATCCACCTGTGGGGCTGATTAATAATCATCATAGCCAATCTATTGAACATTTGTAGTATTTTAGGCAATGTGACACATATTTAATCTCCTCAACAACACTAGAAGTAGAAGTTTTTTTTTTTTTTTTTGAGACAGAGTTTCATTTTTGCTGCCCAGGCTAGAGTGCAATGTTGCGATCTTGGCTCACCGCAACCTCTGCCTCCTGGGTTCAAGCAATTCTCCTGCCTCAGCCTCCCGAATAGCTGGGATTACAGGCATGCACCACCACACCCGGCTAATTTTGTGTTTTTAGTAGAGATGGGGTTTCTCCATGTTGGTCAGGCTGGTCTTGAACTTCCGACCTCAGGTGATCCGCCCACCTCGGCCTCCCAAAGTGCTGGGATTACAGGCATGAGCCACCATGCCTGGCCAGAAGTAGAAGTTTTTATCTCCACTTAACACAGGAAGAAACTGAAGGCCAGAGTGATTAGAACTTGCCCAAGTTTGCGGAGCTGGATGGAGCCACCAACTCCTGATCCTGAAGTATTCGAGTCCCGTGTATGACCTCATTTGATCTCTTTTAAAGGTTCAATCAATGATCTTTTTTCTCTTAAAAGGGAATAGAGGGTCCCCATTTTCTTCTCCACTACCAATATGAATAGAAATGTTATGAGGCTGTGTCTATGAAAAACATTCCATCGTAAATGTGAAGCACAAAGGAATATAAATCATTCTATTATAAAGATACATGCACATGTATGTTCATTGCAGCACTATTTTCACACACTGACCATGCCCATGAAACCACCACCAAGATCAAGACTCAGAACACAGCCGGTTCCCCGGATGCCCTGCCATACCCATGGCTTCCATCACCATAGCTCAGCTTTGCTGTCCTTGATCTCCTCATATGGGTCATGCATAGTGTCCTCTTTTGTATCTGGCTGCTTTTGCTCAGCATTTGTAAAAGCCATCCAGTGGCGTTCTGGTCAATTGGTTCTCAGAAGACAAAAAGCAAAACCAACCAAAAAATCAAAAAACAAAACAAGATCTCAGTTTTAACATTTACCAATGTCAACACCTCCACCATGGCTGATGTCAAGCTACCAATGATTTAAATTCCAGACTATTTCGTGATCAAGTCTTGTGAGCTGATATGGGCCAGCCCCATCATCTGCAGGACTCATTCACCTGGTGACGTGTGGTTGCATATCATGCATTTTCAGTGTCCCAGGTGTACAGATATGTGGGCTCTTTTTTATTGTGGCCTTTGGGCAAGTCACTGGTTTTGGAAGCAGCCTCTTTGGGGGAGTTTCATTTCTGTAGCTCTGTGATGCTAAGTTGCAGAGGTGTGAACACTGGGGCCAGAAACCTGCGGTCCTGGTCTTGTCTCTATCAGTAACCCTCTTGACTCCCATACTCAATCTTATCCATACAGATGGGAAGCCGCATTCCTCCTCACAGGCTTGTGAGGTCACTTACCACTCATTAGGTGCTTAATAAAGGGTTTCTCCCTCCCTTTCTCTCTCTTTTTCATCTCAGAGAAGGTGACTGTACCTTGGGTGAAGTTGTATGGAGATGTAGGAATCCATGTCCTTCCACTGATCTTTGGAGTGTTTTGCTTTGACACCCAGAGCCTCTGCAGGATCCTCTGAAGGGAAGGAAAGGAAGGAGGGAGGAAGGAGAGAAGGATGAAAGGAGGAGTGGAAGGTGGGGAAGGAGAGAAGGAAGGAAGGGAAGGAAGGAAGGAAGGATGGTGGGCCTATCAGTTCTGTCCCTGTGAGCCTGGAAGAAGAGTTCCGTTGACAGATGGACCGTTTGAACTGGCTGCCTGTGATGGACCCAGAAGACCTCTCACACATGGAAATGATGTTCTTTTTGCACCAGAGTCTCCTTGTTCCTGAATACAGTCAGTCATGTGTCACTTCACAACGGGGATACGTTCTGAGAAATGCATCATTTGGTGATTTCATCGTTGTGTGAACATCACAGGGTGTACTTACACAAGCTTAGATGGCATAGCCTACTACACACCTAGGCTGTATGGTGTAGCCAATTGTTCCTAGGCTACAAACCTGTACAGCATGTTACTCTACTGAATACTGCAGGCAATTGTAACACAATGGCAATAATTTGTGTATCTAAACCTTAAAAAGACACAGGAAAAACACAGTATGAAAGATTAAAAATGGCACACCTGTATAGGGCACTTCCCATGAATGGAGCTTGCAGGACTGGAAGTTTCTCTGGGTGAGTCGGTGAGTGAGTGGTGAGAGAATGTGAAGGTTTAGGACATTGCTCTACACTGCTGTAGGCTTTAGAAACACTGTACGCTCAGGCTACACTAAATTTATTTCAACATTTTTTCTTTAATAATAAATTAACATTAGCTTACTGTAACATTTTTACTTTATAGATCTTTTCATTTTTAAATTTGTTTTGCTCTTTTCTAATAACAGCTTAAAACACAAACACGTTGTACAGCTATACAAAAATATTTTCTTTCTGTATATTCTTATTCAATAAGCATTTTTTCTGTTGTAATTTTTTTTAACATTTTACACTTTTTTATTCAGAACTAAGACACAAACACACACATTAGCCTGAGCCTCTGCAGGGTCAGGATCGTCGCTATCACTGCCTTCTTGTCCACATCTTGTGCTGCTGGAGGGACATCGGGGCAATACGATGCATGGAGCTGTCATCTCCTAGGATAACAGCGCCTTCTTCTGGATACCTCCTGAGGGACCTGCCTAACTATTTTTTCATAAGTAGGAATACACTCTAAAATAATCATTAAAAATACAGCAGTAAATACCATAAGCCAGCAATCTAATCATTTATTATTATTATCAAGTATTATGTATTGTATGAAATTGTGCTAGACTTTTACAGGCCTGGCAGTGCAGGAGGTGTGTTGACGTCAGCACTGCCACAAACACGTGGGTAATGTGTTGTGCTATGATGTTATGTGCTATGGCTGGAAGAAGTCCTGGTGAGCCTGGAAGAAGAATTCTGTTGACGGATGGACCACTTGAATTGGCTGCCTGTGATGGACCCAGAAGACCCACTCACATATGGAAATGATGTTCTTTTTGCACCAGAGCCTCCTTGTTCCTGAATACAGTCATGTGTCACTGTATTTGCGACATGTGGAAGAAACAAAGGTGCTACCCTCCAAAGGCATGGCTGAGCTTAGGAAACGGAAGGGTGGGGCAGGTGGAAGCTGTTTGAACCTTCTCCCAAACCCATTTACTTAACAATGGTGATTTCGTCATTGTGTGAACATCACAGGGTGTACTTACACAAGCTTAGATGGCATAGCACTGTCACTTGGTGATAGGAATTATTCAGCTCCTTTATAATCTGAGGGAGCCACTGTGGTGTATGTAATCTGTCATTGACCAAAATGTTCTGACCATAGATCCTCACAACCCAGGCGTCCTCTGGAGAGATGTCCCATCTCTGAGGGATTGTGAAAGGAAACCGGAGAAAGGCAGTCAAGAGACCAAGAATGATAGTCTGTGAAGACGTTTTTCAGGGTGAAGGGGAAGTAAAGACTTGGCTGCAGAGGGGAACCCGGGGCCTTCGCAGCCAGGAGGCTGAGGCCTCAGCAAGGCAGAGAGTGCCCACTGGCCTTGTGTCGCCACCAGCTGGGTTCGTGCATCCACCAGCAGGAGCTTCTCCTGGAAGGGGGGTGGGGAACATCTTCCACGGAGTTGGGCCAAGGGCACTTTCTCTCTGCCACAGGCTGGAGAGTCATCTCCTGCTCTCTCAACTGTAAAAACATGCTGATGTGGCCAAGGGAAACAAAATGCCCCTCCCTGCCTGGGAGTTCAATCCATGTCCCTTTAACAGCTGGCTGAGATGGAGAACAGCATCTCCTTCCAAATCAATGACTGTTTTTTTTGGATCCCCCTTCAGCACCCCAATCCCAGGACTTGGGGCTTCCCGGTGAAAGCTGCTGATTTCTGTGACCTCTTGGATGGATGCCTTGCGTCCCAAGGGCAAAGATCACGCTCAGATCCCTGTCTGGGGCCTCACTTCTTGGCCGCCTGTCTGCCGCTCATGCTGCTGCCGCCTCCCCAGGGCTTTTTGGAGGATAATCTAGAAAGAGGCAGCCTGGTATGCATACGGAACGGAAAAAGTAATGATTCTGGAACTGGCTGGATCTAATTTAAAATCCTGGCTCTGCAACATGCTGGCTGGGTGACTGTGGGCAGAGCCTGGCTCCCATGTGTCAGGCACCCTGTAACTTCTCCAAGAGCCCTGCAGATTCAGAACATCAACCCCACTTCCCTGGGTTGGGGGAGGCAGAAGAGCTGCCCGGGCTACGCAGGCCAAGGCAAGACCAAGCTGGATTTGAGCCCATGCTGTTCTGACCACAAAGCCACCCTCTGTTGTCCACGTGACACTCCAGTGCCACAGGCTGGGAGTGCCCCAGGAGCACTGGAGTTCCTGTAGGTCCCATAGCTCTTCCTATGGGTGGAGGTGAGGGGTGCACAGGAAACTCTTCCTGCCTGGAGAAGGTGCATGCACACGTGCGTAAGGTATGCATTCTACTCATGGGTGGCACATTTATTTAACTATTCCTTTACAGTCAGACATGGCGATCACTTCCAGTTTACTGTTCATCAGTAAAGCTGTGTAAAATATTCAAAATCCCAAGTCTTTTCTCCATTCCTACTTCCTTATGAGACATACCTGAAAGCCGAGTCACTGTGTCTCTGTATGAAAAATGCAGGCCTTAAATAAAATACCTGTTGTTAAATTGCCATCAATAAGGGCTCTGGTGGGACTTGTACTCCCCCTGCTCAGAGACTTTTTCCCTGTAGCTGGAGGCTGTTTGTGAGTTAAGGTCAAGGCTATGTTGTTTTGATCTTTGGTTAAGACTAACAAAATACCCAGTGTGTGTATGTGCGTGTGTATGGGGGGGAGGGGAGGGCTGCAAAATCAATTTCTACCACAAAAGGGCACCCTCAGTGCCCTCTCCACTGTTTTCCCAATCTATTGTTTAAATCCCACGGTGCATAGGCAAATGCACAGAGAATGTAAGGAAATGAAAAAAAAAAACAAAAAAACAAAACAAAAAAAACAACCAGAGAGGAAAAAGAAAAAAGAAGAATCTTGCCTGGGATAGTGAGTATATAAGAGGTTTTCTTTTTCTAGTCAAAATGTTTTTACAGTAAAAATGGGAGGGGAGGGAAAGGATATCCTCAGCCAGACTATGAACCCAACCCTCTTAGATGTTAGACACTTGGGAACAGACAGGACCTGTCAATTAATTTTTAAGGTAAAAAATGTGGAGATCCTTTTGTTCCGCCTGGAAACTGAAGTCCAAGCGTGGTCTGTCTGCCCTCTGGCAAGGCAGGCTGCTGACTTTTCTCTCCAGCTGTGCACCTGTGTGCAGGTGCCTCTCAGGTGTCATGCATCGAAGTGAAGTTGCTCTGACCCAGCCTCTGAAGAGGACAGAGGGGCTCTGATGCTGCTCCAGTGAGCACTCTGTCGGCTGAAGTGCGGGTGCTCAGGCTCTGGCTGACCAGGGCAAGCGTGGGGTGAGAAAGAGCAGCCGCATCTGGATGTGCAGGCCAGTGATGCCCAGCAAGGCTGCATTCCTCAAACCCCAGGGACAGGGAGCCATGGACTTCACCTGGTGACCTTCAGATTCTGCCCTGAGCTTAACACGGTACAGGGGGAGGGCAGATACCATCTTCATTTTACTTCTGGCCTCCTCAGTCACTGGGAATGGTGATGCCAGGACTTGACTGTAATTGGAGATAGGCCCTTTGAAGAGGTACTTAAGTTAAAATGAAGCTGGTAGGGTGGACCCTGATCCAAACTGATGGGCGCTCTTAGAAAAAGAGGAAATTTGGACAAAGAAGAAACACGAGGAGGTCTTGTTCATAGAGGGACAACCACGTGAAAAGACAGCGAGAGGGCGGCCATCTGCAAGCCAAGGCGAGAGGCCTCGGCAGAAACCAGTCCTACTGGCACTTGATTGGGACTTTGAGCCTCTAGAACTGTGAGACATAAATTTCTGTTGTTTAAGCCACCCAATTCATGGCATTTTGTTTTGGCCATCCTAGCAAACTAATACAACCAGCCTCTCTCATCTCACACACAATTTAATAAAACTGGAGTCATTCTGCATTGCAGTTCTGTATCATGCTTTATTCACTTCATCTTTGCATTGTGAGCCCTTTCCTGTGTTCACGGTTCCCTGCTGACCAGGAGGATAAGGTTTGAATGCCACAGCCCAGCACTCGTGATCATCCATGGACAGCCCTTCTTCTACCCAGCCATGCTGGTTTGCTCTCTGTTTCCCAGACTCTGTATGTCTGTCTTTTCTGCTCCTGCCAGCCCCTGGCATCCATTAAAAGTGATTTTCCCTGCTGTCATTCAAGGCATGGCTCATACTGAAACCTGTCTTGCCATGTATCCCGCTTCATGGCAGGGCATTTATAAATCAACCTGTGTCTCCAGCATTTACCATGCTCCCTTGTAACACATATTATGTCTTCACCCAGCCTTAGGAGATGGTGATTATTTTAAAATGAGGATTGAGAATTGTTAGTCTGTTCTGGCATTGCTATAAAGAAATACCTGAGACTGGGTAATTTATAAAGAAAAGAGGTTTAAGTCGCTCATGGTTCTGCAGGCTGTACAGGAAGCATGATGCTGCCATCTGCTCCACTTCTGGAAAGGCCTCAGGAAACTTAAAATCATGGTGGAAGGCGAAGGGGGAGCAGGGATCTTACATGGTAGGAGCAGGAGCAAGAGAGAGTGAGGGGGGTGGTGCTACACACTTTTAAAAAACCAGATCCCTCAGTAACTCACTATCACAAGAATAGCACCAAGAGGTTGGTGCTAAACCATTCACGAAGGACCACCCCCATGATTCAGTCGCCTCCCACCAGGCCCCACCTCCAAAATTGGGGATTACAATTCAACATGAGATTTGGGTGGGGACACAAATCCAAATCATATCGAGAATTACAGGCATAATTAAATTATTCCTTGGTCCCTGTCTCTGACTTCCATTAATATTAGAGAAAGGGTAATACATCTTCATTAAGTTGGGTTTATCTCAGGAATGCAAGCTTGGTTAAGCATTAGAAACCCAATCAATGTGATTTACTCTATTAATGGAATGAAGGATTACAATAATAAAATCTTTTTCAAAGAATGCAAAAAAGCATTTGTCAAAATTCAATATCCATTAATGGTAAAAACTCTCAGCAAACTAGGAACAGTAGGAAACTTCCTTAAAATAATAAAGGCATTTACAAAATTCCTGCAGGTTGCATCATGCTTAATGGTGAAAGCCTGAACTATCTCCTAAACCCATTTACTCCTCCTCAGGGAAGACTTCCCTGACCCCATGTTTAAGTCAAACACTCATTATACATTCCCTTAGGACCAGCCTCTCATCCAAAGAAGTGATCATAAATGCAATTTAAAATGTATTTGTGGTTGGGTGCGGTGGCTCATGCCTGTAACCCAGCACTTTGGGAGGCCGAGGCAGGTGGATTTCTTGAGGTCAGGAGTTCCAGACCAGCCTGGACAACATGGTGAAACCCCATCTCTACGAAAAATACAAAAATCAGTTGGGTATAGTGGTGCGTGCCTGTAATCTCAGCTACCTGGGAGGCCAAGGTGGAAGGATCACTTGAGTCTGGGAGGTGGAGGCTGCAGTTAGCCAAGATCGTCCCACTGCACTCCAGCCTGGGTGACAGAGTGAGACTTCGTCTAAAAAAAAAAAAATTATTTCTGCCACTATTTGCTTAATGTTTGTTTTCTGGTGTAGGCATTCAGCTCTGTGAATAAAAGCATTCTGCTGATTTCTGCTGCCCTGTATCCAGACGGAAGGAATGGGTGAGTGAATGACAGGCACCTGTTCTGTTTACAGTCAGTAAAGTAAACACAACACTACACGTATGAACTCCACCGGAAAGATGAACACTTATGGCATATTTGGTGCCACTGTCCCAGGGAGAGTAGAAGTACAGGGTTTTGTTCTTCTGACTTGAGAAATTTTTGTGCTAGAAGGGCCACTGAGGGTCATCCAGGCCTATCACTGCCCACACCAAATTTATAGGTGAGGTCACTAGGGCCTGAGATCTGAAGCATGCATGACATCCCGAATGAACTACAAATCCTAGGTCAGAGTTAACAGTAGTGGTAACTGCACAGGATGAGTTGGTGCAGGGTGACAAGCTCATGCGTGGTAGCTATTTTGAATCAATACCCCGTAACTAACCTCTGCTGTTTGAAACACCTGGCAGAGTGCTGCAACTCACCCTTGGGCAAAGCCCCACTCTCTGAGGCTGTGGTGGGGTTCAGGGAATACTACCCCAAAATATGGCAGATTGGCATTGGAGAAAACGGCAGAAGCAGGAAGGCCTCTCTCACCTTCTCCTTGCCCTTCTTTTCCTGAAGCAGGCCATGAAACCAAGCTGACTTTCTCCTGGAGCAAGGCATAAGGTCCTTGTGTGAGAGGTGCCCACTCTTTACCTGGAGGGGAGGAACGTCTTTATCTCTGAAGACACAGGGATGCAGAAGAAAAGCTGAACAAACAGGCCTTGCTGAGTTCCCCCTTGTATATAACTAATTAGATCATACTCTCTTTGTCCAATCACACTTCTCCACTACTATCGACTTCTCCATCAAACTTACAATAAAAACACACAGGTGTCCCTATTCCCTATTTCTTTATCTTTTTCTTTCTTTCTTTCTTTCTTTTTTTTTTAAGATGGAGTCTTGTTCTGTCACCCAGGCTGGAGTGCAATGGCGTGATCTTGGCTCGCTGCAACCTCTGCCTTCTGGGCTCCAGCAATTCTCCCACCATAGCCTCCCGAGTAGCTGGGATTACAGGTGCCCGCCATCATACCCGGCTAATTTTTAAATTTTTGTAGAGACGGTGTTTCACCATGTTGGCCAGGCTGGTCTCAAATTCCTGACCTCACGTGATCCACCTGCCTCAGTCTCCTAAACTGCTGGGATTGCATGCATGAGCCACTGTGCCCAGCCTCTTTGGATCTTTTTTCCTGAGGTGTCTTATGTTACATAAAATTTAAATTAAATAAGTTTGATGTTTCTCTTGTTAATCTGTATTTTGCCATAGGTGCCTCAGCTATGACCCTCGTAATGGGTGAGGAAAAAACATATTTTCTTCCCTGCAGCTGCTTGGCCACCTGCCTTTTGCTTGGATTGGCAGAAATCTGGCTTAATCTGGCTTCTCCAGTCCTCCATCACCTGGCCAGGAGGTAGCCCTTGGTCTAACCCCTTCTCATGTTTGGAAGCAGACTTTCCCTTTCTTTCTAAGGACTGGTAGGCAGCTCCTCATGGATGGAGTGATAACTCCAGAATGTCTTCGTGTGATGGCTGTTGGAGTGGGAAGTGGGCTGGGAGGCTGTGCTGGCATAGACTTTGTGTAGGATTGAGAAGACAATAACTGCCAGTGTGAAGATCAGGCGGGAGTTGGGAAGACAGCTGAGAGTGGCCAAGGGGAAGCCAGAGCCTCTTCAAGTCATCTCTAGATGGGTGTGAAAGGGAGAGAAGAGGCCAAGAAACCATGAGATTAAAAGGTGGAGGTGGGGGCATAGAGATCCCAGCTGCTCTAGGGGACCCTCCCAGGCAAGTGCTGTGTGTGTATGCTTCTCCACTGTTCCTTCTGCAATGCATTCCATCTGGCTGCTAGATACGGTAAAGGGAATGAAAGGTGGGAAAGGCAAAGGGTGCGTTTAATCTACCCTTCAGCTGTGAATTCTCTAGAGGAGAGCTAGTCCTTGTGTTTGTTGATGCAGCTGCCTCTCTCCTGAGACCTGTAAAATGACTTTTTTTTTTAAAGGTAAAATCATGACTCTTACACAAATGTAAAATGAACACATGTCAAAGATTTTATTTAGTTCATTAATTAATGAGGGAACCAGTAAGATGCTACAACCAGCCCAAAGGAGAATTAAAAATGCCACGCATAGCTAGGACAATAGGAATGCTGACATAGAATTTACAAATAGATGCAAAATTGATGATAGCCACTGGACAGTCTGTCCACATGTCCATGGACAAGGATAGTTGGCATTCCATGGGTCTTTTACAACTTGCAAACCGAGGAAAGTTTAGGTCCTCCTTTTTCCTTGCTGACCTTTCATGGGTCAGCCCTCATCTGGACATCAACACTCCTGAGACATGTGGTCACTGCAATAATTGACTGAAATCAGTAAAGACACAATTTCTCCCTCTGCTGCTCCGTGTTCCTGTCTAGATAGTTGTTTTCCTCTCCAAGTAAAAGTTGTTAAAGAGCTTAAAGACAATGAAGGGCAGAGAGAGCCAGGATGTGAATACTTTTCTGCTGTACTGTCTTTCACAGATCCATGTTGCAGCTGGGAGCATGGGGAAATCTGGACACGCACTTCACCAAAATGAGACAACTGTGGCAGGAGACAGGCTAAGGCGAGTGGGGACAAATCAATGTGCTGGATGCCCTGGTGTACCTGTGACGAAGAAGCAGGAGCTGGGAAGAGAGAGGAAAAGGAAATAGACAAGTGAATAAATAAATAAGAGTTCAGAAACCCCGTCTCCACCAAAAATACAAGAAATTAGGTGGGCATGGTGCTGGTGCCTGTAGTCCCAGCTATTCGGGAGGCTGAGGCAGGAGAATGACGTGAACCCAGGAGGCGGAGCTTGCAGTGAGCCGAGATTGTGCCACTGCACTCCAGCCTGGGTGACAGAGCAAGACTCCATCTCAAAAAAAAAAAAAAAAAAAAAAAAAAAAAAGAGTTCAAAGGAAGTGTAGAAGAGTTGAGAGAAGAACTCTATTTGCACATTCACTCTTCAGTTCATTTCCTCATTCATTTTCTGAACAGTGAATCTGGCTCTGTGCTGGATCCTGGAGCATAAAGACTAAATTAGCTGCACAAAGACCCTGATCACTAACATCCTAGTGGGAAAGACACACTGTGTATTAAGCTGAGTAATCACCACCTTCCCACCATGTCTGTATCCTGATCCCTGGAACATGTGAATATTATCGTATATGGCAAAATGGACTCTGTAGATGTGATTAAGTTCAGGATCTTGAGATGGAGAGATTACTCTGCATTGGCCTAATGTAATCACAGGGGTTTTCATAAGGAGGAGGCAGGTGATCAGCATAGGAGAAGGCAATGTGATTATGGAAGTAAATGTGGGAGTGCTGCAGCTACAAACTGAGGAAAGCTGGCAGCTCTGGAAACTGGAAGAGGCAAGGGACAGATTCTCTGCTGGAGCCTTCCAAAGGAGCCAACCCTCTGATACCTTGCTTTCAGCCTTGAAAGACACATTTTGGACTTCTGACCACCAGGACTGTAAGAGAATAGATTTGTGTTGTTTGAAGCCACTGAGTTTGTGGTAATTGCTATAGGAGTCATAGGAAACTAACATATATGCTGAACAATTGCATGGTCGCATGATTGCAATGTAGAGTGTTTTGAGGAAGGAAATTAAGGCAGCTGGGGAGCTGATGACAGGTGTCCTGGAGGAGGAGGTTTCCTGTGGAGAGCTGAGGGCTTTGAAGGAGGCCACCCATGGTGGTGGATTGGGGACGTGGCAGTTTCAAAGCATACACCATGTGAAGGAAGGACCCTGCAGAAGTCCCAAATCAATGTTTTCTTGCTTATCCCTGGTGGACGATGGAGGCTGGTGGCAGGGGCATTAATGTGTGGCCATGGTGGTCTGTGTGATATGGTGAAAATGCAAAGGAGATGAACTCCCAAGACTTTTGGGAGACATTTATAGGAAGATGGGTGCTAAGTAAATCCAAGGCAGTCTTTTCAGACAGAGGGCTTGATACCACTAATTAGGCAGCTTGGATGAGTGGCACCATGGAACTGGCTGGTGGTTTTCTTGTCAAAATAGACACAAACTCCCTTCTCTCCATGTCCTTAGAAGATGTGAATTTAGAGGTCTCCACATTGCCTGACAAAGTCTGTTTTAACTGGGTAAAATAAAAAAAAAATTACCATTGTATTGCTCCTGAACCTTGCTTAAAATTCCCTTTAAAGATCTGCAAAGGGTTTTGCTCATTTGTACAATCTTAAAGGTCACAAAATTAGAAGCTTAGCAGCCACATGCCAACTGCACACAGCATTTGAAATCTTTGACACAGACCGTTCCAGAAGTCACAATTGGCCAAGCTGCACTTCTTGTGACACTCAGTAGCCTGCACACCCATCTCCTGGCTTGTAAGCATATGCCTTTTTGTCCAGCCAGCTGAGGTACTTGGTTCCTGATTGTTTTCTTGTTTGTTTTTTAATGCTCAGATATTCTCATATGGTGAATATTTGTGAGCCAAATTACTTGGCAGGAGCGTTTGATGCCATGGCCAAATGGGGAGCCCAGAGTCAGCATCTTTTTAAAGCTAACTCTTACTTGCCAGCTCCTCTTTCTGCCCACATACTCGCCCCGTACCAGGCCCAGTGGCTGTTGCACAGACAAACACCAAGCAGTCCTGCAAACCCCATTTGCTTCCTTCTGGGCTTGATGCTGCCTGGGAGTGGGCTTCTCCCTGGGTGGTATGTAGGAGTTTTCCTTACATTTTCATTTCTTATCAGCTTACCATTTGCAACTGATGCAGGACAGGCAAGACCCCAAACTGGGGCTTAGCCCAGGAGGATTCTTGGCTTTGCCCAGGAGAGAATTCAAGCACAAGTGGTGGTGTTAGACAGCAACTTTTATTGAGGCAGCAGCAGCTGTACTGCTCCCTGTGGAGCAGGGCTACCCCACAGGCAGTGTGCCCAGAGTAGCAGCTCAGGGGCAGTTCAGCAGTCATATTTGTACCCACTTTTAATTACATGCAAGTTAAAAGGCAGTTGATGCAGGCATTTCTAGGAAAAAGGTGGTAACTTCCGGGTCATTGGGTTACTGCCATAGAAAGGGGTGGTAACTCTCAGGTGTTGCCACGGCGATGGTAAACTGACATGGCACACTGGTGGGCATGTCTTATGGAAAGCTGCTTCTGCCCTGGCCCTGTTTCAGCTAGCTCTCAATTTGGTCCAGTGTCTGAGCCCAGCCTCTGGAGTTGAGTCCCGCCCCCTACCTCACTATCTTGGTTCTATTTGGAGATGCCCTGAAAGGCTGTGTCCAGTCCCACAGTGAGTGAGGAATCTATGCTGAGGTTCCTTTGGAGGTGAATTTTGAATGACGTATAACCCAGTACAGTGGAAAAGTCCAGAACTGAGGGATGCAGGCTAATATTAAAGACTCATAGTTTTGGGGGCTGTCTGTCCAAAGGCTCATGCATGGGCAGAAAGAGTTCACCTGACCTGTGCTGTGGGAAGTTTGCTGTAAACATTCTGATAAACATTTAACTGTAGTCCCTTTCAGTACCAGTGCCATGCCCTGCAGTGTTCACTAAGCACCCACAGGCATCTGCTCTCTGTGACCTGCTCATATGACGAGCTAAAGTCGAGCATGCTTCATTCACAGCCAGGCCTCCTCCTTTTTGTTGGCCTGAGTGTGTTGCTGACCATTCATGGGTCAGCCCCGACCTGGACATCAACACTCCTGAGAAATGTGGCAACTGCAATAATTGACTGAAATCAGTCTCTCCCTGTTTGCTGGTCCATGTTCTTGTCTAGAGAGTTGTTTTCTTCTCCAAGAATAAGAAGGTGGAATCGATTTTTCCACCTTTTGTTCCCCTCACCCCAATGATGATGAGGCACCAGGAGGGAATTTTCTGACTTTCTGCAGGCATTTATGTTCTGCTTCACATCATCATATTTATTCCTTTAATGTAGGAGAACCTTAAATGAAGCTTGTTGGAAATAGGCCATCCTCCATAACCTGGGTTTGTTGGAGCCCATCTATAGAAATGATTTCTTGGCAACTCTAGTTCTCTTGAGCATGTGTGCTATGGTTAAAGAGGCAGAAGGGCACAAGAATTTTAGCACCCTGAGGACTGAAAACCTTCCATAGAACCAGCATACATATTGTTTTATAAATAAGGAGTATTCTTGGCGTATAGTTGTTTGCAAAGAAAGGGAGCTCCTTAAGATTTATGACCCAGCTCACAATAACCAGATGACCTGAATCAAGGGTGTATGTCAGGAAACAGGATCCTGGAGGGGTCAATGACAGTGTCCATCTGTGGCCTCAAAGAGCCCGTTCCCAACTCTCCTGCCTTTTGACAGAAGGTCTGTCTGGTTATGGCTTTAGGAAGATAGATGACTTCTATATAGTCACAGGAAGAGTCTGCGTGCCTGGAGCTGTGGGCTAGAAAGGAGGTGAGAGATGCTGGCCTCTCCAAGGCCTCGTCCACGTGCCCCATCTCCAGACAGGAGCAGCCAGGGCTCCGTTAGGCTGCAAACAATGGAAAGCCTGAATAGCAGAGGCTTAAAAAACATGTGGTTTGCTTGTCTCACCTGAAAGAAGTCTGAAATTTGGAAGTCCAGGGCTGGGTCAGAGGTTCAGAGATGCTGGGGTTGAGGCCTAGATGGCTTTTTGGCCTTTTCCCCAGGAAAAAACAGAATCAATCAGAAGGTGGCTGATGTAGGTCAGGTGGGCTGGGGCTGGAGGGGATGGGAGGCTGTGAGTCTGGCGCTCCCTCTTGCTGGTGTGGGGATGGGTACCAGGAGGGCTTCTCTCCTCCACCTTGCTCTGTTGCTCTGTTGCTCTGTTGCCCAGGCACCCATTGCCAAGAAGCCAGACTGGAATTCCCAATGGGATGGGGCAGTCCCAAGGCACATGGAATCTTTGGTGGGACTTATACACCCTGTACTCCTGTGAGCTCCTCAGTCACTCTGGTCAAAAACTCTAATATTGTTCCTTTTACACAGTCATCACCCAAAACCCTGTTAAACACCCAAATGCACCTGGGGCAACCCTTGACCTTATGGAGCCCACTTTCTTTGCAAACAACACAGATGTTGAGATGAAGCAGGAAGGAGTGGTTACATAGGAGGATCCAGAATCCCCAACCCCGAGGAGTTCGATATGGGAAAAATGCCTCTGAGTAGGGTGGAGGGATGCTCAGAGGGCTGCAGGGTCCTGGGAAGTGTCTGTGTCTCAAAGTGTGCTCCATATTCATACCCCGTCTCTCCCCACTGCTTTTATTTGCTTCGCTTTTGAACCTGTGATTCACCTTCTTTGGTCTCACCTCTTCCTCGGGCCCTTTGGTTAAGGGCAGGCTGATTACTGCATATGGCTGTGCCCCAGCCCTCTGCTTTACCCAGCGATTAAGGAGAAGCCCACACCAATTCAACAAGGCTTGCATTTTAGGAGCAGACAAAAATCTTAGACCCAGAAGCCAGGTGTGCAGAAAATGCATGTTGGCTTCCCTTTAGCGTTATCTAATTTCCCAGGCTCAATTCTGTCTGGGTAAAGGAACATTATTCTTGGTTAGCTGAAGTCCCCTGCTTTTCCTGCAGATGTGTCTGATGCTGGGGGCTGGCATTGCTCCCCTTGGGGGCTGGGAGATGCTCTCCTTTCTGGTCTTTGGTTGTCAGAGCCTGCTGTTCACTGCTGTTGTCTCTTGTTCTGACTCCACCCCAGCTCTGCTTCAATCCTACTCTCTCCAGGCCACAGCCACCCACTTGGACCTCCCATGAAGCTCTTGGGAGCTCTCACCCATCCTGGAGGGAGCCCATGTAAATTTGGGCCTGGCTTGTTGATTCTGAATCACCAAATAGGCATTTGCGCAGCCTGCCTCTCCAAGGGAACTTCAGGGTTTTGCTGCCACTCTGGACTTTGTCTGAGGCTATCTTTCTGCACAAACTGCACAAAGTGGGGATGAAGCCCACTTCATGGGCACAGGCCCTTCCCAGGACACTGCAGCCTCTCCATACCCCTCCCCCCTACTCAGGAGGCCTCTGTGCTGCTGAGGCCAAAGATTTGCTTTGAAAGGCCAAATGTTCTTCCTGAGCCCTGGTCTTAACCCGGGGCTGAAGCTTTGCTCTCAAAGGTAAAGGTGAAGACCTCCATTTTCCTCTGCTCTCTGCAAATTGCCTTTGGCTGAAGCAGGGAACAGGAAATGAATGACCAAGTTATGTGGCCTGGGAGAGGGAGAAGAGCCCAGTCAACAGCTCAAGAAATCCCGCCATGTCTACTTAAGGGGAAGAAGAGAGAAAGGAGGATAAAGAGAGATTTTTTTTTCCTTTTAATATAATGCACATTAAATTTTAGGTTTTTTTTTTTTTTTTCTACATTTAGGTCCCTTACGTGGCAGAAAATTCCAAAATATATTAGTAAAAATGAACCCACCTTACATACTCTTGGGGTTTCGTTGAAATGTTGAGAAGTTAAGAAACTTTGTTAGATTATTTTACTTAATTTTTAAAAAATAGCCTATCAAGGAGTTTTCAAAACTTTTTAGGTGTATAAACACCCTATTTCGGAAACCACCGTATTTTACACTTTCACTTCCCACCTACACCAGCTCAGTGACAAGAAAGTGTCTGAAACAAGGTGCAAAATCAAGGTTCTCAGAAACATGCTTGGGACCTCTTGTTCCGCAGCTTGGCTGCTCTTTCCGCCCGGAGTGTCCTTAGCCTGTGCCCCTTTCGAACTCCGGCACTTTGTCTGCGGAGTAGCTCCAGCGCAGTCTCCCAGCGTTACCTGGCAGCCTCCTCCTTCCTGGAGCAGGAGAAGCGGCTCTGTCTCCTGTGTTCCATCATCGATTATGGCTGCTCTCACACTGGGTTAGGAAGGTTTGGTCACCTGAGTGCCTCCCTCCTCTGTGCTGTTGGACTCTATGGTTTACATACTCCTAGATGCTATTTTTTACATACTCCTAAATTTTCAACCTGAGAAATCTGAAACCATCCCCTAACCTTACCTGGTTACCTGTTGAAAAATGTGTTATCCCAGAGGTAGATTCTTTGGGTCCTAGGCATCTGGACTTGCAAGAGTCTCATGTCAGTTTCATGTGCTTACAAAGGTGATAACAGAGAGGGACATAGCTGTGAGTTTTTCCCAACGGCCAGTGAGTGCTTCGTTCCCTGTATCATGTTTTATTTATTTATCTATCCCCAGGGCTAGTGCAGTTTGGACATAGGGTGCTATGGGTTGAATTACATACTTGTCAAATCCATATGTTGAAATCTTAACCCCTAGTACCTCAGAATGTGACATTATTTGGAGAGAGGGTATTTATAGAGGTAATCAGGGGAAAAGGAGGTCTTTAGGGTGGGTCCTAATTCAATATGACCGATGTCCTTATATAGAGGGAAAATCTGGACACAGAGCTGTATACATCCAGGGAGAACGTCATCTGGAGATGAAAGCAGAGATCAGAGTGATGCAGCTCCAAGACATGGAATGCTGAAGATGGTGAGCAACCCACCAGAAGCCAGGAGAGAGGTATAAACGGTTTCTCCCTCACAGCCCTTAGAAGCCACCAACCCTGCTGATGCCTTGATCTCTGATCCTCAAGGATGTGGAGTAGCTGTGTGAGAGGCTGTCTGAGGGCTCTTCAGAAAGTTCATAGGAAATGCATATTATGAAAAAACTATGCTGGATTTCAAATTTTTTGCACCAAAATTGATTTGTACTACCTTTTTATAACATGTTCATGCACAATCTAGTTTGAGGCACTAAGAAGGATAATACATCAGTTTGAAAAGAGCCTCTATCAGAGCAATGTGAATTTCTGCTAAAATTGAAGTAAGAACAAACATCAAATTTATAGTGAAGCTTGAGGGGAAGTATGGTGAACTCATTGATGCTTTGTGAAAAGCTTATGGGGACAATACCCCCTTCCCCCAAATCAGCAGTTTACAAATAGATAACTTCTTTTAAGAAGGGAGAAGTTGAGGCTGGGCACAGTGGCTAACGCCTGTAATCCCAACACTTTGGGAGGCTGGGGCAGGTGAATCACTTGAGGTCGGGAATTCAAGACCAGCCTGGTTAACATGTGAAACCCCATCTCTACTAAAAATACAAAAAAAAAAAAAAAAAATAGCCAGGTGTGGTGACAGGCACCTGTAATCCCAGCTACTTGGGAGGCTGAGGCAGGAGAATCACTTGAACCCAGGAGGCAGAGGTTGCAGTGAGCCGAGATCGTGCCACTGCACTGCAGCCTGGGTGACAGAGCAAGACTCTGTCTCAAAAAAAAAAAAAAAAAGGGAGAAGTTGATGTTGAAGATGAAGCCTGTGGTGGCAGACCATTCATGTCAATTTGCAAGGAAAAAATTAACCATGCCCTAATTGAAAAGACCTGATGATTAACAGACATTTCAGTTGGTTCAGTTTATGCAATTCTGACTGAAAAATTAAAGTTAAGTAAGTTTTCCACTCAATGGGTGTCAAAACCATTGCACCCAGATCAGCTGCAGACAAGAACAGATCTTTCAATGAAAATTAAACAAGTAGGATGAAGATCCTGAAGGATTTCTTCAAATAACTGTAATAGGAGACGAAACATAGCTTTACCAGTACAATCCTGAAGACAAAGCACAATCAAAGCAATGGATACCAAGAGGTGGACATTTTCCAGTCAAAGCAGAAGCAGACCAGTCAGGAGCACAGGTCACAGCAAGAGTTTTTTGGGATACTCCAGGCATTTTGCTGTTGACTGTCTGTAGAGCCAAAGAATGATAACATCTGTTTATTATGAGAGTGTTTTGAGAAAGTTAGCCAAAGCTTTAGCAGAAAAATGCCACTGAAGAATTCAGCAGAGAGTCCTTCTCCACCCTGACAATGCTTCTGCTCATTCCTCTCATTAAGTAAGGGCAATTTTGTGAATTTCAATAGAAAATCATTGGGTATCCAACTTGCAGTTCTGATTTTGCTTCTTCTGACTTCTTTTTGTTTCCTAATTAAAACAAAATAATTAAAAGGTACCCATTTTCTTCAGTTAATAATGTAAAAAGACTGTATTGATATGGTTAAATTCTCAGCACCCTCAATATTTTAAGAATGGACTAAATGGGTGGTATCATCACTTACAAAATTGTTTTGAACTCAATGGAGCCTATATTGAGTAATACGGTTTATAAAGTTGATATTTTTCATTTTTATCTTTTGATTCCATTTTCCATGAACTTCCTAAAGTCCTCTTGTATTTCTAGGAGGGTCTTGGATTAAAGAAAACAGGAGGAAGGAACAAATGAGAAATTATTCTCATAGTTTATGGCGTGTCTTAACATCAAGTTACTTTTAAGTCTTTTATTCTTTTAGGAAGATATTTTCTCTTTCAGGGAAAATTAAGAAACATCAGGGCCTGAGTTATGTTGGAAAATCTCTCCCCTACTCTGACTGTCTGGCTTTATTCTGAGCCCCCAGGCTATAACAGTGGCACTTGGGTGGGATGAGAGTGGGGTGGGGCTCACATCTACATGGCTGAAGACCAAGGCAGAATCTCACACCCAAGTCTTGATTCTCTGTGCTGCTTAGCTGTTGTTCACACCATTTTTCCTGCTTGTGTCCAGATCTGAATGAAACTGATGGCTGTTGGAGAGGCCTTTGTCATCTGACTCTATCTGTTCCTCTGTCAAGTAATACCATCAATGATGCTATTCATAGAAACATTTCATGTTTGAGAGGTGTTAGGAGTTGAATTGTCTTCTAGAAGCTGTTGAATTCCTAACCCTTTATATCTGTGAATGTGACTTTATTTGGATATAGGTAGGGTCTTTGCAGATGATCAAATTAAGATGAGGTCAGTAGGGTGGGCCCTAATCTGTATTACTACTGGTCATTCTAAAAAGGGAAAATGCCGATACAGACAGATGCATTCAGGAGAATTCTGTGTGAAAATGAAGGTGGAGATCAGTGTGATGCATCTCCACACCAAGGAACACTAAAGGTCACCAGCAAACCACCAGAAGTGAGATGCGAGGCATTGAATAGGTTTTCCTCGCAGCTTCGGAAGGAACCAACCCTGTTGACACTTTGTTCCTGGACTTCCAGCCTGCAGGTGGTTGTGTAAGCATTTCTGTGGTCGAAGCCACCTGGTTTGCAGTACTTTGTTAGGGCAGCCCTAGCAGACTAACACAAGAGGTCATTGAAAGTGTCATATCCAGAACAGTGTGCCTTTTGGGGGAGGAAAGTCCAGTTGGCCCTTTCACATACACGAACATCTCACATTTAAAGACACAATTCCAGGCTGTCTGTGGACACTCATAAGTGCCCGTGAAAGCCGCCTCAGCCATAAACTTCTTGGAGTCACATTGTGAAGTATTTATTTTTAATTACAGATTTTCTTTGATGATCCTCTTCTCTTCTCTTTTTGTTTCCTTGGCTTGTCACTCATTCGTTGTGGTAAATAGACTGCCTGCTGTTTACGATGAGAAGTAGCCTGTGCTTTGGTCTGGTCTCCTGACGCCCGGTTGCCAGCAGTCCTTGCTGTCTCTGGGTTGGAAGCCGTGATGCCTGCTCATGGGCTCGCTGTCTCCTCAGGCATGAAAGTGGAGGCATCCTTCTGGCTCTATTTTCAACTTACCTTGGTGAGGCCACAAGACCCTATTGACACATGAAGGGGAAGCACAGAGGGAAAGGGGGTTTTACTTTTCCTCTTCAACAGGGCTAGCCCTCGGGGACTGAGCGGAGAGAGTTGTGAATGCTGGGTTTTGAAACTGGCCCCAAACGATTGTCTCCTGGAATCAGAGAAGGAACAACCGACCGCGCCTAAAAGAAACAGAGTGTTTACCAGTCTTGCTGGATGGCTTTAAAAACCCAAATACATACGCATTCTCATTAGCCCATAGCACTCAGCCATCTTCACCCCCATTAGAGAAAGCCAGTCTGCTGCCTGCCCCCCTCAAGTCACTGCTGAGCTCATAGCATGTGTCGGGGTTCTGGAACCTCACAGATGTATTGCCGCAGACACCCTTTAGATGAGAGGTGTAGGTTAGGGGCACAGGCAAGGGAGCGGTCACTCCTAGACCTGAAGCATCTCTTCCATAGACGTCACAGTATATATCTTCCCAGCCAGCTCCTCCCCAGCCCTTCAGGGAAGGTGAACACAATTCCACACTAGAGTGGCTTTTAAAGAAAAATAACATGTATGAACTCTTCCCAGAATTCTATGAAATGAATGAGTTTGCATTACTTTTTCTAGCTTATGACCCGAGTCTTTTATTTTTTCAGATACATTTAGTTGTGTCTTTCAAAATCTATTTTTGCAGAACCTACCCTTTGTTAGCATTGGGCTGGAACCCCGGAAGGATAATTATGTGTGGGACTTGGTAGCTGCCCTTAGGTGTACAATCCCATAAAGGAGAGATGCCATATGCAGAATGATGAAATGCAGCATGAGGCTAAGTGTCCAGCATGGGTTATGGAGGGTAGATGAGAGAGAGGTTGGTGCCCAGAAGACAGCCGTCCTGCCTCGGGCCTATATGTCTGCAGAGGCCCACAGGAGTGGGGCAGTCCTGTTCAGGGAGGGCTGAGGGGTTCTCCGAATCTTATCAGGTAGGACAGGGAGACTTTAGAAAGGATTGGGCATTCAGTTTGTGGGTGTGTTATAAGCAAAGTCTGGAGCAGCTGTGAGTTGGATTTCACTGGGTTTCATGGAGCAGATGTCTCTTGCTGGGGAATGATGGGATGTAAGACTAGAGACAGACACAGTCAGAGGCAATGTCTGCCTTGAGGCAGACAAACAGATTTCAACTTGGTCTTCTGGGCCTAGGCAGTGAGAAGCCTGGAAGGTGTCTGAGCTTGGAGATGACCTCATAGATCCAACTTTTTGGAAGATTGGTTGGGTGGCAGAGTACACTGTATGAAGGCACAGGAGAGAGAAAGGACAAATGCACAAAGGAAGGATCCAGAATTCCAGGGCAGGCTGGACATGTGGGCCTGAAGGAAGGGGAGGGGTGAAGGGAGACCTGACCATGGCTTCTGCCTGCTTGACCAAGCTTGGCATGTACATTAGAATATACAGAGTTTGAGGCCTGAGGACCCTTGTTCTTTTTCAATAAGTAATGGTATTTTAAAAACCATCTCTGGGTTTTATCATGAGCAGAGGTGAATTCCATGCACGGTGAGGACTGTTTTATTTATTTATACTTGTTGAATAGTAAACAGCATTGAAGAATGTTTTTAAAGAAACCCAAACTTCCTTTTCCATTTCTCAGTATTAACTTTCTTTTTAGCAACTAGGGACACAATTGAATGCTATTTTCTTAAACCTGCCTGACAGAGCAGAGGTACACGCTGGGGGGCGTGGGAACCTCTATTTGGCAAAGGGAACTTCTCCTGTTATTCCCATATGGAAAGAGACATAAATTTGGGGAGAGCTTGCTCCTTCCCTACATTTCTGTGATCCATGGTTAACAGTCTCCTCAAGTGAATTTCAAATTCTCTTTCCAATAAGCTGCAAAAGTACTTAAATCATTTATTTGTTCTGCTCCTGAAATGAGAGTTACTCACTAAAGTCCCAAAGTGTCCCGAACCATGAGGTGTCCACAGTAAAATGACATGTTTAAAAGTTGCCATAAATGCTGGTAACTGGACATGATAATAAATCTGAGTCATTTCACATGGCCAGTTGGGTCGGTAATACAAGACATGAACTTAAAATATATATCTTTTTGCCTTTCGGGCTATAAAGATTAATAAATTGTGTAAATTTCCAAGATAAAGTGTGAGACATTCTGAATTTTATGTGAATGACTTGCATGGTGACAGTAACCATGTTCTGGCCCTTGGAACAGGAGGTAATTTACTGTTGATGGTTTCTTGGCATAATATATGTACGTATTTGGGGGGTAATAATTTAAAATCATCCAGCACATGGACTCTGATAAGGTGCATAACTCAGGTACTCAGAGTTGTTTTATAGGAAAAGAGATACAGGCACACCGTGCGACTGCAATCCCGGCACGTTCTCCTTCCTCAGGAATGACAAGGGATGGAAACCTGGCTCCCCACGGGGAATAATAAAGCATGCCTGTGAAAAATGAATCCTGGACCTGAGCTCAGGGCCAGAGTGCTCCAAAATTTGGGGCTTTCCCAGGACTTAGTCCAGATTTGCTTCTGTCCAGGCCAGTGACCGCTTGAAGCTGTAGAGGGCAGGGGAGGGAGGGTCCCCTTCCTGAAAGGGAAGTGCTGTGAGACGTGGCTGTCACTGATACCAGTGGGGACCTCTCTGCCCCCAGCCTCTAATCATGCTTGAAGGTTTACTCTCTGAGCATGGCTTGAGAAGACAAGGGAAAGCAATGGAGATTGGCCATCACAGCCAAATTCTGCCTGATATGGAGGCCTGAGTCCTTTTGTGCAGGTGGTGACTCACTGCCCTGTTGAATGGGAGGAAGGAACAGTGATCAGACCCAAACACTCTGGTTTTCTTCCCACCTGTTTCTCAGAAGTAATAAGTGCAGGGCTCGTGCTCTGCCTCTGTGTGTGTGTGTGTGTGTGTGTGTGTGTGTGTCTCTGTGTGTCCTGTGTGTGTGTCTGTGTGTGTGTGTGCCTGTGTGTGTATGTCTCTTTGTGTGTCTATGTGTGTGCGTGTGTGCCTCTGTGTGTCTCTGTGTGTGTCTCTCTGTGTCTCTTTCTCTGTGTGTGTTGTCTCTGTGTGCACGTGCATACATGTATGTCCCTCTGTGTGTCTATGTGTGTGCATGTGTGCCTCTGTGTGTTTCTGTATGTGTGTGTTGCAGAGGAGCTGCTAATGTGTTCTCATGCTGGTTGTACTGCCCTGCCTTGGAACAACTTTATCCTTGGGTGCAGGGGCTGGGTGAGCCTGGAAGCTGCCAGATGCAGCACATGATGGAGGAGAAGGGCCTGGAAACTTTTGCAGTTGTCACTCAACAAACACTCATGCAGCTCCTCCTGTGTGCCAGGCCAGGTGCCAGGAGCTGGAGGGAATACAGAGAGTGAGCCTGCCGCTTTGGGATCTCATCTCCTGGAGGAGGAATAAGTTATCTACTTAGGTATTCAATTTTAACTAGTATTTAATTACAGCCATACAAGTGGTTCCATTATTAGTCAAGCTGAACTAAGTTTTGCTGCAATAACAAATTTTCCCAGAATCTCAGTAGCTTAACGGAGCAAAGGTTGGTTGCTTGTGAATGCTGTCTGTCCTACAAGGTGGTGCTCTGCTCCGTACAGTCACTCAGGATTCAAGGCTGACAGGCTACCTTCTTCTTTAGGCTGTGCATTCTGGAACATGGGGTTTCTTTAGCCTCTGTAGTGGGGAAGAGAGACAAGAGACTCACTCACAAGCTTCTCTATCATACTACCTTATGATGGAGGTGTTGTTATTAGCCTTTTTACATCTGAGGAAACTGAGGCACAGAGGAGTTAAGTAACATGTCCAAAGTTTCACAGCAGGTGAGTAGCAGAACCAGGATTGTGAGCTCCAGCCATCTGGCTCCAGAATCCCTGTTCTTGTCATGCTCTGCCATCTAATTAAACAGTTTCTTGGGAAGGGAATGAAGAGACGTCAGACAGGCCAGGAGCTCAGGGGACTAGAAAAAGAATTTATCAGAAGAAGGAAAGTATGTCGGGGAATGACAGGGAAGGATAAATGAGCAAGGCTAGAATCCCAGAAAAATAAAGAGACTTCATCTTGGCTGGCAGAATAGCTTTTGCAAATTCGGGATTAGAAGCCTGGTTTCATCAGTTTGGGACGAAAGCTACAGAAAATGCAGACACAGGGTGGATCTTACAGATTGTGAAGTCAGGAAGGTCTGAAATAAAATAGAAATGGCCCGAGGAAACCTTTCATATTCCTTTTTGTTTCCATTTACATCTGGCCACAAAAGCTCTTTGGTGGTTTATCCCAGCTCACTGCTTCCTTAGGGCTCTTTCAAACTCCTTGCATCTATGTAAGCATGGATAAGGAGCACAGCAGACATGGGACACACCTGTGTTGCTTTCTGGGCATGCTGTAGGATGCCACTTTTTGGCTGTGCACCTGGAGCAAGAGGCAGCAGGGCAGCAGCACCCAGCCCCCTGCAGTTGAAGCTAAAGACTGCAGCTGCAGCGCAGGAATTCCCCAGTAGGACAGGAAAGCAAACACAGGCAAGATAAGGTCAGAGACAGCCAACTGTTTACAGCGTCCAAGCTCTTCCTGGGTTTGGTCCACCCTATTAAAAGATAATAACCTCTTAAAACATTTCAAAGGATGTGTTAGCAGTGTTTAAGAGGAAACATAATTGTCACCACAGCCTGGGTAGTGTGCAATTGAGTAGGAGACCATCTTCAGGATAGGATGGGTGATGGGCAAGATTGTGCTGGGAGAGGAGTTCGTTTGAACTGCAGACTCCAGAAGCTACAGTGGCTGCCCAACCCATGAAAACACCCACAGATGCTGTAACTGCTGGGTATCTGTCATCTTTGGAATAAACCACTCATGCTGGGGTCTCACTTTCTAAGCCATTACCAGCTGCAAGGGTTGGCTTTGTGAAGACAAAGGGAAGTTTACTTTATAACGATGTAGGCTATGTGGAGATATAGAATTATAGGAGCACAAAGTGCATTACTGACTCACTGTTCTGCTGCCCATAGAGCAGCTCATCCTGCTTTGTGAGGCATTGCTGTGAGTTGCCTTCAGGCAACTTGGGAGGAAGAGCTGCCTGAAACCCTTTCTTGAATCTTCTTTAAGGATGCTGATCAGGACCCATCTACCATGGGAGGACTGTGGGGATTCCTCCATGACCTCAGTGCTGAGCTGATCTGGCTCATTAAGAGATGGTTCTTACGACCGGGTTCAGTGGCTCACGCCTGTAATCCCAGCACTTTGAGAGGCTGAGGTGGGCAGATCACCTAAGGTTGGGAGTTTGAGACCAGCCTGACCAACATGGAGAAACCCTGTCTCTACCAAAAAAATACAAAATTAGCTGGGCGTGGTGGCACATGCCTGTAATCCCAGCTACTCGGGAGGCTGAGGCAGGAGAATCACTTGAACCTGGGAAGTGGAGGTTGTGGTGAGCCGAGATTGCGCCATTGCACTCCAGCCTGGGCAACAAGAGCGAAACTCCATCTCAAAAAAAAAAAAAAAAAAGAAAAAAAAAAAGAAAGATGCTTCTTACAAAGAACTCTTTCTTTGCATCTCATGGATAATCTGAATTGTACATCTCACTGAACTACCTTCTTTGCCATGGCTGCTGGGGTGCCCAGAGCAAGTGACCATGGCATGCATGCTGTCACCTAAGTGGCTTTCTCTTATTTTTCTTTTCCTTCTCTGTTATTTATTCTGTTGTATTGTTTATATTTTGATAAACTCACTTAAATTCATTTTGGGACAAGATGGGATCTAAACCAAGAAGTAGATAAATATGTGTGCTTTAGAGGGTAGTTATTGCAGAGTCTATCCTGGGAAGAGTGGCTCCTTTGTTCAGGATGCCTTTCTGGGTATGAGGGGTGGGTTCAATTCCTTCCATCCCTTTCTAGAAGTATGTAGTCTTTGATGGATTCATTGAGTCACTGATTTGTTCTGTGGACACTTATTATGTGCCAGGCCCTGTGCTAGGCCTGAGGAAAGTGACGATGACCTCAGAGTTATGTTCCAGTGGTGGGAGATAGGCAAAGACTATGTAAGTGGGCAGAGACACTAATTACATGTAAGAACCACTGCCTTGAAGGGAGAATGAGGATGAGGGTGTGTCTTAGGTGGGCTGCCATAGCAAAATACCATCTACTGGGAGGCTAAAACAACAGACACTGATTTCACATGCTCTTGGTGGCTGGAGGTCAGAGATCAAGGTGTCAGCAAGTTTTATTCTGAAGCCTCTTCTTTTAGCTTGTAGGCAGCCACATCTCACTGTATGCTCACATGACCTCTTCTCAGTGTTTGAGCAGATAGAGAGAGAGAGTGCTTTGATATCTCTTCTTACAAGGATGTTAATCTTATTGGACCCCATCCTTATGACCTCATTTGACCTTAATTATCTCCACGAAGGCTTCATCTCCAAATCACATCACACTGAGGCTTGGGGCTTCAACATATGCATTTTGGGGTGGGCACAGACATTCAGTCATGACAGAGAGGGAGAAGATCTACTTCCTATGGGGTGACGCAGGAAGCCCACTCTGCGGAGGGCAACATGCATGCTGGAATGGAAAGGATAAGAATGAGGTGGCTGTGGGAGAGGAGGGTGGGGAGGCATGTGAGGGCGCGAGGTGGAGAGAACAGCCAGGGCAGAGGCCCTGAGGCTCCCTGAGCAGCTGGTGTGGTCGCAGCTTACTCAGGAGTGGAGAGTAGCACAGGGGAGGATGTGAGATGAGTGGGGCACGAGTGTGCAGAGCCTTGTAAACCAGCTATGGTGAGGGTTTCGGGTTTCCTACTACATCCAGTGCAACGTTACTGAAAGATTGTAAGCAGAGGGATGTCATGATCTGGCTTAGGCTTAAGGAGCTGTGTGGACAGTGGGCTGGAGGGATTGGGAATGGAGGCAGGAGACTGCTTGTCAGTTTTGGTAAGAGGCTGGGACCATGGTGATGGCCACGTTCTAGAAGAGAGAGTGGAATCTGTTGATGGAGGAAATGTGAGAGACAGGGAGAGGGAGCACTTAAGGGCAACTCCTAGGCTCTAGGCAGAACATTTAGGTGCATGGCGATGCTGTTTACTGAGCTGAGGGGATGCGGAAGGGAGCAGAGGCAACGTGTATGTAATGGGTAATTGCATGTGTCAATTTGACTGGGCTAAGGGATGCCCAGATAGCTGGTAAACATTGCTTTGGGGTGTGTCTGTGAAGGCATTTCCAGAAGAGACTAGCATGTGAATCAGTAGACTGAGTAAAGAAGATTACCCTCACCAGTGTGGGTGGGCATTATCCAACTGAGGGCCTGAATAGAACAAAACGGCAGAGACAGGGCAAATTCACTCTCCCTGCTTGATTGCACATCTTCTCCTGCCCTCGGACATTGGTGCTCCTGGTTCTCTGGCCTTTGGGCTCAGACAAGGTGATATGGTTTGGCTGTGTCCCCACCCAAATCTCATCTTGAATTATGGCTCCCAAGATCCCCATGTGTCATGGGAGGGACACAGTGGCAGGTAATTAAATCATGGGGGCTGGTTTTCCCATGCTGTTCTAGTGATAGTGAGTAAGTCCCACGAGATTTGATAGTTTTATAAAAGGCAGTTCCGCTGCACATGCTCTCTTGCCCGCCACTGTGTAAGACATGCCTTTCCTCCTCCTTTGCCTTCCTCCATGACTGTGAGGCCTCCTCAGCCATGTGGAGCTGTGAGTCCATTAAACCTCTTTTTCTTTATAAGTTACCCAGTCTCAGGTATTTCTTCATAGCAGTATGAAAATGGACTAACACAACAGGGCTTATACATCACCTCCCCTTTAGACTTGAACTGAGTTACATCAGTTCACTGTCTGCAAGCTGGAGGTTTTCCTGGGCCTCCAGCTTGCAGACAGAAGATTATGGAACTTCTCAGCCTGGGTAATTGGGTGAATGAAGTCCCATAATAAATCTCTTATATTTCTCTACATGTCCTGTTGTTTCTGTTTCTCTGGAGAACCCTGACTAATGTAGTATGTAAGGCACCCAGTCATAAGGGCAGGCTATCCTTCCATTAATGACCTCATTCCGGGTGTATCTGTAGCCTAGACCACTCTTCTAGGAAAATCCTATTCCCTTCTTGTCTCTTCCATGTGGAAATCTCACAGACATTGCAACCCAACCCATCCAAATCAGATGGGAACCAGGGGTTTAATGTTAACAGGTGATATCTGCTGCTGCCGGTCTGCCATTGTCCTAAAGCATTTTATACACATTTTCTTATCTTAGAAAGTCCCTGTAAGATAGGTGTGCTAACAAGAATCATTTTGCAGCTGAAGAAATGGAGGTGCTACTGGCTCAAGGAACCTGGATTCATTTAGAGAGTGTGCCCAGGATGAGACGTGTGGAGAGCCTGGCCTGAACCAACACTAACAGTCTCCTGGACAGGAGGTGAGTAAGGAAGAAGCGGCAGGGAAGGAGGGACACCGGGTGAAAGGAGGTGGGTGTAGGAGGAAGGAGATCACAACTGTGTTGAAAGTCCTAGCAGCCTGAGAAAGATGGGGGAAGAAGGCCCTGCAATGAACCCTGTGACCTTGGGAAGGACAAGTCCTCTTGCCCCTGGGGCCCACTGTCTGAGTCCCTAGGAAGTATATATACAAAGGGTTTCGGAATGCAGAGTTTGCAGATGTGGGCTGCAGCTGCACCCTGTGTGTGACTGGATGGAATTCACAGCTAGAAGTGGTTTTGTCCCTGGCTGCTGAATGTATCAGCTGTTGGTGCCGCTTTAGTTTTATTGAGTGGGAAGGATGTAGACCCTGAGTCTGGAGAATGGGACTGGGCTGGCCATGGAGCCTGGAGAAGAGAATGAGACCATGCAAAACCTTTATTCCTTGTTCTTGGTTTCTTGTTAAACAGGCCCAGTGCCACCAGATTAAGGAGGTGAGGGGGCGGTTGTAAGAAAGTAAGAGATCAGTCTGAAGATTATAAACATGGGCCAGTGCAACAAAGGGAAATTCTTGTGTCAATATTTTTCTGAGCCAGCACTTGGGAGATCCTGATTTCCTTAATAAAATGATAACAAACATTTTTTCATGTTAATAATGTAAGGTGAACATTTCCTTCATGTTTAAGCCACTGAATGTGCAGTGAACAAAAGACATTTACATACAGGCATATTTGAGGATATGGAAGGTTCGATTCCACACCACTGCAATAAAGCAAATATCACCATAGAGCAATTTATACAATTTCTTTGGTTTTCCAGTGCATGTAAAAGTTATGTACATTATACTGTAGTCTATTAAGTGTGCAATAACCACTCCTTATCTGTCTAAGAAACATACATACCTTAATTAAAAGATACCTTATTGCTCAAAGATGCTAAAGGTCATCTGAGCCTTTAGTGAGTAATAATCTTTTTGCTTGAAGGAGAGTCCTGCCTCCGTGTTAATGGCTGCTGACTGGCCACGGTGGCGGTTACTGAAGCTTGGGGTGGCTGTGGCAATTTCTTAAAATGAGACAACAATGAAGTTTGACACATCAGTTGACTTTTACTGTCAGGAAAGATTTATTTGTAGCATGCAATGCTGTTTGGGATAGCATTTTACCTACAGTAGAACTTCTCTCACAAAAATGGAATCAAGCCTCTCAAACCCTGCTGCTGCTTTATCAACTAAATTTATGGAATATTCTAAATCCTTTGTTGTCATTTCAACGATGTTCACAGCATCTTCACCAGGAGGAAATTCCATCTTAAGAAACCACTTTCTTTGCTCACTCATAAGAGGCTACTCCTCGTCTGTTCAAGTTTTAATATGAGATTGCAGCAATTCAGTCACATCTTCAGGCTCCACTTCTCATTCTAGTTCTCTTGCTATTTCCAACACATCTGCAGTTACTACCTCCACCAAAGTCACAAACCCCGCAAAGCCACCTATGAAGGTTGGAATCGATTTCTTCCAATCTTATGTTAATGTTGATACTTTGACCTCCTCCCATGAATCAATGTTTTTAATGACATATAGCATGGTGAATCCTTTCCAGAAGGTTTTCAATTGACTTTGCCCACATCCGTTAGAGGAATCACTATTTTTGGCGCTATAACCTTACAAAATGTATTTTTTAAATAATAAAACTTGGAAGTCAAAATTATGCCTTGATTCATGGGCTGCAGAATGGATGTTTTATTAGCAGGCATAAAAACAACATTCATCTCCTTGTGCATCTCCCTCAGAGCTGATGGGTGACCAGGCATATTATCAGTGATGAGTGCTATTTTGAAAGGAATCTTTTCTTCTGAGCAACAGGTCTCAACAGTGGGCTTAAAATATTCCACAAACCATGCTGTAAATAGATGCTATCATCCAGGCTTTGTTATTCCATTTTTAGAACACACCCAGAGTATGTAACTCATTTATTTATTTATTTAATTTATTTATTTTATTATACTTTAAGTTTTAGGGTACATGTGCACAATGTGCAGGTTAGTTACATATGTATACATGTGCCATGTTGGTGTGCTGCACCCATTAACTGATCATTTAACATTAGGTATATCTCCTAATGCTATCCCTCCCCCCTCCCCCCACCCCACAACAGGCCCCGGTGTGTGATGTTCCCCTTCCTGTGTCCATGTGTTCTCATTGTTCAATTCCCACCTATGAGTGAGAACATGCGGTGTTTGGTTTTTTGTCCTTGCGATAGTTTGCTGAGAATGATGGTTTCCAGCTTCATCCATGTCCCTACAAAGGACATGAACTCATCCTTTTTTATGGCTGCATAGTATTCCATGGTGTATATGTGCCACATTTTCTTAATCCCGTCTATTATTGTTGGACATTTGGGTTGGTTCCAAGTCTTTGCTATTGTGAATAGTGCCACAATAAACATACGTGTGCATGTATCTTTATAGCAGCATGATTTATAATCCTTTGGGTATGTACCCAGTAATGGGATGGCTGGGTCAAATGGTATTTCTAGTTCTAGATCCCTGAGGAATCACCACACTGACTTCCACAATGGTTGAACTAGTTTACAGTCCCACCAACAGTGTAAAAGTGTTCCTATTTCTCCACATCCTCTCCAGCACCTGTTGTTTCCTGACTTTTTAATGATCGCCATTCTAACTGGTGTGAGATGGTATCTCATTGTGGTTTTGATTTGCATTTCTCTGATGGCCAGTGATGGTGAGCATTTTTTCATGTGTCTTTTGGCTGCATAAATGTCTTCTTTTGAGAAGTGTCTGTTCATATCCTTCGCCCACTTTTTGATGGGGTTGTTTGTTTTTTTCTTGTAAATTTGTTTGAGTTCATTGTAGATTCTGGATATTAGCCCTTTGTCAGATGAGTAGATTGCAAAAATTTTCTCCCATTCTGTAGGTTGCCTGTTCACTCTGGTGGTAGTTTCTTTTGCTGTGCAGAAGCTCTTTAGTTTAATTAGATCCCATTTGTCAATTTTGGCTTTTGTTGCCATTGCTTTTGGTGTTTTAGACATGAAGTCCTTTCCCATGCCTATGCCCTGAATGGTATTGCCTAGGTTTTCTTCTAGGGTTTTTATGGTTTCAGGTCTAACATTTAAGTCTTTAATCCATCTTGAATTGATTTTTGTATAAGGTGTAAGGAAGGGATCCAGTTTCAGCTTTCTACATATGGCTAGCCAGTTTTCCCAGCACCATTTATTAAATAGGGAATCGTTTCCCCATTTCTTGTTTTGTCAGGTTTGTCAAAGATCAGATGGTTGTAGATATGCAGCATTATTTCTGAGGGCTCTGTTCTGTTCCATTGGTCTATATCTCTGTTTTGGTACCAGTACCATGCTGTTTTGGTTACTGTAGCCTTGTAGTATAATGTGAAGTCAGGTAGCGTGATGCCTCCAGCTTTGTTCTTTTGGCTTAGGATTGACTTGGCAATGTGGGCTCTTTTTTGGTTCCATATGAACTTTAAAGTAGTTTTTTCCAATTCTGTGAAGAAAGTCATTGGCAGCTTGATGGGGATGGCATTGAATCTATAAATTACCTTGGGCAGTATGGCCATTTTCATGATATTGATTCTTCCTACCCATGAGCATGGAGTGTTCTTCCATTTGTTTGTATCCTCTTTTATTTCACTGAGCAGTGGTTTGTAGTTCTCCTTGAAGAGGTCCTTCATATCCCTTGTAAGTTGGATTCCTAGGTATTTTATTCTCTTTGAAGCAATTGTGAATGGGAGTTCACTCATGATTTGGCTCTCTGTTTGTATAAGAATGCTTGTGATTTTTGCACATTGATTTTGTATCCTGAGACTTTGCTGAAGTTGCCTATCAGCTTAAGGAGATTTTGGGCTGAGACGATGGGGTTTTCTAGATATACAATCATGTCATCTGCACACAGGGACAATTTGACTTCCACTTTTCCTAATTGAATACCCTTTATTTCCTTCTCCTGCCTGATTTCCCTGGCCAGAACTTCCAACACTATGTTGAATAGGAGTGGTGAGAGAGGGCATCCCTGTCTTGTGCCAGTTTTCAAAGGAAATGCTTCCAGTTTTTGCCCATTCAGTACGATATTGGCTGTGGGTTTGCCATAGATAGCTGTTATTATTTTGAGATACGTCCCATCAATACCTAATTTACTGAGAGTTTTTAGCATGAAGGTTGTTGAATTTTGTCAAAGGCCTTTTCTGCATCTATTGAGATAATCATGTGGTTTTTGTCGTTGGTTCTGTTTATATGCTGGATTACATTTATTGATTTGTGTATGTTGAACCAGCCTTGCATCCCAGGGATGAAGCCCACTTGATCATGGTGGATAAGCTTTTTGATGTGCCGCTGGATTTAGTTTGCCAGTATTTTATTGAGGATTTTTGCATCGATGTTCATCAGGGATATTGGTCTAAAATTCTCTTTTTGTTGTGTCTCTGCCAGGCTTTGGTATGCTGGCCTCATAGAATGAGTTAGGGAGGATTCCCTCTTTTTCTGTTGATTGGAATAGTTTCAGAAGGAATGGTACCAGCTCCTCCTTGTACCTCTGGTAGAATTTGGCTGTGAATCCATCTGGTCCTGGACTTTTTTTGTTGGTAAGCTATTATTGCCTCAATTTCAGAGCCTGTTATTGGTCTATTCAGAGATTCAACTTCTTCCTGGTTTAGTCTTGGGAGGGTGTGTGTGTTGAGGAATTTATCCATTTCTTCCAGATTTTCTAGTTTATTTGCATAGAGGTGTACAGTGCAATCAAACTAGACCTCAGGATTAAGAAACTCACTCAAAACCGCTCAACTACACGGAAACGGAACAACCTGCTCCTGAATGACTACTGGGTACATAACGAAATGAAGGCAGAAGAAATAAAGATGTTCTTTGAAACCAATGAGACCAAAGACACAACATACCAGAATCTCTGGGACACATTCAAAGCAGTGTGTAGAGGGAAATTTATAGCACTAAATGCCCACAAGAGAAAGCAGGAAAGATCTAAAATTGACACCCTAACTTCACAATTAAAAGAACTAGAGAAGCAAGAGCAAACACATTCAAAAGCTAGCAGAAGGCAAGAAATAACTAAGATCAGAGCAGAACTGAAGGAAATAGAGACACAAAAAACCCTTCAAAAAATCAATGAATCCAGGAGCTGGTTTTTTGAAAAGATCAACAAAATTGATAGACTGCTAGCAAGGCTAATAAAGAAGAACAGAGAGAAGAATCAAATAGACACAATAAAAAATGATAAAGGGGATATCACCACCGATCCCACAGAAATACAAACTACCATCAGAGAATACAATAAACAGAGTATGTAATTCTTAAAAGCCCTAGGAGTTTTGGAATGAGCGTTGGCTTCAATTTAAAGTCACCAGGTGCATTCGCCCTAATAAAAGAGTCAGCTTGTCCTTTGGAAACAGGCATTGACTTCTCCTCTCCAGCTATGAAAGTCCTAGATGGCATCTTCTTCCAATAGAAGGCTGTTTTGCTTGCATTGAAAATCTGTTGTTTAGTGTGGTCACCTTCATCAATGATCTTAGCAAGATCTTCTGGATAACTTGCTGCAGCTTCTATGTCATCACTTGCTGCTTCACCTTTTTTTTAATTTTTTTTTTGACGTTTCACTCTTGTTGCCTAGGCTGGAGTGCAATGCTGTGATCTCGGCTCACTGCAACCTCTGCCTCCCAGGTTCAAGCAATTCTCCTGTCTCAGCCTTCTAAGTAGCTGGGATCATAGGCGCCCACCACTACTCCTGGCTAATTTTTGGTATTTTCAGTAGAGACGGGGTTTCACCATGCCTGGTGGCCAGGCTGGTTTCAAACTCCTGACCTCAGGTGATCTGCCCGCCTCGGCCTCCCAAAGTGCTGGAATTACAGGCATGAGCCACCACACCAGGCCCACCTTGCATTTTTATGTGATGGGGACAGCTTTTTTTCCATAAGCCTCATGAACCATCCTCTGCTAGCTTCAACCTTTTCTTCTGCAGCTTCTTCACCTCTTTCAGCCTTCATTGTATTGAAGAGAGTTAGTGTCTTGCTCTGGATTAGGATTTGGCTTAAGGCAGCATGGCTGGTTTGATCTTCTATCCAGACCACTTAGGCTTTCTCCATATCAGCGATAAGCCTATTTCACTTTCCTGTTCATGTGTTCACTGGAGGAGCACTTTTAACTACTTTCAAGAACTTTTCCTTTGCATTCACAAGTTGGCTGTTTGGTGCAATAGGCCTAGCTTTCAGCCTGTCTTGGCTTTTGACATGCCTTCTACTAAGCTTGATCATTTTCAGCTTTTGATTTAAAGTGACAGATGTGTGACTCCTTTCACTTGAACACTTAGAGGCCATTGTAGGGTTATTATGGACCTAATTTTAATATTGTTGTGTCTCAAAGAACAGTGAGGCTTGAGAAGAGGGAGAGAGATGGGAGAACAGCTGGTCAGCAGAGCAGTCAGAACATACGAAACCTTTATCAATTAAATTTGCCATCTTATATGGGCATGGTACCCCAAACAGTTATAATAGTAACATCAAAGATCACCGATCATA
Source organism: Homo sapiens (assembly GCF_000001405.40). NCBI lineage: Eukaryota > Metazoa > Chordata > Mammalia > Primates > Hominidae > Homo > Homo sapiens. Next base: position 111,587,048 of record NC_000002.12, on the reverse strand, counting down.
TGTCATATGTCACCATACAGACATAACGATGAAAAAGTTGAAAATATTGTGAGAATTACCAAAATTTAACAGAGACAGGAAGTGAGCACATGCTCTTGATACAATTGCTTGACACAGGGTTATCACAAACTTTCAATTTGTAAAAAATGCAATGTCTGGGAAGTGCGATAAAATGAGGTATGCCTTTACTGACTTTAATTTTAGTAAATGACTTCATAAGGAAAAGGAAAAAATGTCATTGTGAGGGCACTGTGTTTGTTATAGACTAGCTAGGTCATCAACTGGGTGGTTTTGATGATACTAGCAGAGTCCTCCATGTGCTAGGACACTGTTTGAAATTCTTGTTATAGCTTTAAAAGTCATGGTTTTATCAACTAACTCCCTATTAGTTACTGTAATTGAATTTTTATGTTAGCTTCCACTAGTAGCAAGTTTTTGAGTCAAGATGGCCCTTGGGTTTTATTGCCAACCCTGACAGCAGGATCCTAGACAGGGTCGCTTTGCTCTTAAAGCCTCTGATGTCCAGTTGCAAAGTGAGTATAATTGCTTCTCTCTCAGATCTGTGTTGAGGAGCTCAAGAAATAACGAATGTGGAAGCACTCAGATCAATTACTTTTTTTGTTTGTTTCTACCTTATCTAGTTTCCTAGGTCAAAAGTTTGCTTGGCTAATGGAAGAAAGGAGTCCCAACCTTTCCAAGTGGGACAGATTCCCTAGCTGTGCTCTGTATATTGAATCTGCTTCTTATCATTTGGCTGTGGTCTGTGTGAGTGCTGAAAAGGAGGAGATAATTTCACGCACTAGGGAAATGGAAAAGACTCCTGCTTGGCAGGCACCAGGGTGGCAAGAGAATCCAGGATGTGGCCACGCACAGTTTAAGGACTACATTTCCCAGCTGCCTTTGCAGGTGAATGCCATCAGTGAGACCTAATTGAGAGTATAGTCTGGGGAGTCTGGGAATGTTGCCTAAGAAAGGCTGATTTAGTTGGTGGTGCAACTCCCTTTTTACCTCCCCTCTTTCTCTCTTTCTGGAATGTGGATATGATGGCAGAACCACAGATGATCTTGAATGAGGAGGTCACTTGCTGAGGATGGTGCAACAGAAAGATGGAAGGAGCTCAATCCCTGATGAGCTTGTGGACCTACTGTATCAGTCCTGGGTTACTCACTTTCTGTCTTTTATGGAGAGAATAAACCATCCTCTTTTTAAGTTGCTCTTCCCCCTTTGTTTGTGATCCCTCTTACCATAGACCAAACTTAATTCCTAATGAATAGATCTGCCAAATTGTTTATATCAGAGATGACAACAGGAACACATCTGTTTACATTTTCCTTTCTCCTGAAGCCCCACCTAGTCCCAGAGGGTGGTGTGTTTCTTCACTGCTATTTTGGGCAGAAGCTACCCGGCTGTGGTGGTTAAAGTCAGCACTGCTGTTAGCCCTTGTGGGGCCTTTGTGCAAATTGAAAAAAGGCATTCATATCCTAAGACACCTTCCTGTTCTTTGCCAGAAAAATGTCTCGATGCAAATTGACAATGTGTGGACAGGAATGGAACATGCCCTTGAGAAGCAGCCCTGCACAGGATGCCACTGCTCAGCTTTGGGTCAATGTCCAGGCCAGTATCTGACCTCGAACTTCTCTCTAGGTCTTCCACCTTTACTTAGCACAGGCCTGAGAACAGTCCAGCCAGGGGTCTAGGAGAGAAAGTGGCTGAGACTGTGTGAGACGGGGATGGGGCAGAGGACGGATAGGGTAGAGGGTGGATTACAGTGAGTTTCTGGCTATTGACTGCTTTCACATGAGCAGCTCATTTCTGTGCCAACCATTTGACTAGTAAGTTGGCAGAAGCCCTGCCTGTTGGTCACATTCTGGCCCATGCTACAAGGCCACCTGGCAGGCTCAGGCTGCAGCACGGCAGGCTGTGTGCACACGGCTATCTCCCCTAGTCCGTCCCCAGAGCTGTCTGTGCAGTCCTGAGCTCCCATGTAAGCCAGTGCTACTTTTGTGTGAAGAAGGTGGACGAAATCATCAGCAACTCTTGCTTATATAGAATGTGACCCAAGCAGTGGAAAGAGAAAATCCAGGTCTTGGTTTTGTACTGGCTTGCGAGAAGTCCTTCTTTTCCTCTCTAGCAATTTCCCTACATCCATCCCTGCCTACCCACATTGGATTAAAGGGAAGAGAGAAAAATGCCCTAAGCCCCAGAGAGAAAGGTGGCAGAACCATGATATTGCTGCTCTTGACTTTGTAAGATGGCCAACATCAGCCCAGAGAAATCTGATCTGAAATAGAATGAGCTCACCTGACTTCGAAATTTACCACATTTGTCATGAGGCAGTCACTTAACCTAAAAAGTAAACAGGCTCTTACTCTGTCATAGTTTACATTTGTGTGTGTGTGTCCTTTTCTGTTTTCTTTCTTTCTTTCTCTTTCTTTCTTTCTTTTCTTTCTTTCTTTTTAGTAGCTTTAACTTGTTCTGCAAACAAAGAATATGACAGAACAATGTACGTTCCTTTGAGATGGCCCCATTAATCTTGATAGCAAGTTTCTAATTATGAAGGATAGAGAGCTTTGGCTGCTTCATGGAACTGTGTCCTGGTGACTTTTTTCAGTCCCTTTTTCTTGCTTTCCCTGTCTCCGGTAGCTTCCTTGAGAGCTGTGGTTTCTCAGTGTTAGATATTCAAAAGCACAGCAGCCTACAGGCCATGGCTAAATCTTCTTTACAACCAGATGCATATGAGATCTTAGCAGGAAGTAAGAAAAGTAAACGCATTATTAATAAACACACTTAAATGCATACAATAAAATGAATGCTGTTTCCTTCAAAGTAACCCTCCTTTGCAGATATAGTCTAACCAAGCCTCTATTGCCCTGCCCAGCATGGATCTGAAACTCTCCTCCGTAAATTCTCTAGAACTCTAGGACCGCCCCTTCTAAATGCCCAAAAGAATCCCAACTGACTGAGGGCAAAGATGCACCTTATTTCTGGCTCCCTTTCGCTTCACCACTTGACTTCAAATGACTTCAGGCTGATTCCAGAAAGCTAATACACCCTCAAAGGACAATGCACCTTCATTTAGCTCACTCAGGAGAGAGGCCACAGTCTTGAGGGGAGGCACTCTCCAAGGCACAGCTCAAAAATTGTTTCAAGCAATGGAATCTTCACGTGAATGGGCACATGGCCTCCCACAGCAAGGATGCTCGTTAATGGGGAAGAATCACTGAAAATCCGAATTCAGATGTGTTTCAGAAAGCAGCTTCAAAGTGTGTGACTGATCTTCCTAGTCCTGGGAAGAGCAGAATTGGCCCTTAGAACCGTTAAGAGTCAGATTGTGAAACAGAGAGTTCTTGTTCCCCATATGTTTCACTCTAAATGGAACATGAATCAGAGCTGGGAGAGGAGCTTCCAACTTCTGTCAATAATAAAAGCCTTCTTATGAGTCAAGTGCTTTGTAAATACTTTGATTGGTAGAGGAAAAAGGAATTGCATATTGAAAGAACTGTATTTCCATTAAAATGCATGTGTGTAAAGTAAAGAAGGGCAGGAAACATTGAGCCCAAGACTTTCTGAGTTTGAGTGAACCAACCTGCTGGAGTGGTTTCTGGCCATCACTTTGTGCTGCCATGTCTCAGCCTGTGCTAAGTCCAGAGGATCTGGGGTTCCGATATTTGCAAGAAAAAGCAAGGACAACAGGTTTGAAGTCAAGCAATGGGAGGGTCTCCCAGAGACCTGGAGCAGGGGGGACAAGTGCCTTAGCTGCTTCTGTCTATCCATCTTCCATCTGTCTGGCAATCAGGATATTTTCTGGGGCCCATTCAATGCTTCTCTGTTGGCTGGGGGCTCCCATCAGCTGCCAGGGGTTCCACCTGTTTTCAGTGGTCCATGTGCAGTACTCAGAGAAATGCCTCCTGAGGGAATGAGTCCAGCGGGTGAGCGCCTTTTAAGAAATGCGGTGGCTCACGCCTGTAATCCAGCAATTTGGGAGGCCAAGGCAGGCAGATCAACAGAGGTCAGGAGTTTCAAACCAGCCTGGTCAACATGGTGAAACCCCATCTCTACTAAAAATACAAAAAATAGCTGGGTGTGGTGGTGGGCACCTGTAATCCCAGCTAATCAGGAGGCTGAGGTAGGAGAATCGCTTGAACCTGGGAGGCGGAGGCTGCAGTGACCCAAGATTGTGCCACTGCACTTCAGCCTGGGCGACAGAGCGAGACTCCATTTCAAAAAACAAGGAGTATGAAAATGCTTTCCAGCTCTTTGCAGTAGGGCCTGTCTCATGGGGTGCAGCCTGGAACTTGCGCAGGCCCCTACACAGAAGGACCTGTGCTTGGCCCAATGCTCTGCTCCTGCTGTCTTGTCATACTTAATACTTTTTTTAGCAAGAGGCCCTGAATGCCATTTGCATTAGGCAAATTCTATAGCTGATCCTGATGAGGCTCTTCTGTATGGGGACCTGCACAACTGCAGGGCTGCACCCTATGACGCAGGCCCTATTGCAAATGGCTGGAGAGCATTTTTGTATTTCTTAAAGGGTGTTCACTCCCTGGACTCAGTCGCCCCCAAAATAACGTCTTGGGTGTCTTATTTAGGTGGCGCCTGCTTGGTCTGAAAGAGCTCATGTGACTTCAGGAAATACTGAATTTGTTCTGAGAAAGCCTCTTGCCCTAAAAAAAGCGTGTGGGGGGAGTGCTCCTAGTCTGTCATAGTTAAAGTTCAAAGGTTATTTACAGTGTGTTGCATCCACTGTGGTGACTCCTGGCAGATCCTGAACTTAAGCAGACGTGTGTTACAGATCTTAATGAGTGTGTTGATGCCGATGGGAGTTGCCCTGGATCACAGCAAGTGGGTGATGGGTGGGTGAGAGGAGAGACATTCTTTTTGTTAACCCCTCATTTCCACGGTCAGTCTCAGATGGTCATTACAAACCTCTTCTAAATCTGGACCTCAACAAGCCCCCCTCACACCAGGGACAAAGTAAGGGTCATGCGATGGCCTCTGAGCTGACCTTCGAGTTCAGAGTGGCCGTGTGCTGGTGCTGTGATCATTAAACTGACTGCTTTGCAAGGTCAGCACTGAAGGCTATAGATTTATATCTCTCTTTTATTCTAAAACTAGACTATGCCACAACCAGGCGACTGTGGTGCCTCACTCAGGTGGTCTGTCTTCTGCAGTTGAAGGCAGGTCTTTTTCCTCCATCCATTCAGATTGAATCCAGGGGGTCCTCCCTGGAAGACCTGTGTTCCACAGAAGACTCCCCTGGAGCTTCTCCTCTCTGCACCTCAGCTTTCTTGTGGGTGCAGCAGGCCACCCAGGCCCAGTCCCTGCTCACGACAATGACTTCGGCTTTCCAGGGTCTTTCTCATGCATTCTCAACCATTAGACTCCCCAGTCCTCTCTCTATTTTTTCCCCTTATTTAGTAAATATTTATTGAAGATCCATTACTTGCACAAAAGACAGCAGGCCGCAGGGAAAGGGGTTTATAGTGGGAGATACGATGAAAAGATGATTAAGATTGCAAGTTCTCAAAAGTTTAGATGTTGAAGTATTATTTTCCAAAGTGAGTTACACAGGGTATTAATGGGTGCCGCTCAAAGAAGGGGTTCTAGAGTGAATATGAAACATTGGCTTAAACAAAGTCAAACATTTTAAATTACTGCACAGCTTCTCAAAAGTTTTAATATGCTAATGTGTCATCTGACTTCCCAAAAGGAGAAACATAATATATTGGACTTCTTAAAAGTATTTATGACATTTTTTCTTGCATTGAACTAGTCCCAGATAGAAGACTTAGCCTTAAAGGGCAAAATAAAAAGATGAGTTCTTTTTCTTTTTAACTGACAAATAAAAACTGTATACATTTATGGCTTATAATATGATGTTTTGCAATATGTATACTTTGTAGGATGGCTAAACTGAGCTACTAACATGTGCATCACCTCCTATTTTTTTGTGTGGTGAGAACACTTAAAATCTACTCTCAGTGATTCTCAAAATACAATACATTATTAACTATAGTCAGCATGTTGTACAATAGATCTCTTGAATTTATTCCTCCTGTCTAACTGAACTTCTGTATCCTTTCACCAATATCTCCCCAACCTTCCCCATACCCCTGACTCCAGCGCCTGCTATCACCACTCTACGTTCTACTTCTGAGTTTGACTTTTTATAATAGATTCCACATATGAATGAGATCATGCAGTATTTGTCTTCCGTGCCTGGCTCATTTCACTTAGCATAATGTCTTCAAATGTCCTCAGGGTCTGCCCCTCTTTCTGCCTCTGTGGGGGCTCCAAGTGGGAATTCGTGGTTACTGTAATTGGCAGGGGGCGGAGATTTGGAGCTGGAACCTCTAGAGTCTGAGCTCTACCATGGAAAGGCCGTATAATGCTCAGCAAGTCATTTAACTCTTTGGTGTCTCTGTTTTCTCATTGATAAATGCAAAGATAATAGTGCACCTTCACTGAGCTTCACTGGGTTAACCAGGTAAAAAGCCTTATGGGGCAATGCCTGGCTCTGGCAGGCTTGAATGCTGGCCGCTGGCTCTGGTTCTCCCATGTGGAAACAAAGCCTACGTCTCACACCCAGCAGCAGGAGCAGCGGGGTCTCGGCTCAGCCAGTGTGTCCTGAGTGGCACAGGGTCAGACATAACCAGGTCCATGAACATTTGTGTCTTTGTATAAGGTCAGACTTTTATTGATGCAATTTCAATCATAAGAGCCACTAGCTGCATGGAGTTCCCAAGGAGGCGATTTTCTTTAGTGCTACCTGTTTACTTGGTAGTTAAAGCCTCAGGCGCACTTTACAAATCAGTCAGTATTGCAAACAAGACATAGTAGTACACTTAATCAATATACAATTGCTATAGATTAAACCTTCTACATCAGTAAACATTCATAAAGTAATATTTAACATTAAGAGAAAGGGGGATAGGATAAACGGGTTAATGAACCAGTCCAAGAGGGTAACATGAACAAGGAGAATGTCCTGGTCTGATCTGGATGGACATCAACATTTTGTAAGAAAGAGACTATCGTGGCAGATGCTGGGTGCTGGTCATGAGTGACAGCAGGATGGGGTCTATGAAGACGGCCATCTGGAGCTGGTGAATTCTTCCTCTTTTTATAGCCCCCGAGTCCTCTGGTGAGGACTGATAAAGTGAACCTTATCTGATTGGGTATAGTCACTGTTGATTAGACAAACATCTGGCTCCTGTTGGCATGATGTCTTTTAAAAATGTAAGATGGAGTCTTTTTCTAAGATGGAGTCACTTAGGTCAAAGGTCCTGTGTGCACAGGGGCTGCCCACATTTCACCACAAGTTGCCATGAGACTGCCCAGGAGGACCCGAATGCCTGGAGTGCTCCAGCCATGCTCATGCCGACGGCTTTTGTCCCTCTGCCTGTCTTTGGACACCTCTGGTGTGGAGTTGGAGATGAGGAGGAGAGGCTTGCGTTCCTATCAGCAGTGTGGAATGAGCAGAGGTGCGGGTAGACTGAAGCTCTGTGTTTAACCTCTGTTTACAGAATATGGATGCTGCGAGAGAGTCTGGGGTACTTAAGGAAAGGCTTGATTGGATTGCAGAAAACAGTTTCTGAAACTTAGACTATTTCTGAAGACTCAAATTTTAATTCTTTTGAATTCCTACAGCAACTCATCTCACAAATAATTATTAAATGATAATAACAATAATAATGATACTCTTCCTCCTCCTATTATCACCAAATAGCATTTACTGGGTGTTGGCAAAATGCTGGGCATTGGTCAGGAATGCTGGACTTGTATTTCCACTTGACCCTTCAAAAATCCTTGTGATCAATAAATTACTATGTTATATAATTAAAATATTAAAATTATTGGAAATTTTATTTAATAATAGCAATAATATATTAGTGTAAATACTTTTCTGAATAATGAAATATACAATAATATATTATGCACAAACACAAATGTGTTAAGTAAACACATCAGAGCTTGTTGCCAGCCATGATATAATGTGTATTATCATATGCTATACCGACATCCCCATTTGACATTGGAGGATATGAGCTCTGGGTTGCTAAGTGACATTTCCCAGGTTACAGCTCTCTGGAGGAGGCAGCTGGACTCCAGGACCCCGTGTTTCCTGAGACCTCCATAGCCTGCCTCCCGCTTTGCTGTGCTGCTTCTATGAGAAGATAAAGTAATTTAATAGCAGCTGTCGATATGCAGGGCCACCTCTCAAGTGCTTGAAAATAGTTCTCTTAAGCGGGAAATACTTTTTTTTTTTCCAAAATAATTTATTATGTTTCGAAAGTATTTCCTCTAATTGCAGGGAATCCAAATCAAGCGCTTGCATTTCTTATAAACAAACACCTCTGTATACTTTCCCCTGACCATGGCTGACTTCAAAACCAGGCCGGCCTGCACCAGAGCCTCAGAGCCAGAGACCGCCCCAGGCAGAACCACAGACTATGCAGGGCACCTCTGTTCACCTCTGCACCCATCTCCCTGAAGTGCCGGGCTTGGCTTCCCGGCAACATCCTTCATTTCAACAGCTAAATACGCGGTCAACAACGGGTTGGTGAAAATGGGGGCGCCCAGGAGCCATTCCATGCCTTCAGATGGGGTCCGCGCTCACTGTGCAATGCATCATTTCACACAGGTTAAAAGGAAAAGCAGTTGCCAGTGCCTGTTGTTCATTTAAGGAGATTAAAATGATAGAAAAAGAGGATTTTGCATTTAGACAGTGAGCAGTGGAATTTAAAAAGCAGTGCCAGAAATCATTTAGTATGTGTTACATTCTATTCTTTTTTTTTTTTTTTTTCCAGACAGAGTCTCACTCTGTCATCCAGGCTGGAGTGCAGTGGCATCATCTTGGCTCACTGCAACCTCTGCCTCCCTCAAGTTCAAGTGATTCTCCTGCCTAAGCCTCCCGAGTAGCTGGGATTACAGGCACCCGTCACCAAGCCCAGCTAATTTTTGTATTTTTACTAGAGACGAGGTTTCGTCGTTTGGCCAGGCTGGTCTTGAACTCCTGACCTCAGGTGATCCGCCTGCCTCGGCCTCCCAAAGTGCTGGGATTATAGGCGTGAGCCACTGTGCCTGGCCTTAGTATGTGTTACATTAAAAAAATGACTCCATAAAGATGTACAATTATTATGTATTAATAAAAAATGAAAATAAAAAGACCGTGGAAACTGCCATGTATTCCCACCGGAGAGCTGGTGAGTCTCTCCGTGGATCGTACCATTACCACAAGAGTCCTCTGGCCCACGCACACCCTGCTCTGCCCATCAGCAGTGCTCCCCTCCTCTCCGCCATTGGCTTCTCATATCCTCCTGGGCTGATGTGCCCATGCTGCGTACTCAACACTGCCTCTGGCTGGTGCAAGCCTGGAAGGGAGGTAGACGGTATGGATGGCTAAGCAGGCGAGCTGGGCTGGCTGTGGCCTCGGCTGTCTATCACGCTGCTACCCAGCCTCGGATTCAGGTCGAACTTGCCTGCACTTTCTGAACACCTAGCAAGATGCAGCCCAGGCCCAGACAGTTCACTTCTCACTCAGCAAATGGGAAAAAAAAAATGGAGAAGGCGCTGCGTCCTTTGAGGCTCCTGCCCTCCAGCCACCTTATCTACTGTGTCTCTCTGGGCTCAAATGGTGCTTTCCTCCAGGGCTCTCTTGGCGTCTCATCCCTCTACCTCCACAGGGTGTGGTACCTTCCTGTGTTCCTGTGGTTCCCACTGCACAGCTGGATCTCTGTTCTCACTGCCTGAAATTAACATTCCTGTTCCCGTTTCTCTTGCCTTCCTGACTTCCAGGAGGTGGTGGCAGTTACTCAGCTCTGCTTCCACACCCTCGCCATGTCTTCCTCAATAGACTCAACCCTTTGTCCTGCTAGTTGCTAATACTCAGGTCACAGGCAGTGGAACTCGTCTTCGGCATTTAGTAAGAGATGGCCTTTCTGACTTTGTGCCCCAGCCACGGTGCAGTCTTCTGGATCTTTCCCAGCAGCGTCGACACCGTGAGTGCTGCCTGTGCACGCATTCGTTGCATTCTTGCTCCAGATGGCAGTCTGACCAGCACGACTCAACTCCCCTCCCCTCCTGTCCCTTTCTAGTAAAATTGCCTGTATGTTACCCCAACCTCTGCTGACTCACAGGTGACTGCTGTCCTGATTTTTAACCCCGCAGAATAATTTTGTCTGTTTTTGAGATTCACATAAATGGAATTGTATAGTACACACTATTTGGTGCCTAGTGGCTTGAATTTAGTACAGTGTTTTAGAAACACATCCCTGCTGTTTTGTCTGTCAGTAGTTTATTTGTTTGCTGGGTGATGTTCCATTGTATAATTATCCTATAATTTCTTTATTCATTCTCCTGTTGTTGTGCCCTTGTTTATTTCCAGTTTTTGGCTACTGTGGGAGACAGCATGTGTAGCAGTGGCGCTAGCTAGGCTTGGACATTAGTCTCTCTCCAGAACTTGGGACAGGCCATTGAGGACAGGACCGGTGAATGTGACCCAGAGCTTGCTGACCCTCAGCTGCCTGGGACAGCAGTGGCAGTCTGACCCTGGGGGAGTCAGAGGAGGGCCACGCGGTGACCGTTACACCCCAGGAGATACGGACTCAATGAGCAAACCCCAGTGGACAGGGGTCAAGGAATCTCCCTCCTAAGGAAATATAGGGTTTTGTGATTTTCTTTGGTTCAATGTCAAGAGAATCAAGTTGTGGGAAATGCTGGAACCCTCCTCAACTCAGTGCACTGAGTCCCTGAATGCTCACTGAAGGAGACAGGAAAGGTGGAGTGCAGGCCTGCACAGCAGCTACTGAGCTCTGGATCAGGGAGGGCATCGTACAATATCCAAGGAGAGAGCAAGGGAAGGAAACACCAGTTAACTCATTTAAATCTCACAATAACATGTCATCTCTATTTCATAGATTTGAAAGCTGAGGTTCAGATATGTTAAATAATTTGTCCAGGGGTAGCAGCTAGTGTCAGAGCCGCTTCTTAATAACTGGCCACAGGACTAGATAATTCTCAAAAGATAAAATGCAAATTAAGTGACTAGTAGAAAACATTGATTATATATTAGTTTTATGCCAAATGCTATTCTTGCCAGGGTATTACAGTTAAAAAGACAGACAGAAATTCTTGCCTTGATGGTGCCCCAGGGTGAGATGAATGATGAACAAAGTGAACACATAGAGTATTCTAGAAGGTGGTCTATGGAGAAAAATAAAACAGAGAAGAAACAGGGGTTGTGGTTTCAGGGGTATTTGCAAGAGTAAATATCTTGACCAGGAAAAGCCTATGAGAAAGTGGCATTTGAGGACAGACTTGAAAGAGATGAGAGCATGACCCTGGGGTGGGATTGAGCATTAAAGGTGAGGAAATGGCCGTGCAAAGGCCCTGTGACAGCAGTGTGCCAAGGCTGAGAAAATGCAGAGAGGGCAGGGTGACTTAAGTGACTGAGTGAGGGGGAGTCATAGGAGCTGGCGTCAGAGGGGGGTTTCTGGGGATGAGCTCAGGTGGACCTCACAGGCCATGGTGAGGAATGACTCTTTGCTGAGTAAGGTGGGAAACCATGGAGGGTTTGGAACAGGGGAGTCACATGCCCTGAGTTGCATTTAACAGGATCGCTCTGGCTGCCCAGTTGACAACAGATAATTGTGGGACAGAAACATGAAGACCCTTAGGACATTATTGCAATAATTCAAGCAATAATTCAGATGGTGACTTTGACCAGAGTGGCTGTTCCACACGTGGTGAAAAGTGGTCACAATAAGGTTCAATTGGGAAAGTGGGACCCAAAGATTTGCTCACGGATAGGATGAGGGATGTGAAAGAATTGATTCTGACTCCAAGGATGGTGACATTGCTATTCACTGAGGTGGGGCAGGTGACAGGAAAGCAGCTTTGCAGGGAAGAACAGGAACTCATTTTTGGATACTTTACACTGGGAAATGCCACGGAAAGCTGTTAGACAGCTGGATATCTGCATGTGGAGTTGAGGGAGGGGTCCAGCCCGGAAATATAAGCATGGGCGTCATCAGCATACAGACTGTATTTCAAACATGAGAGTGGATGGGGTTATCTAGGGAGTGCCTCTGACATTCTGAGGTTGGGCTTGACCCAGGGGAGGAGACAGTAGAGGGGCATCCAGTGAGGGGAGAGGAAAGCAGGAAAGCAGCGGTGGACTGGAGGGGGTGTCTGGCTGTGTCACAGCAGCTCTTAGGTCAGGTGATCTGGGGGCTTGGCAATTTGGAGCTCATTTGAGGGAGATTTTGCAGCAAAAGCCTGAGTGGGGTGGGTTCAAGAGAATTGGGGACTGTGGACACAGACAACTGCAAAGGGCTGGGTGGAGAGGATGTAGGCCAAAAGAGGCTCTGTCCAGCCTGACCAACATGGAGAAACCCCATCTCTACTAAAAATACAAAATTAGCCGGGAGTGGATGTGCATGCATGTAATCCCAGCTACTCAGGTGGCTGAGGCAGGAGAATCTTTTGAACCCGGGGGTGCGGAGGTTGCAGTGAGCCGAGATTGTGCCATTGCACTCCAGCCTGGGCAACAAGAACGAAACTCCGTCTCAAAAAAAAAAAAAAAAAAAAAAAGGGAAAGAAAAGAGGCTTCTTCTAACTCTTTTTCATGGCAGATTTCAAACATATACAAACACAGGATGAAAGAACAAAATGCTTGTGTCTCCACCACCCACTTCAACAACGATCTTGACCAATCCTGCTCCATCTATACCATTCCTTCCCTTGCAAACCCCAAACATGTATATTAAATTAATTGATATTGCCCCACCTGCAAACCCCAAACATGTATATTAAATTAATTGATATTGCTCCACAGCTCACTGAGGCCCCACAGCTCACTGAGACCCTGTAAAAGTTTTTTTTTTTTGTTTTTTTGTTTTTTTTTTTGAGTTCTTCTCCCCTCTATGCTTCATTTGGGATAGGTGCCATGGGGCTGCCTTCTAGTTTGCTGATCTTTTCTTCTCCAGCATCTAATGTACCATTCATCTTATCCAGTGAACTTTCCATTTCTGATATTTTACTTTTCATTTCTAGAATTTCATTTGTTTGGTTTTTGTATCTTCCATTTCTTTGCTTGTCATGTTTATGCCTTCCTTTTTGGTGGCTCATGCCTGTAATCCCAGCACTTTGGGAGGCCGAAGCGGGTGAATCATCTGTGGTCAGGAGTTCGAGACCAGCCTGGCCAACATGGTGAAACCCCTTTTCTACCAAAAATACAAAAAATTAGCTGGGCGTGGTAGTGCATGCCTGTAATCCCAGCTACTTGGGAGGCTGAGGCAGGAGAATGACTTGAACCTGGTAGGCAGAGGTTGCAGTGAGCTGAGATCGTACCATTGCACTCTGGCTTGGACAACAAGAGCAAAGCTCCACCTCAAAAAAGAAAAAAAAAAAAAAGGAAAAAGAAAATATTTGTAAGATTAAAAATAACTGTTTTAAGATTCTTATCAGATAGTTTCATCATCTTTGTAATTTCTATTGACTGTCTTTTTTAAAAATCCAGTTTATGGGTTATGGTTTTCTTGCTTCTTTGTATGCCTGGCAGTTTTTTATTAGATGCTCTATATAGCGCACTTTTCATTGTTGAGGGCTAGATTTTGTTGCATTTCCATAAAGAGTGTTGGACTTTCTTTTGGAACACACTTAAGTTGCTTGGGATCAGGTTGACCACTTCAAAGCTTACTTTTATGTTTTATGGCAGGCCCAGAGCAGCATTTAGTTTGGGACTAATTTAGCCCTACTGCAGCAATGTCCACAACTAGGGCATGGCATGGATGGAGTGGCCCATGCAGAGTAGGGAGGGGCAAAGCGCGTTCAAGAGCTGAGAGGCCATTATAGGAAAGATCATCTTGTGACTATTAAAGTGGCCAAGGTACTAAATCTGTTTGTCCTTCCTTCCTTCCTTCCTTCGTCCTTCCTTCTTTCCTTCCCTCCCTCCTTCCTTTCTTCCCTCCTTCCCTCCTTCCTCCCTCCCTTCCTTCCCTCCCTCCCTCCTTCCCTCCTTCCTTCCTTCCTTCCCTCCCTCCCTCCCTTCCTTTCTTTCCTCCCTCCTTCCCTCCCTTCCCTCCCTCCATTCTTCCCTCCTTCCCTCCCTTCCCTCCCTCCATTCTTCCCTCCTTCCCTCCCTCCCTCCCTCTCTCCTTCCCTCCCTCCCTCCCTTCCTTCCTTCCTTCCCTCCTTCCTATCTCCTTCCCTCCCTCCTTCTTTCCTTCCTTCCTTTCTGAAAGTTGGGAAAATAAAGAACTAAATTCCGTGCATGATCCTAGATTGGATCCTGAATTGGGGGTGAGGTCCTATAAAAGATATTATTAGAACAATTTGATGAAATTTAAATTTGTACAGTATATTAAATAATAATACATAAATAATAAATTTCCTGAATTGGGCCAGGTGTGGTCGCTCATGCCTGTAATCTCAGCACTTTGGGAAGCTGAGGCAAGTGGATCACTTGAGGCCAGGAGTTTGAGACCAGGCTGGCCAACATGGTGAACCCCATCTCTACTAAAAATACAACAGGCATGGTGGCGGGTGCCTGTATTCCCAGCTATTTGGGAGGCTGAGGCACGAGAATTGCTTGAACCCAGGAGACAGAGGTTGCAGTGAGCAGAGATCATGCCACTGCACTCCAGCCTGAATGACAGAGTGAGACTCCGTCTCAAAAATAAAAAAAAAACCCATACAAATGAATAAATTTTCTGAATTTGATCAGTGTATTGTGATTATATAAGCGAATTCCTTGTTCTTAGGAAGTACATATGCTGAAGTATTGAGATGCAAAGGGTCAATTTACTCTCAAATGGTTCAACGACATAAAGAGAGAAAAAAGAAAAAAAGAGAAAGAGCACAAATGTGATAAAATGTGAACAAAGAATGAATCATTGTTGTACTATAATTCCCTGGATCCCAGGAATATGTACTCACTAGGACAGTCATTTGTCACGTTGCTTAGGAAGCAGGTTTGGAGTCTTGTGTGGGGAGTTCGTCGACACCACCAGTCCCGAGTTTATGTGCAGTGGAAAATGGAGCAGTGTGGTCAGCAGTAGGAGAGCCAACTTCCACCCTCCACCTGCTGTTCCACGTGGTGGGTCTGCACAGCCTGGCTTGTGAGCAAATCCATTTTTCCTTCTCTTTGGGACCAACATGGGCTTAGAGATGACATAGCCTTGGGCATCCAATAAATTCAAATTTGAGAATCTCAATGATTCATAATTGCTGCTGTCAATTAATACATGATGAATTCATGTTGTTTTGAAAAAAGAATGATTGAGGTGACCAACAGAAGACTTCAATGTTTGTCCCCAAGTAGGTAGGCCACCCCAGATTTCCAACCCTGGGTGCATTGCATTGGCAATCTAAATCCCAAGGACTGTGAACTCTGTGGTCATTCTGCAGTTTCCTCTGAGAGTATTCATGGGTTGGGGAATCTCCTGCTGAAAAGGATATTGGGTAAAATTGCTTTATGTGAGCACTAGTAAACATTTAGCATATATTACCAAGAAAAGCAACACTGTAAGCCCAGGAAGCTTAGAGCTTCTCAAACAGAAGGGGATGATGGAGAAAAAAGGTGAAAAGTCTGGCAGGCAGGATGAAGGTCAATCAAAAAAGGGCAGCTGGCCACAGGGAAATATCATTTCACCCCTACTAGCATGACTGAAAAAAATGTATGTTGGTGAGGATATAGAGACATTGCTGATGTCATTTTAAAATGGCATAGCTACTTTGGAAAACAGTCTAGCAATTCCTTGAAAAGTTAAATGTAGAGTTTCCATATGACCCAGCAATTCCACTCCTAGGTATATACTCAAGTGAAATAAAAACACATGCCCCCGCAAAAACAAAACTTGTACACGAATGTTCATTGCAGCATTTTTCATGATAGCCCAAAGTGGAAACAACCCAAGTGTCTACAAACTGATGAACGAATAAATAAAATGCGGCATATTCATACCAAGAACTATCCTTTGGCAAGACAAAGAAATGAAATACTGATAAATGGGACAATTGGGGTAAGCTTTGAAAATGTGCTGAGTAAAAAAAAGCCAGACACAAAAGGCCACATATTGTATGACTCCGTTTATCTGAAACATCCAGAACAGGCAAATCTGTAGAGACAGAAAGTAGATTAGTTGTGGCAGGGCTAGAAGGAGAGGGATTTAAGGAGTGATGACCCATGGGTGTGGTGTTTTCTTTTTGGGGTGGTGAAAATGTTCTGAAATTAGATAGTAGTGATGGTTGTACAACTCTGTGAATATACTGAAACTAACTGAATTGTACGTTCTAGAAGGATGAATTTTATGGCATATGCATGGCACCTAAAAAAACCAAAAGAGGGCAGCTGTGTATCCTGGGTTGTTCCTTGCTTCTTGTATGTGTGTTTCTGCAGTCCAGTTGAGCAGCTATGCCTCAACCCTCGGGTCTATCCTGGTCTTGAATGTTCCTGACTGTTGTCTTCAGCCTTGGAACCACACAGCACCGCAGCACAGCCTGCAAGCCTTCCTGGGAAGATTTACACCTCTAGGCTGAGTCTCTGCTACTGCACTTTCTCCTCCCTCTCAAATGAAACCGCAGTGCCTCTCTGTGTGACCTTCTCAGTCATGCAATGACTTCTCTTTCATTTCCTATAAGCCTCTGAGCTCTGCCTTCTCCTTGCCAATTCCCCTTAGCTCCATCTTCCTTTGGCCGTCCGCTGTTGTGTAAATCTGTAGGGAAATGTCATTCAAAGACAAAACCCACTGCTTATTCTTCTTTCTTAATTGCTCCTTGGGAAATGTTTGCTTCTGTGTTCTTGGTGAAGGAAAGCTTAATTTTGTCTGCTTTTATATCACTAGTCTTTTCAGATTACACATTCCCAATCAATCACCTCTTGAATCAAGTAATTAGTTTTATTGTATCAGTCTATCCTTCAGAATTTCATTATGCAAATATAAACATGCATAAATACATTCATGTTTCCCCCCCTTTTACACAAAAGGAGGCACACTGTTTTGTGCCTTGCTTTCGTTTCACTTACTATGTCTGAGAACTTTTCGCATCATTATATGGAGAGCTTCCCCTTTCTTTATCAGCTGTGTGAGAGTCCAGTGTCAAGATGGACTGTGTTTGGTTTCATCAGTCTCTGTGGAAGGATCCTGGCTGACCTGTGTCTTTTGCTTTTACAAACCTTGCTGGATGATCTCACAATCACCTTGTTGCATGCACACGTAGGCAGAGCTGTAGAATAGACTCCCAGTGGGGCAGTTGCTGGGCAAAGGGTAAATCTCTTTATAATTTTGGCACATATTGCCAGAGTGCCTTCTACAGGGTTCTATCAACTGCTGGGCACTCCTGTCAGCAGTAAGAGTGGCTGCTTCTCCCAGCCTTTCCAATAAAATATGTTACCAACATTTGAAGCCAGGTGCAGTTGCTCATGCCTGTAATCCCAGCAACTTTGTTGCTAACATTTGGGATTTCCGCAATGATGTGCTAATAAATGTTTAACAACCACTTCTCCAAACAAAACAAAACAAAACAAAACCCAAAACCAAAAAAACAAGAAGCCCTAGTTGTAGTATCTGCTGATTTCCATGGCATAAATACTTCTACCCAGGCCAACTGCAAGCTATCAACATGATGTCCCTGACCATGGAGTTGGGAAGAGATGGGCCGTAGCACCCACTGTATAGTATTTCTACCACACAGATGCAAGAGATGCAAGTAGCATGGATAATTGTGAAATGTGGTAAAATAATAAGGAATTTAAGAGTTTTTATTTCCTTTGTATTTGTATGATTTATTTAGTTATAAATTTATATAATTAAATCTTAGCAACAATCTGCATTTAACAACCTACTCATAAAACCAGCTCCTAAAAATCTGGTAATTATTCATGGTCAACTGTCAAGAGTCAGCTCCAGCACACTACTGCAATGCTGCCAATTTGAAAGGTAGCGAATGCCATCCCAATGTAGTTGTCATTTTTATTGTTATTGTTTTACTTGTTTAAGGACGATTTGCATTTCCTTTTCTGTGAAATATGTTTCTGTCCTTCGCACATTTATCTACTGAGTTTTATTCTCTTGTTGATTTCTAGGAGATCCTTATACATGAAGCTCCTTCCGCATATCTTTTGTCTGTGTTATAAACTGCAGTGTTTTTTCCCGGTTTGTTATTTATCTTTTGTGCTTGCCCATGGCATTTTTCTTTTTTTCTTTTTCTTTTTTTGCCATGAAGTTGTTGTTGTTATTGTTTCAAAATATAGTTGAATTATTTTTTGCATTTTTTCTGGTTTTTTTTTTTTTTTTTTTTTTCTTTGACACGGAGTCTCATTCTGTCACCCAGACTGGAGTGCTGTGGCATGCTATCTCGGCTTACCACAACCTCCACCTCCCAGGTTCAAGCGATTCTCCTGCCTCAGCCTCCCGAGTAGCTGGGATTACAGGTGTGTGCCACCATGCCCAGCTTATTTTTGTTTTGTTTTGTATTTTTAGTAGAGATGGGGGTTTCACCATGTTGGCCAGGCTGGTCTCGAACTCCTGACCTCAAGTGATTTGCCTGCCTTGACCTCCCAAAGTGCTGGGATTACAGGTGTGAGCCACTGTGCCCAGCCCATTTTTTCTTTTATGGCGTCCAAATGTTGAATAACTAGGAACAACAGGATTAAATAAATTTTTTTTCTAATCACAATCAAGTTTCACATACTCTAAGCAATCTGTACAATTCCTGTATCTCCTTGGAGTTCATTATATTCAATTTTGTCTTTTTCTTTTGAGTCAGATTATTATTTAAAAACCCTCTCTACTTAATGGTATCACAAATATGCATAATATGTTAGAGACAGGCCTGGCATACTTCAGCTAAAAAGAAGTATGCATAGAGGTTATAAAATATTTATCAAGATACCATCACTAGTTCAGTGGTGGCTAACCCCACCACTTTTCTGTGACTAGTATTATTTCCTACTGGGGAGTTTCTTCACTTGTGTTTGACTTCCCATGTGGGCATTGTCTTAGTAATTTTGTGTTGCTGTAACAGAATAGCACAGACTAGGTAATTTATAATGAATAGATATTTGTTTGACTTATGGTTCTGGAGGCTGGGAAGTCCAATATTGAGGTACTGCATCAGATAAGGGAAGCTCTCATATGGCAAGAAAGTTTACAGGGGAGAGATAGAGAGGGCTGACCTTGCTTTTATAACAAATCCACTCTCAAGGTAAAGAATCCACTCCCTCAATAATGACATTAATCCATTCCCGATGGCAGAGCCCTCATGAAATAATAATTGCTTAAAGATCCTATTTCTCAACACAGTTGCACTGGGAAAGAAGTTCCCAATGCAGGAACTTTGGGGAACACATTCAAAGCATAGTAGGCATGTACTGGCTTAGTCCTGCATTGCTCTCTCCATCAGACTTCAAGGCCCAAAGCTCTAAGAATGATGCTGGAGTGTGGTTTGTGTTCAAGAAATATTAGTTGAGACACCACATTCAAAGGTATGAACCCCTCAGATAGACTTTCATCTGCATCTCCATCATCCCTGACAATGCCCATTAACATTTAGTCAGCAGCCACACATTTCCAGCATTACTTGAGAAGCTGTGCATGTGGTCTATGTGGTGTAGCCTCAGAATACGGTCATGCGGAAAGTTCTAACTCAGTGTATCTAAAAGCCACTTGACCGCTTAGAGTGAGCTTTTATTTCTAGCATCTCATTTTTGGTTCTGACTTTAGAAATGTGAAAACCAGATCTCAGATATGATATGTAATTTACCCAAAGTTACCTCATTACGACTTTGGCTTCTAGTAGTGCGTCTGGCACATAGTAAGTCCTCAATAAAATGAAGAGCATTTGAGATGACATGATTTTCCCATTTCCCAGTCCATGGCTCATGTCACTGTCCTATTACAGGTATGACCCGAGATGGTGGTGGCTGGATAGTTTCCTTCCAAGGTACTCTTTAAGGGGTAGACATGAAAGGCAGTGATCACTCATCCCAACACCCTATGCTTGTAACCTGATCTCCCCCTGGCTGGTAGGCCTTATTCTGTCAAGATTTACCCTTAGAAAAGCATATGATAAGTATAACAACTACAAAATATTGAGGGCATATTATATACCAGTTAATGTGCTATGTGTTCAATCCTCATCCAACCCTGTCTGGTGTTAATATTATTACTGTCATTTTATAGGGGTGCAGAGAGGTTATAGGACTAGTCCAAGACCAGACAGAGGCAACAGTAGAGCCAGGTGGAAATTCAGGTCTGTCATGGTCACAATGCTCTTTGTCCGTGGGGCATGGAGTTGCCCAATATATTATTGTTTTACAGTCTTTAGACACAGTGTCTTCGCTTGACAGGAGGCATGTTCCTTTATGTTGTAGGAAATGCACTGAACCTGAATAACTCTACAGGAGAGCTCTCATCCCCCCTTCCAGGTCGTCCCTGCTCTCAGCCTGCACCTCCCATTTTTTGATCAAGACAGCCTTGAAGTTCTTTATGTCTGTGGAAGGAAGGAGACGGAGCTTGTTTTTCACTTTTGCTGCCATGATTAATTATTTTTAGGAAAGCATTGTGTCTTTTGAGAGAGGATTGTAAGTGCTGGGAGAATAAATGGACCTTAGAGTGAGCCGTGTGTGCTCCAGACTTCCCCAGCTTGATAAACAGCTTCCTGACCAGTGGCTGGCAGTCCCTGGTCTCACTGGACGGACATTGGCTGGGGGCCAATGTCTGAGTTGAATGGCGAGGACTGGACAGTGCTTCTTCCCAGCCAGTGTGGCAATGAGCCCACTATTGAGAAGGCGCCTTGGCTTGGGAAAACACATTGCACATTAGATGTTGGTATCCGCGGCAGGGACCTGAGGCTGGAGTCACTGCCAGGCACCTTCTGGGAGGCCTGGCTTTCCAGCAAGGCCTGCTTCACATTCTCGGGAGAACTGGACCCAGCATAGGAAATGCCCTATTGCCCAAGAGGAAACCCCATGTCGAAGAACTGATATAATTAGGATACTGATAAAAATTAGAATGAGAAGGGGAGGGCCTAAATGAAGGGTCATGGGGTGTACTTTTAAAAAAAAAAAAAAAAAAAACCTTCCTGCCCTTCTCTGCATATGAATATACTACATGCTTATCCAAGAAAACTTTGAAAAGTAAATAAAAATTTCTTCCAATAATTTCACCCAGAAATTTAACTTCTACTATTTTTAAAGGAGTGTCTTTTGTATGCCAAACTTCTCCTATTTTTAAATAATATATCATGACAATCATTTTATTTTGTAAATCGGACCTCAGGTGTATGAAACTGGGTTAATTGTGACCTATGATTCATAGTGCATGTATTAGTCCATTTTCATGCTGCTGATAAAGTCATACCTGAGACTGGGAAGAAAAAGAGGTTTAATTGGACTTACAGTTCCACATGGCTGGGAAGGCCTCAGAATCATGGGGGGAGGCAAAAGGCACTTCTTACATGGTGGCAGCAAAAGAAAATGAGGAAAAAGCAAAAGTGGAAGCCCCTGATAAACCCATCAGATCTCATGAGACTTATTAACTATCACGAGAATAGCATGGGAAAGACCGGCCCCCATGATTCAAATACCTCCCTGCTAGGTCCCTCCCTCAGCATGTGGGAATTCTAGAAGATACAATTCAAGTTGAGATTTGGGTGGGGACACAGCCAAACCATATCATTCTGCCCCTGGCCCCTCCCAAATCTCATGTCCTCACATTTCAAAATGAATCATGCCTTCCCAACAGCTCCCCAAAGTCTTAACTCATTTCAGCATTAACCCAAAAGTCCACAGATCAAAGTCTCATCTGAGACAAGGCAAGTCCCTTCTGCCTATAAGCCTGTAAAATCAAAAGCAAGCTAGTTACTTCCTAGATACAATGGGGGTACAGGTATCTATGAAATGGGAGAAATTGGCCAAAACAAAGGGGTTACAGGGCCCATGCAAGCCTGAAATCCAGTTAGGCAGTCAAATTCTAAAGCTCCAAAATGATCTTCTTTGACTCCAGGTCTCACATCCAGGTTATGCTGATGCAAGAGGTGGGTTCCCATGGTTTTGGGCAGCTCCGCCCTGTGATTTCGCAAGGTACAGCCTCCCTTCAGGCTACTTTCACAGGCTTCCATTGAGTATCTGCAGCTTTTCCAGGTGCATGGTGCAAGCTGTCAGTGGATCTACCATTCTGGGGTCTGGAGGACGGTGACCCTCTTCTCAGAGCTCCACTAGGCAGTGCTCCAGTAAAGACTCTGTGTGGGGGATCCAGTCCCACATTTCCCTTCTGCACTGCCCTAGCAGAGGTTCTCCATGAGCGCCCTGCCACTGCAGCAAACTTTTGCCTGAGGATGCATGCATTTCCATACATCTTAAAGATCTAGGTGGAGGTTCCCAAACCTCAATTCTTGACTTCTGTGCACCCACAGGCTAAACACCACATGGAAGCTGCCAAGGTTTGGGACTTCCACCCTCTGAAGTCACAGCCCGAGCTGTATCTTGGCCCCTTTCAGCCATGGCTGGAGTGGCTAGGACACAGTGCACCAAGTCCTTAGGCTGCACACAGCACAGGGACCCTGGGCCCAGCCCAAGAAACCACTTTTTCCTCCTGGGCCTCCAGGCCTGTGATGGCAAGAGGGGCTGCCATGAAGGTGTCTGACATGGCCTGGAGACATTTTCCCCAAGGTCTTGGGGATTAACATTAGGCTTCTTGCCGCTTATGCAAATTTCCGCAGGTGGCTTGAATTTCTCCCCAGAAAATGGATTTTTCTTTTCTATTGCACAGTCAGGCTGCAAATTTTCCAAACTTTTATGCTGTGCTTCGTTTATAAAGCTGAATGCCTTTAACAGCACCAAAGTCACCTGCTGAATGCTTTGCTGCTTAAAAATTTCTTCTGCCAGATACCCTAAATCATCTTTGTCAGGTTCAAAGTTCCACAAATCTCTAAGGCAGGGGCAAAATGCCACCAGTCTCTTTGCTAAAACACAACAAGAATCACATTTACTCCAGTTCCCAAAAAGTTCCTCATCTCTATCTGAGACCACCTCAGTCTGGACCTTATTGTCCATATCACTATCAGCATTTTGGGCAAAGCCATTCAACAAGCTCTAGGAAGTTCCAAACTTTCCCACATACTCCTATCTTCTTCTGAGCCCTCCAAACTATTCCAACCTCTGCCTGTTACCCAGTTCTAAAGTTGCTCCCACATTTTGGGGTGCCTTTTCAGCAATGCCCCACTCTACTGGTACCAATTTACTGTATTAGTCCATTTTCACACTGCTGATAAAGACATACCTGAGACTGGGAAGAAAAAAATGTTTAATTGGACTTACAATTCCACATGGCTTGGGAGGCCTCAGAATCAAGGCAAAATGCACTTCTTACATGGCAGCGGCAAGAGAAAATGAGGAAGATACAAAAGCAGAAGCTCCTGAGAAACCTGTCAGATCTTGTGAGACTTACTATCATGAGAATAGCATGGGAAAGACCAGCCCCCATGATTCAATTACCTCCCCCTGGGGTCCCTCCCACAACAAGTGGGAATTCTGGGAGAGAGAATTCAAGTTGAGATTTGGGTGGGGACACAGCCAAATCATATCAGTGCACTCTCTTCATTTGACCATGCAATGCATGTTTTTAATAATAAACATCTCCATCCAATATGAAAACTCATACTGTAACTGTGATTTATAAAACCTTTGGCCCAATCTTTTTCCTACAACTACACTTCTCTTTATCTACCTTTTATTTTTACTTTTTGCTTACTTGAGCACATGCTATACATGCCCCTTTTTATGCCTCTCAGGAGGTTTACAGTGGTGGAATTTCATCACTCAGATAGCTTTCCACTCCACGCCCTTTGGATCCCAAAATGGACTGCCCATTTATCTCTTTCTGTGTGAAGGAAGTCAGGGTTAGGAGAGTCATCTGTATATGCCTCCTCGTTTATCTCTGATTCTTTAGCAAAACCACCCTGAAACCCAGGCAGATGTCAAGTCAGCTTGTCCTTGAGGGTCTCTGCTAAAGGAGAGGCCCCAGTGGCCACTGCAGCCTCCATAAATCGCTGTGGTCAAGCATGCATCTTGCCATCAGACCAACCACCACCTGATATGTGAAATTCACATTTGTTAATTATTTGCTAGAAATCTAAGAAGCTGTTATTTATTGTCATGTAGTTGAAAGCCTCTTTCCGCCTCCTCCAGAATTCACTTTTCTTTCTATCTTTCCTCTGATCATTGTTTTTATCCTTTGACTGTTCTTTTGTAGTTCTTTTCTTTATTCCTGAATTTATTTAAGTTGCAGATGAGGATTTTGGCTATGTCCACACCCCAGACTTCACCAGGAAGGTAACTTAGGGTTCCCCAAAATCCAACCAAACTGTTCTCAAATGCAGGAGGAGAACTCTCCCCTTCCCCTCTACCCCTGCCCCCTCATTTCTTCTCTTACAGGCTTTTCTAGCTCTTTTCCACCCCATGCCCCTTCTGTCTCTCCTTCCATCCTGGGGTTTGTGGTAGAGGATTACCCAGTTGCGGACGAGTCACATGCCTTATCCAGTGAAAATATTATTGTCTTATGGATGCCAAGAACAACTCCTGAATGTACAAACTATTTTTAATGCTCATTTGAGATTGATATCAGGCAAATAATAAAAGTTTCACAAGATTGCTACAAATAAATAATTTTGAAAACAAAACCAACCAAAGCAAAAAACAAACAAACAAAAACAACCTTTTCTATTGTGATTAGCATTTTTGCTAAACTCACCTTGGGCTTTTGACTTTCCAGACACTCTCATTGCAGGTGCTTGGAGCTCAGTTCTGTTCCTCCAGTCTTGTGCGCTCTCCTTGACCCGACCTTTTGTGCGTGTGCTGTCCTTGTCTGAAACCAGCCTGGAGCTCCCTATACAGATGTGTCAAGGTCAGGCCAGGTCAAGGCTGAGCACAGAGAAAGGAGCTGCTGTAGGAGGCCCATAAGGAATTTTGTTGGATCTGTGAGATCAGTGTATGCTCCAGCCCCTCTGACATACCCAGAGGAGACAGCCTTGAGTTTGGGCCCAGTACTGCCACTTATTAGCTGTGTAAACTTGAAAAAGTCAATTAATTTTGCATAAGTCTAGTGCAATAAGTAAGAGTCTCCAAGTCATCACCCTGTTGTGATGGATTACATGAGATCAAGCATGTAATGTGTCACCATGATAACTGGCAAAAATAAGTGCTTAGTAAATGCTGACCATTCTTCTTCTTAACAACATCATCATCATCATCATCATCATCATCAACAACAACAACACTAGGTGCAAGCGCCAGCCCTGGCCAAGGCCAATAGGCCCTGTGTAGGTTGCGGGCTACCTACTCAGTCTGGATGCTGGTTTCCTGTTCTCCTGCTCCTGTCTTTGCTCTTGACCTGTTTTCTTCTTGCCTCTGCAATGGACTCTGCTGCTGGTTGTGCCATCTCCTCAAGGTTGGACCCTTGGAAGCTGACGTATAGCTGGTACCTTCCAGCTACCTCTTCAACACCCCTGCATAGCTTGAACTCTGGTGACCTGCTCTGCTCCAGGCTCCGAGTCCCCCAGGTGCATTTTCCTGTCCTTGTTCCCACCATGGGCTCAGACAGTGAGTGCCTTGAAGGCAGGAATAGGGGGTCCTCAACCCATTCCCTGGCCCCTGACAAGCAGCTGGCTGCAGGATGTCCTCCACTACCTGTTAGTCAAATGCATGAAACATTGGATGAAGGCAAGAAGGTGAGATAGCCAGGTGTGGTGGCTCACTCGTGTAATCTCAACACTTTGTGAGGCTGAGGCAGGTGGATTGCTTGAGCCCAGGAGTTTGAGACCAGCCTCGGCAATGTGGCAAAACCCTGTCTCTACAAAAAAAATTTAAAAATTAGCCAGGCATAGTGGTGTATGCCTATAGTCCCAGCTACTTGGGAGGCTGAGGTTGGGGGATTGCTTGAGCCTGGGAAGCAGAGGTTACGGTGAGCTGAGATCTCACCACTGCTCTTCAGCCTGGGCGACAAAAAAGAGAATGTCTCAATAAATAAATAAATAAATAAATAAATAAATTAGTTAATTAATTAATAAAGGAGAGATAGACAGGAACCTTTTCCTTTGTTGAATCCAAGTTTAGTAGGATGTTCCTTTCTTTTCTCTCTCTTTCTTTTTCTCTCTTTCTCTCTCTTTCTTTCCTTTCTTTCTTTCTTTCTCTTTCCTTCCTTCCTTCCTTCCTTCCTTCCTTTTTTCTTTCTTTCTTGACAAGATCTCACCCTGTCATCCAGGCTGGAGTACAGTGGTACAATCATAGCTCACTGCAGCCTTCAGCTCTTGAGCTTAAACTATCCTCCCACCTCAGCTTTCCAAGTACCTGGGACTCTAGGAGCAAGTCACCATGCCTGGTGGATGTTCTTTTCTATTGAAAGTCTAGAGTAATTCATGGCCAATACTTAATTTTAGCAGCTTTGTTCCTTTTGAATGAGCCCTCAAGCCAAAAACATATCCATCTTTTAACAGTTTCATTTATTTCCTTTGAAATCACTTCAACTGGATTCAATGCAGTGCATTTGAACAGATGTTTACACAGTGTGTTGGACATTGTTATGGGCACATGACTGAGAAGAGAATGGTTAAGTTTCCTGCTCTGGACAGAACTAAAATTTTACCAGGAAGAGAGATGCTGAGCACCTAACTAATAAATACACAGGGTAATTTCATTTTTATAAGAGTTTCCAAAGCAATTACCATCACCACCAAAGAAGCAGGGTAGATTACTGGGTCTCGACAAGTGTGTGTGTGTGTGTGTGTGCGCGTGTGTGCGCACGCACGCGTGCGCATGCATGTGTGTGTCTTGGGGAGGAGATAAGGCCTGAATAAGGAGGGACAGCTGTCCTGTGGAGATCTGGAGAAGATTATTGTAGTAGAGGAATGGCAAGTTCAAAGGCCTGGAAGTGGTAGCAGAGTCATTGTGTTTCAGGGGCAGAAAGGAGGCCAGCGTGCCTGGGTGCCAAGGGAAGGAGGTGAGGGTGAGGGGGCGGACAGGCATCTCAAGTGCATGGAGAGCCACCTCTTCTTGGGTCCCCAGTCCAGGGCACTTTCTTTGGACCCAGGATGTAGGTACTGACAGCTGCCATGAATCTCGGAGTTGTTAGCATTCACAGCAAAGGGCATTTCCAGGCTAAAATCTAAGTAAACAAGCTCCAGAACAAAGAAGACACCATGTTCAAAGTGTGTGAAAATGGATAACAAATAGGAAACATTTAAAAACAAGGACTTTGTGGTAAACCATGTTTCCTTGATGTGCTTTCTGTCATGGTATCTGAAACACTGCAAAAGGACATCGAAGATCTGGGAGGGAGAGCTGACAATCTTCCCAAATAAGATACAGTTATCTTATTTCAAATAAAAAGGAAGCAAAATTGGCACAAGCTTTGGGTCAAATTTCTCCTGTGCCAAGTCTAGAATCAGCAGGTAGTGCTGAAATCACTGTCCCACATCCCAGACATAGTGAGCATTCTTTTAAGGCTCCAGGCTCAAGTGTGTGCAAACAGAGGGAAATTACACTTGAAAAAAAAGATCAAGGACCGTGAATTAGATACAACCTTGGGCAACAAAAGCAGCAACCATGAAAGGTTGTATGTACTTAAGAAGTCAAACACTTCTGGGAAAGCTGTGGGGAAGAGAGTTGGTATATGGGAAAAAAGTGGTAAACTCAAAACGCCTTTTGTATGGAGAAAGGCATTGGCCAGCTTTAAAGGCACTGCAGCATCAGTTGAGCAAGTGCTTTTAATAAATTACTCTCTTTTGTAGCTCTGTACTTTTTCTGATATGGATAAGCTATCTAGCATCCAAAGCAAACTCATCTTAAACCAAGAATTCAAACAAATGATAATAAAGATGGTAGAATGCCTATTCCACTCCATTTGAAAGAGATGCACAAAAGAAAATGGTAGGTGTTGCTTGCAGGAGTGTGATAATAGTGTTGCTCTTCTAAACTGGCAACTTTATGAGTAGATCATCAAAGCCAAGGTATTTTACTTTGTGGAATAAGAAACGATCACACCGAAAATAATAAAATTCAGCACTGGAGGTTTTCTGCCCTTTATAAATGTTTTTCAAAGACGGAACCGAAAGAATAGCTTGAGTGATAACAAGCTTTTCAGAAGGAGCTCTGGAAATTAATATGGGACAGGTGATGGAGCAAGACTTTCAGCATGAAGAAGCCCAGGAACTGGGAAAACACAAGTCTTTACTTCAGAATCACCCCATAGCCTCCAAGTAGTGTGTTGCAGGTTGAATCTAGCTGCAAATGGCATAAAACAGAATATTAATAGCTATATCCACATATCATTAAACTAGGTACATTCTTGATGTTCCTGAATATAAGGAGATTATAAATTAAAATGATTCTGAAAAACTACAGACATTGATGCAAGTTTCTAGTTTCAACCAGGATAATATCACATCTCACCTCAAACAAAAGGCATTTTCTTCAGAAAGGAACTAAAAAAAAATGGCCTTTATTCTATACTTGCTTATGGTTCTGGTTTAAAAACAAAAACAGGTTCCAGAAGACTACTTATTCAAAGACCCTGCCCCACATTCCTCTTGAGGATCCCAGTGAATGTGGCACTGATAATATGAATGGTTTACCTTCCGTGAGATTGCATTGAGGGGGGAAATATTCTTAGAAATAAAATTTTTAAAAAGAAAATATGATGTAAATTGACCAAGGGGTTTAAAAAATCTGTCAATCTCATATCCTATACCTAGCAAAAATATCCTTCAGAAATGAATGGAAAATTAAGACATTCTCAGATAGAAGAAAAATAAGAAATTTGTCACCAGCATTAAAGAATGACTAAAGGGATGTCTCTAAACAGAAAGTGAATAATAACAAAGGGAGGCTGGAACTTCAGGAAGGAAACAAAACAATGCAATGGTTAAAAATTCTCCTCAAGTGTTTAAAAAATTGTGTTGAAGCAAAAAAATATAACATCATCTGGTGAGATGTTCAGTGTCTGTAGTGGAAATATTTATTTAACATATTTGTATTTTAAGGGGGAGGGTAAACAGACCTAAATAAAAGTCAGATTTCTATACTTCACTTGAAGAGGTAAAATGCTGATACAGTTAGCTATGACATATTATGTATATATATTGTAATATCTAGGGAAATTAGTAAAAAACTATATGATGAAGAGATATATTAAAAATGTACTATAGATATGAATGTATGTGTGGGTTAGTATACATACATAGTTTTCCTTACTCTGTCACCTGAGAGAACAAAGAAGCAATGACAACCCTCTAGCAATTAGCACACTGGACACACAGATCTTGGTTTCTAACACCATTCACCAATAAAACAAATCAGGGCTCCTTGGAGAAATGGCTGATTCCAGGCCTTGGGGGAAAAATATATGAGATGAACCTGGAGCATTTTGTAGCACCAGAATGTAAGGAAATGTGTGTGTGTGTGTGTGAAGAGACACAGGAGCCAACCAAAAGAGCTCTCAATGGCCAAACTTGGAATAATTGGAGCAAGAAAATAATAAAGTAGTAATGTATTATCACCCAAAATAAATATCCACGAGTCCATAGTGATATAAGTAAATACTCGAATAAATAAATGGGGGAAAAAAGACAACTCTCTCTTATGAAGAACTGGAAATAGTTAATACAGATACTACAGCCTGAAGGAGGAGAAGTGTAAGTTCCTGGTCCTTAGGTATGGGCCTACATAGTGATTTTCTTCCAAAGAGTATAGAATAGATAGGGGTGGGGGAAAGTAGATTTACAGTGGAGACACCTGCCAAGCACTACTTCAGCCAGGTGATCATGGTCAACACCTGCTGTGATAAATCATGGTGTGAGTATGTACCCTGGATATGATGTGATGAAAATGACACTTCACTGCTTTACCCATTACCCTTGTCGAATCATGAAAAAAGCCTCAGGTGAATTTCAACAAGGGGGTATCATAGAATACATTGAATATAGGATAATACCTAACCAGGACTCTTCAAAATTGTCAAGGTCCTAAAAATCAGGAAAAGTTTGAGAAACTGTCACAACCAAGAGGAGCCTGAGGAGATGTGATGACTAAACACAGTAAGTGTCCTGGATGGGACCCTGGGCCATAGGAAGATGTTAGGTAAAACTAAGGAAATCTAAATAAGATATAGACTTTGGTTAATAATAATGTATCAATATTGGCTCATTAATTGAAACAGTCGTGCTAATTAATATAAGATGTTAATAAGATGGGACACTGAGTGAGGATGTATATGGGAACTTTCTGTTCTACCATCTCATTTTTTTTAAACTTATAAAAAATAAAGTCTATTAAAACATTATAGCACTTTGGGAGGCTGAGGTGGGTGGATCATCTGAGGTCAAGAGTTTGAGATCAGCCTAGCCAACATGGCGAAATGCTGTCTCTACTAAAAAAACAAAAATTAGCTGGGCGTGGTGGCAAGTGCCTATAATCACAGCTACTCGGGAGGCTGAGGCAGGAGAATCACTTGAATTTGGCGGGATGGAAGTTGCAGTGAGGTGAGATCATGCCACTTCACTCTGGCATGGGGGAAAGAGCGAAACTCCGTTAAAAAAAAATCATGAGTTTAAACATAAAACATAAAAATATATAATGTTTAGAAAGAATTCACAGGAGAAAATCTTTGGGACCTAAGGCTAGACAGAATTCTTAGACATGACACCAGCAGCACTATCCATAAAGAGAGAAGAAAAAGTCAATATACTATACTTCGTTGTAATTAAAAACTTTTGTGGTGTAAAAGACTCGGTGAAGAGGATGAAAAGACAAACTGTAGACTGGGAGAAATTATTTTCAAATCCATATCTTTTTTTTTGTTTTTTTGAGATGGAGTCTTGCTCTGTTGCCAGGCTGGAGTGCAGTGGCGCAATCTCAGCTCACTGCAACCTCCAGCTCCCGGGTTCAAGCGATTCTCCTGCCTTAGCCTCCAGAGTAGCTGGGACTCCAGGCCCAGCTAATTTTTGTATTTTTAGTAGAGACAGGGTTTTACCATGTTGGCCAGGATGGTCTCGATCTCTTGACCTCGTGATCCACCTGCCTCGGCCTCCCAAAGTACTGGGATTCCAGGCGTAAGCCACCGTGCCCGGCCTCAAATCCATGTCTTACAAAGACCTTATATCTACAATACACAAAAATTTATCAAATTCAACAGTAAAAAGACAAGAAGAAAAATGAAGAATCCCATCAGAAAATGAGGGGAAAATATGCCCATGAATTTCACCAAAAAGACTATACAGATGGTAAAGAAATGCAGGAAAGGATGTTCGATATCACTAGCCTTTAGGGAAATGCACATTAAAACCACCGTGAGATATTACTACACACCTATCAGAGTTGCTAAAATTGAAAACAAATTATAACACAAAATGCTGGCAAGTATGTGGAGAAACTGGATCACACCTACATTGCTGGGTAGAACAAAAAATATTATAGTCATTCAGATAACAGTTTGGCAGTTTCTTTAAAAACTAAATATGCAATTGCTGTTTGACCTGGAAATTGCATTCCTGTGCATTTATTGCGGAGAAATGAAAATGTATGTTCACACAAAAACCTGTACAAGAATGTTTATAGCAGCTCTATTCATAATAGCTAAAAACTGAAAAGATGCAAAATGTCCTTTAGTGGGTTAAACCATCCACATCATGGAATACTACTCAGCAATAAAAAGGAACCAACTATTGATACACACAAAACCCTGGTTAATCTTGAGAATTACATTAAGTGAAAAAAAGCCAGTCCTCAAAAGTTACATACTGTGTTACTCTATTTATACAACATTTTAAAAAGGACAAAGTTACAGGAATGAAGAACAGATTAGTGGTTGGTGGGACAGCAGTGAAGTGGGGTGGTTGCAAAAGGGCCACATGAGGGATGCTTGTGGGGATGGAATTGTTTCATAGCTTGACTTTCTTTTTGTTTGTTTGTTTGTTTTTTTTAGACGGACGGAGTCTTGCTCTGTCACCCAGGCTGGAGAGCAGTAGTGCAATCTCAGCTCACTGCAACCTCCACCTCCCAGGTTCAAGTGATTCTCCTGCCTCAGCCTCCCGAGTAGCTGGGATTACAGGTGCCACTACCACGCCTGGCTAATTTGTTGTATTTTTAGTAGAGACGGAGTTTTACCATCTTGGCCAGGCTGGTCTCAAACTCCTGACCTCCGTTGATCCACCCGCCTCAGCCTCCCAAAGTGCAAGGATTACAGGCCTGAGCCACTGCACCTGGCCAATAGCTTGTCTTTCAATAATAGTGTTCTTGCTGTGATATCGTACTACAGTTTTGTAAGATATTACCAGTAGGGGAAATTTGGTTAAGAGCATGTGATGTTTCTATTATTTCTTACAACTGCTCATGAATCTACAGTTACCTCAAATTAAGTGTAATTTAAAAAATACTGGAAAAGAACAACCCCCTTACCCCATGCAGATATTTTCATCTATTTTGGTTGTATTTATTTGGTATTGACTTCCACAATGTATATAGTATGTTTTGATTGCTAATCTATGATTTATTAATTGAAGACGATTTTAGATAGATCTGTATCTTTATGGTAGAGTTTATTTATTGTAGCTGCATTTTAATTTAAAACTTAATTACTGTTGCTTTGTTTCCTTCTGGTTTCTGCATGATTTCCACTGCTTCTCTTGTGTTCTGTTTGTTTGTTTTGGAGTTTCTCACATTGAGAGATTTTTCTCATTGTTGGGTAACCATGACTCTATCTTCCTGTTTAAGAATTAGGGGCTGGGCACCATCGCTCAGGCCTGTAATCCCAGCACTTTGGGAGGCCGAGGCAGGCAGATCATCTGAGGTCAGGGGTTTGAGACCAGCCTGGAGGGTTGGAGAAACTGGCTGTTGCATTAGTCCGTTCTCACACTGCTATAAAGAATTAACTGAGACTGGGTAATTTATGCAGAAAAGAGGTTTAATTGACTCAGAGTTCTGGAGGCTGTACAGGAAGCATGGCTGGTAGGCCTCAGGAAGCTTACACTCATGGCAGAAGGGCAAAGGGAAAGCAAGCACATCTTCACGTGGTGGCAGGAGACAGTGAAAGAAGAAGCACTACACACTTTTAAACAACCAGATCTCGTGAGGACTCACTCACTATCATGAGAACAGCAAGGGAGAATTCTGCCCCCATGATCCAGTCACCTCCCACCAGGTCCCTCCCTCAGTGTTGGGGATTGCAATTCAACATGAGATTTGGGTGGGGACACACAGCCAAACCATAGCAGCTGTTACCTCATGCTCCTAATTTTGTGGAAGATCAGATAACAACTTAGTTTCAGTTTGGTGGAATTGTCGCATAGATAACTCTGTTTTGATTTTTAGTCTGGTTGTTGGGGCGTAGTGAGGGGGCTTAGCGGGGGCCCTGTGTGTTTTATCTGGTGACCCTCCAGTTTCTCAGCGCCATGCATTTGCTTGTCCTGGCCTCTGCAGTCACCTTTGCTGGCTGTGGCATTGTGAGGGTGTGAAGGCTGCAGATTCTTAGAGGGGGCCTATTCCAGGCTCTCCTGTGTTCATGACTGTCACATCCCATCTTGGGCGAGGCCAGGCTAGAGTCCACAGGCTCCACTCAGGCTCTCTTTCCCAGACCCCGACACCTCTGTCAGCCTCGTTGTAGGTCCTCTTTTGATTGCTGTTGCCTTGGACCTGGACAGTTTATAAACCAAACTTGCCAAGAGGCAAGAGTGAAGAGGTCTGTTAAATAGGGAAAGAGCTTGGAGTCTCCTGGGCCATGTGCTCAGTACACAAGTTCCTACAGGTGGGTAGTCCTGTTTGGGATAGTTCAGACACACCAGAGTAGGGAGTGAGGGTCCCATGCTGGCCACCTTTCTTCTTCATCTCCCTCTTCTCATGCCTCCCTGCCACCACCCAACATTTTCAGCCTTGAGAAATTCCAAGTAAGCCCCTTGCTCAGGGCTGGGAATCCAGTTGGCAGTTCGGGAGGCGGTGGGGTCAGAGTTACCGCTTCTTTCCGGGCCTTTCCAGAGGTTCTGCTGCTCCCCCAATACGCCTTCCATTGTGCTCCAGTGCGTCCCTCCAGCACATTCCCACAGTTAGATTCTTCTGGGGACTGTTGTAGGCACATCCCTGAAATTCCCGAGGGATCTCCCCCTGGCTAGTGTACTTCCTTTTCTCAAGGTATGTGGGAACAGGAGCTGTCTGCCGGGATTAGCAGCCCACATGATTTCCCAGTCTCAGGACCTGTTTCCTGTTGGGAGCCCCTGAGCTCTGAGACATGTGGTTGCCAAGTGCTTGCAGCGCTGGGTGTGGTGGAGCCCCAGGCTGACTCTCCTAGGTGGCAGACTCTTGGGGGCGAGCTCTCCCCAGGGCGGGGACAGGCTGGGGGTGGCGGGCTCTTGGGGGTGGGCGGATCTCCTTGGGTGAGGGGTGTCTCTGGGGGTTTGGCTCTGGGGAAGGGGTTCTGAGGAGGGGGCAGATTCTCCTGGGGAGGTGGGCTCTGGGGGTGGGGAGCAGGTTTTCCTGGGTGGGCCTCTCCTGGGACCAACTCTCCCTGGCGGCAGGCTCTCTTGGCCATGATTCTTTCCTCCACAGCAACATCCATGTGCAGAGGTGCTAGAGCTGCCAGTACTAGCTTACCAGCGCTGGCTACAAGATCTTCAGGAACTTTTTGGCCTGGTTGTTAACCAGAGCAACTATTAAAAATTATAGAACCTCAGGTAAGCAAATTAAATCGCAAACAAAAGTAATGGATACACAAAACTTATACTACCTTTTTTATGACATTTTACCATTTCCTGTGCCCTTGAGGCTCTTTACGTTATGGTACCTGTGTGGTGGAAATACTGTACTGGGCGACGGGGCAGCTGTGCTTCTCTCCCCAGTTCCTACTTGTGTGGGAGTATTTCACCATGGAAATCAGCAAATCATGCTTAGTTATTTGGACAGCTGGTTATTAAACATTTACCAGCACACACCATTACCTGAGTTCTATCAGCTTATTAAATTAAAAAATAAATGGAGCCCTTTAATCACATTGTTCTTATTTTATTTTATTTTTTATTATTTTTTAGAGGTAGGCTCTTGCTGTGTTGCCCCGGCTGGAATGCAGTGGTACAATCATAGCTCACCATAGCCTGGAACTACTGGGCTCAAGTGATCCTCTTGTCTTAGCCTTCTAAGTAGAAAGGACCACTGGTGCTTGCACCATGTCTGACTAACTTTTTTTAAAAAATGCTTTTTTGTAGAGATGGGTCCTTGCTTTATTGCCTAGGCTGGTCTTGAACTCCTGGCAAGAGATGCAAGTGACCCTTGCATCTCAGCCTCCCAGAGTGCTGGGATATAAGCATGAGTCATCGTGCCTGGCCTAATCACATTGTTCAAGCATTGTGCAAATCAATGGAAGCCTAGCTCACAACACTTCTGGTTTAAATGCAGGCACACTTCCCCTCTGCCTGGCCCTGACTCCTGCTGCCCTCTCCTACTCAGTTCTCTGGCAGCTCATCCCCCTCACCCACTCTACTCCATTCCCTGCCTGCTTTCCAGTCTCTCGACCTGGACAGGTTTTCTGCCCCTTTCCCCATTGTTTCTTTCAAGTATTCATTATGTACCTTCCTTTATCCTCTCAGCTAAAGGGTTTCCCTTTTCTTGCCAAGGTTTGTGATCCATCTCTCTCTTCTCATTCTCCTGATTCTGAATTTATCATAACATTTCCTGGGCACAATTTAGATATGCTTATTTGACCTTCCCAGGCTGTGCTAACAGCACCACCACCACTGCTGCTGCCGAAAAGAGTTAGTGATATTTATCTACACCTGTACCTGTGCCACCTGTGTCCCATGCCAGAGACCCCGGAGCACTCCATGGGCAGGTCCCATTTAATGCTGATACCTCCATGAGAAATGAGTGTTTGGTTGAATTTAAGTACTGTAAGGGAACTTTTTAGACTGCCCTAGGTGGTATGTGAAACCTGAGGGCTTTGTGGTTGTGCCAAGGGGCTTCTGAGTAGAGAAGAAGAAGGGATACCAGAGAAGATGAGACTCACCCACAGCCCTTCTAAGCCCAGACCTAGCAGAGCATTTCACTGTCCAGAAATAGGAGTTGAAACTGTGGCCTTCAGAGCAATGTTTTAACCTGGCTTTAGTATTCTTACTAGCTGAGTGACCTTGGGCACTCTGTGCCTCAATTTCCTCATCTGAAAAATGGGGATAATACTATTACCTTATAAGGTTTTTTGTGAGGTTTAAATGAGTTAATGCACATAAAGCTCTTCGAAAAGTGTTCAACTAATAAATATTAGCCATTGTCATTACTGAGGCTATGTGCAAAATTGTACTTAATAAAATAATGCTTCTGGTAAGAGGTTGAAGACCACATATGTAGCTCTATGGCCTTTATTTTATAGTTGAGAAAACTGAAGCTCAGAGCTAAGAACTGGACACAGCCAGTGAGCAGCAGAGTCAGGACTAAATCCCTTTCTGCTCTGAATTTTTCAACAAATGGTATTAATCCTCTTCTTTGACCTGGAAGGGGCATGACACCTACAACATTTGATACCCATGGCATTTGACACCCACACCACTCAACACCCTTGTGCCTTTATTTTGATTAAAGGTGTGTCTTTAAAGTGATGAGAATAGTGTCCAAATAAATATGACAGAACCCTTCTATCCATTTTCTCTGGGAAGAAATGAATATTAATATCTCTGGTAAGATTTGAATATTAAACAAAGAGAAAGAACTAGCCCCTTTAGTGGATATAGCATGATCTGGGGAACAAAGAGACAGCCCAGATGGGAGCATGTTATTGGAGAGGGATAAGGAGCGTGCAAGGTAAGGTGTCGGTGAACAAAAGTTCTCTGTAAAAGAATTGGAAGGGAAGAGACTTTATTCCACTAAGCAGTTTGCAAAATGGGGAGATGTGACCTGTGGTCTAAAATGAAGGTTCCTTCCAGGGAGCAAAAGGAGGTTTCAGTTTTGACAGCAAAAGTTCCTGTCCGGGTTCCCACTCAAGTCCATTTATGCAAATGAAGGATTCAAACTTGCTTAGTTCTAATTACTTGATGAAGCTAAGTTCTGATTGGTTGGTTCAGGTGAGTTCTGAAAGTCCCAAAGTTGAACAGAGGTATGGGTTTTCTGTTGACACAGAGTACATCTGTGATGTCTAGTCAATAAATGACCACTAGGCTCAATGTTAAATTTAGGCCCAGTTAGCCACTAGGGATCCATCTTGAAGGACTGGCTCTTTCGGTTTCATATTCATTCCCATGACCGAGGCAGGACCCATCCTGCAGCTTTTGCCCAGCGGGTAGGAGACCAGGCTTGGGAGGCCATTAAGTCAACTTCAGACACTGTTTTACTGCCCAGGGTGGAGGAAGATCTCTAAACTAAATGCCTACAGCATCCACAGCTGAATCTGGCTGGCATGTAAAGAACCAGCAGTAAGCGATGTGCCTGGTGTGCTGGGGTACACGAACGGAGGTGGGCCGGGCCCTGTAGTGATAGTCAGTTTCACTGGGACTACCCTACTCCAGACAGGAAGTCCTCATTGCTGACAGCACTTAGGAGCAGTGCCTCTCCACCAGAAGTGTATTCTCAGCAGGGGTGGATCTGAGAGCAGAATACCTAGTGGAGAAGAGGGGTTTCCACTTGTGGGGTAGAGCTCTTTCAAGCACCCGGGCCACATTCAGAGAAGTTCCCCTGCACTGGGCTAAATGAGTCAGGTGGCCTCACTTCTCTCAGACACATCTGGCAACCTGGGCAGCTTTTGGGGTGACACTGCAGGACCACAGGAGGGACTCCTTCTCTCTGGCATTCTGAGAGGTGAAGGGCTTCACATTCCAGTGATGGAAATCTTGGCAACACTAGAGAAAGGAGTGCAGCTCCTACCTAACCAGTGAGAGAATATTATACATGATTTTGTATAATCTGATTTGAAACTTGAAATAATGCAAC
The DNA here is from genome assembly GCF_000001405.40 of Homo sapiens. NCBI lineage: Eukaryota > Metazoa > Chordata > Mammalia > Primates > Hominidae > Homo > Homo sapiens. The sequence goes on along the minus strand of NC_000002.12, from coordinate 111,549,097 downwards.
ATTTTCTTAGTTGAAAAACAACAAAAAATACATAATTTCAAGCTGTTCTTGGGGGTGAGGTGCAGAGCGTGAACTGTCTCCCACTTCAGGGGGTAAGCAGGTAGACAGGAATGTCACCATCCATTGTCTCATGGGTGTGAATCACTGCTTCTAGACTCCTGTGCTTTTGATAATTATTGCAAAGTCATTTCAACTTTTGCTGTGTTATGATCTTTAAAACAAATAGTGTATTCTACTGCAGGATAGGCTAATTGTCATTAAGAGGTGATTCCAGTGGTATTGTTAAAAAAAATACACCCACAATCAGTAAATTTAGAAAGAAAGTTAGGTGAGATAAAATATCTTGAAGATTTAAAAACACCAGGAAATAAATACCAGCCTGCTAATTTTACGACAAGCATCCCAAGAAATATTGGAGATGATGCTGAGAAAATAAAAATAGCATTAAAGATCCTCAAACAGCCCCTGTTCCTCTGACTTTGCAGCATTTGGAGGGGAAAGCACTCTTACATTATGAGGGCCTCTGGAGCCCCACCTAAATCCTTAAGTGAAAACTCCCAGGGAGCATCATTTTCTGACAGTTGCAGCTGGATTAGCACCACGTGGGCCAGTAGCCTCAGAGAAGGGAGTGTGCAATATCAGCTTCCTCCAGAGAGATGCCGATGGGTCCATTCTGGGCCCCCATTTCCATACCTGTAGCCTCTTAGGGGACACAGAATGACTGGGAGGTGCTGCCTATTCACCTGTGGAATGTGGGCACTTCTGGGGTCTGACTTTCTCCTATATAGCTCTGTAGCTTTTGAATACCTATAATAATTATGTACTTGTATTAATTTTTAAAAATCTATTAAAAAGAAAAAAAATAAAGGAAGAGGGGCTGAGTTCTGCTGTGGAAATCAGATCTATTTAGAAAGCAAGAAGGTCTGTGGACAATCCAATACAAGGTGGCCCAGCCTCCATACCACCTCCAGCTGTCCCCGGGCTGCTTTGCAGTAACAACCTATGGGCAAATGGCAGCGTGCGCCTCTGTCTTTCTGCCCTATATGCCTGAACTCACAGCGGTCCTTCAGGAGTGATATGACTCATTCCCATGGGGAGGTGGGGGCGTGCTAGGTGTCTTAGTCCATTGTGTTTGCTCTCATAAAATACCATAGACTGGGGGGCTTTAACAATAGGCATTTATTTCTTACAGTTCTGGAGGCTGGAAGTCCAAGATCAAGGTGCAGCAGATCTGGTGTCTGGTGAGGGCTCCCTTTCTGGTTTGCAGATGGCCGCCTTCTCTCTGTGTCCACACTTGGTGGAGACAGGGAGAGCTCTGATCCCTTCCTTTTCTTATAAGGGCACTAATCCATCATGAGAACCCCACCCCCATGACCTCATTTAAACCTAATGATCTCCAAAGGTAATTACATAGGGGGTTAGAGCTTCAACATGCAAATTTGGCAGGGACAGGGGGTGGGGAACATGAACATCCAGTCCATTACCATAGAGATATTCAAATGGGGGTAAATGCTTCTGTGGAAAATCCCCCCGTGGGAGGCTGCTCTGGGCTGTGTGTCCACCCCAACTTGGTGCTCCCACGAGACTGTGGGACAGGGTGGCAGCCCTCTATCCCCAGTGTGGCCTTCAGCATGTGCAGTCCCTGGCCTGGCTACCTGCAGAAGCCCACAGGAAAGGGGCAGCCAGGGGTTGAAGGAGAAAGGAGGAGAGAGGGGTGGGGATGAGACACTCCATTCTGAGGAGAGGTCCCCAGGAAGAGGCTACGCAGATTCTTTGGAACTGGAATTGCCTGAGGAGGCTTAGGACAGCACTGCTCATTAGACCACTGCCTGGGAAATGGCCATCAGCTGAGAATGTGGGACCTTAGTGTCCCTGTGTCTGGGGGAGTCCAAGAGAGAGAGATGGATACTGAAGATTTTGCAAAGTGGCATGGCTGGGTGAGTGGGCCCTCCACCAGGAGACACTGACTACAGGTGCTTGCTGGGCATAACCGAAGGAGGGCCCGGCAGAATCCAGACCCTCCCCGTTGCCGTGAGAGGCTCAGGGGGCTAGCTTATGAGGAAGAGAACTAAAAACTAGGGGACACATTCTGAGGATACAAAATGCACAATGAGCCCTCATTTAGATGAGGGGTAGGGTCTTAACCAAACTCCAGCATTACACCCCAGCCTTTCCTTGTGGTTCCATGTTGTCATGCACCATGTGCTTAGCTACAGCTCTCCTGGGTGCTGCCTTCCAGAGATGGGACCACCTCAGTGACAGTGAAGAGATTAAGTGTGCAAGCTGGGGACAGCGGGCACGTGATTAACGTTTCCTGACTCTGACTCGTCCTTTGGAGGGTGATGCTACATACAGCCCATCATACGCACTATCATGGCCCAATCTCTCTGAAAGTGAAATCACTTCTCCCCACTGAGCTGCATCTGGAATTTTAGCAGCTTGGAGCAATGCAAAATAATGGTGCTTAAACTCAGGCCAGCCTCCTCAATTTTGAGCTGGGCAATCCATTACACATACATTTTAGGCAGAATGGGATCCTGGCAAATTTGCTGTCTGTGTATGTGGCCCACAAATTTCCATTCATTGAACAGTTGTCATTTTTAAGCGCTGCAGGGCAAAAAGGTTATTTGTTGACTTTTTGTTTTTTGCAAATGATATTACCTTGCAAAAGAGCTTACCCTGAAACTGAAAAGAATGATTCTGTGTTACCATATGCTTTTATAGGCTTAGCTCTTGTCTGTGGGAAGTTTGCAAGCATTCCCTCCTCTGCTCCCCATTCATTTATAAAGAAACCTCCCACATGGTGCTATTAAAATAAAAACTTACTCATATGCTTAGTCAATACCGAGCAGAATTTCTTTCATAGGTTCCGTATGAATGAGTTCTGAAGTAACAGGTTTAGAAAATGAAACTGCTCAAAAAGAATATGAAAATGACTTGAAAAGGTGCCAGAAAATACTTTGACTGTGTGTGCATGTGTGTGCACGGGGGTGGGGGAAATATCAGATCATGGGAAGGTTCCAAGACCTTCAGGTTATAATGGCATGTGAACAACCTCAGGAGTTGGTGTGGGAATAAACGATTCAGGCTTAAAATGAGAAACTCCTGTTATGGACACCACGGGATGTTCTAGTCAACAGATCTAAACACGTGGCCCCGTGACTACCTGTTTATGTGGGTGTAATCAATGCCCAGCTCTGCTATTCACCAGCTGTGTGGCCTAGGGCAAGTTGCTCCACCAACCTGATCCTCAGTTCCCTTGCCTGTAACATGCTGATAATAACAGCATTTATTCCATAGGACATAGGATCCCCACAACCCCAATTCCTTGGAGCTCAAAAATTAGATGAATCTTGATCCTTGTTCACAGTACTTTCCACCACGGATCCATCCATGACTTTGTCATTTATTTAGTTATGTAACTAGTTATTTCCAATATTGTAATGAGCACCCATGAATCTACCACCAAACAAAAGCTAAGTCTAGGACAATAACCTACATCTTATCAGCTAGTCCCCAGTATCTTATTAACCTCTTCTCCCCACTTCTAAGGTCTACACCATCATGAATCTTGTGTTCCTGATACCCCTGCTTCCCATTTTATTTGGTTTTATGCTTCCATATGTATTTCTAGAAAGTAGGTATATTTTTATCTTAATTGTTTTTTAACTTTATAAAACTTTTAGGGACTTACTTTTTTCCATTTAATGTTATATTGCTAAGAGTCATTCACAGTATTGTGTGTCATTGTAATTTCTTTGTTCTGACTGCTGCATAGTAGTGTATACAAATAAACCATAGTGTAATCATCCATGCTCCCATTGAGGGGTCCTTGGGAAAGGAGAGGGTCCAGACTTTTGCTAGTTAGAACAGGGCTGTTATAGTCCTACTGGTACATGTCAGCCTTTGTACAAGTATAAGAGTTTCTCTTGGGTATGGACCTTCAAGGAGAATCATGGCAGAGAACATGTGAAAGTTCAACTTTAGGAGACAATGCCAAAACATTCTCTAAAGACTCTGTGCTAATCTACAATGCCACAGGCTTCATCCTCTCCAGCACTTAATTGTGTTAGGCTTTCTACTTTTTGCTAATTGAATGAGTATAACATGTTATTTCATTGTGATTTTAATTTTCACTTTTTTTCTTTAACAAATTTTTTTATTTTTAGTTTTTGTGGGTACATAATAGGTACATATATTTATGGGGTACATGAGATGTTTTGATATAGGCACACAATGCATAATAATCACATCATGGGAAATGGGGTATCCATCCCCTCAAGCATTTATCTTTTGTGTTATAAACAATCCAATTATACTCTTTTAGGTATTTTTAAATGTACAGTTAAATTATTTTGACTATAGTCACCCTTTTGTGCTATCATATACTAGGTATTCATAATTTTTTTCACTTTTCTTTTTGAATCTTTTCATAAGTTTATTGGGCATATATGTTTCCTCTTCTGTGAAATGCCATTGGTGCTTTTTTTCCTCATTATTATACTGGTTATTTGTGCTTTGTTAACAAAATTGATTTGTAGCAGTTCTACATATATTCTTGGTACTAAACCTTTGTGGTTGATATTATGAATCTCTTGTCCCAGTTTTTACTTTGTCTTTTTACTTTTTAAAGGTATCTCTTGGTGAACAAATGTTCTTTATTTTGACATAGTTAAATTTATCATTTTATAGTCAACAATTTAAGTGCTTAAGAAAAACTTTAGCTGCGTGTATTAGTCCATTCTTGCATTGCTATAAAGAACTCCCTGAGAATGGGTAATTTATAAAGAAAAGAGGTTAAATGACTCACAGTTCTGCAGGCTGTACAGGAAACATGGCTGGGAAGGCCTCAGGAAACACAATTATGGTGGAAGGCGAAGGGGAAGCAGGAATATCTGCATATGGCCAGTAGGAGAGAGAGAGAAGGGGATGGTACTACACACTTTAAATACAGAACTAGGGGGATGGTGCCAAACCACTAGAAACCACCTCTATGATCCAAGCACCTCCCACCAGGCCTCACCTCCAACATATGGAATTACAATTCAAAATGAGATTTGGGTGGGGACACAGAGCCAAACCATATCACTACTCCAAGGTAGAAAATAGTTACCTGTATTTTACTATAAATTATAAAGTTTCTTTTTTGACATTTAATTCCTGAATCTATCTAGGGTTATTTTTCGGATGTAGTTTGAGGGAGATATTCAAGTTCATTTTTTCCCATATGAATAACTACTTTTTTCCACCTCCATTTGTTTATCAGCCTCCTCTCCTCACTGACCTCCTGTATCCTCTGTAATAAACCAACATTCTTTATTTGCATCCATCTTTTTCTGGGATCTTATTCATACCCCATGGTCTGTTTTTCTGTCTCTGCACCAAAACTACAGGGTTTTAATTGCTCCAGCTTCATAAAAGTCCAGACATCAATAAGGGAAACCCCTGATCACTACCTTTTCAGAAACATCCTATTTTTGGTCTTTTATGCTTTCACATAAGTTTAGAATCATTTTTTCAGGTTCTATTTTTAAAAATATTATTAGGAATTTGACAAGAATTGCACTGAATATATAGATCAAATTACACTATTAAATTATATAATCCATGAACACAATATCTCTCTCCAATTACTTAGCCCTTTTTAATATCTCTTAAAGTTTTACACTTTTCCTTCTAGAGGTCTTGAAAATGTGTCCATTGTTAGGTTTATTCTAGGAGACTTGATATTTTATTTTATTTTATTTTATTTTTTGAGGAAGGGTCTTATTTTGTCATCCAGGCTGGAGTGCAGTGGTACGATCATAGCTCACCGCAGCTTCGAACTCCTAGGTCCAAGTGATCCTCCTACCTCACCCTCCTGAGTAGCTGGGACTATAGGCACATGCCACTGTGCCCCACTAGATACCTGATGTTTTCTGATGCTGTTGTAAAGAATATTGTCTTTCAGCCTGGGCACAGTGGCTCATGCCTGTAATCCCAGCACCTTGGGAGGCTGAGGCGGGCGGATCACTTGAGATCAGGAGTTCTAGACCAGCCTGGCCAACATGGTGAAACCCCGTCCCTACTAAAAAAAAAAAAAAAATACAAAAATTAGCCATGTGTGGTGGTTTACACCTGTAATCCTAGCTAATCAGGGGGCTGAGGCACGAGAATTGCTTGAACCCAGAAGGCAGAGGAGGTTGCAGTGAGCTGAGATAGCGCCACTGCACTCCAGCCTGGGTGACAGAGTGAGACTCTATCTCAAAATTTAAAAAAAAAATTGTCTTTTAATTAAACTTTCTAGCTGTTTGATGTATGTAAATTTTATATCTTCACTAAATTTAATTGTTCTTAATCATTTGTTTATGGATTTTGGGTATTTTCTATATAAGCAGTCATACCTTATGTGGGTGATAATGGTTTCTTTCCCTCATAAGATGATTTTAAAAGTGAATGGGGTTATATAAACAAAGCAAACAACACCGTGGTTGGCAGCTAGTCAGTGCTCAGTAAATGCTTGTGACTACTGATATTATCATCATTACTCATTAACAGAAGAATTTTAGAAATTTCTTTAACAAATTCCTTCATGTTGAAGAAAGAAACAGAGGCCCAGAACAAGTCCATGATTTGCCTGGGATGACATGACAACTCAATGCCAGGACTGCACCTGGAAAACCTGGGTCTTTGGGCTACAAAGTCAAGTGCCCTTTCTTTTAATCCCCAACAAATGCAGGCTTCTGTCTGGCATAAACTTTTGCAATTGTAGTGTTTACATGAATGGGGCTTTCTGGCACATCCATGAAAAAAAATCTATTAAATCAGCAGCATGAATTAAGCTCTTTCTGTGTGCTGGGCTTCCCACATTGCACACGCTTCTAGCAGAGGAAGAATTTACACCCTGCAACTCAGAGGGGCAGAAAATGATAATTTATTTCCTTTTAAATATTCTCTATATGGATCTCATCATTTCCTGTTGATGGCAGAGGAAGGAGGGAGAACCTTAAACTTGCCCATTGAAAGCAACTTAGACTCTTTTGGTCTAACTCACTTTCTTTTGGGTAAATACACAGTTAAATAAAAATTAAGATTTCCTTCTCAAAGGATGTCTCTTCACCGTCTATGTCCCAGGTTGGCAGCTGGAAGAGGGAAACAATTATGGATTCTCACAGTGTGGAGTGGTGCCTCTGAACTCATCCTGCCTTTGAGACATAGCAGGTGCTGATTGAGCTGGGCCTGGCCTGATCATGTCTTTGAGCATCCAATTCTGGGGCCACTAGGTCTAGCTGTCTCTCCTGGTGCTTTGGGACCTCCACTGCTCAGATCTTCCTGGCCCCAAAGATCTCTAAATCTCAGCTTTGTCTGTCATCTGTCTCTAGGCTCTGCAAAGGTGACCTCTCAGCAGTCTGACTCGCAGCTACACCCTCTGGGGGCACGTAGAACACTGAGACCCCTTTCTGGCCACAGTGTAGCAGAGGAAGAGGCAGGCTGTGGGGCACATGTGAGGTATTCTCAGATACTAGCTCAGCCTTAACTTCTCTCATCTTCTCTTCTCTCTGCATCCCTCCCTCCCCAACTTGCCTCTTGGCCAGAAGAGTGTCTCCTTCCTGTTGGGTGGGGTTTCCCTAACTTGATGTCCTCTGTCTTCTCTTTATTCAGGCTTATAGCAAACTCCACAGTCACACTGGCAAGGCCTAGCTCTTTGAAGATGAAGGGAACTTTCAGAATCTAGAATAATGTGTGTCCTCTTTCAACAAAACTTGACATTGGAAACCTGTTTCTCCATGGCCTCTAAAAATGTCAGTTTTGGCATGCAAATATTTTCTAAATATTATCCCAATTACCCATGGTTATGGCTGCCTTTGGGATTATGATGAAGACTGTAGTTGTGTAGAACATGTCATGCTCCTGACTCCCCTCTCGGGATATGGAGGCCACTGTCTTTGTGAGTGGGTGGAGCTCCTTCCTCTGTCCATCTCTTAACTAATGAAAGCCAGGTCTGTCTGTTCTCAGCAGTCTTTCTCTGCCTAGCCACTGTACAGGACACTGTCACTAACATGTCCTCAAGGAATGACCTCTGACTTCTGGCCTGAAGATCTCTGTGGCCTCTATTCAACCTTTATTGAGAGCTTATTATGGTTACAGGTCTGTGCTCGTGAGAACCCAGAGAGAGCGAGACAGAATTGTCTTCAAGCTGCTCAAAGAGTAAAATCCATGCATAAAGACCTGGCTGTATCACAGCTGTGCTTATGATATTAGCAAAATCCAGTACAACTAGGAAGAACATGTACAGAGAAGGAAGGAAAGGCAAAACTGTTGGGTCTAGTTTTCTTGGTTCCTACATGAAAGAAGGCTGGGCAATATTTACCCTCGATAAAGTTCATTATGCCTTGGGTATAGTAAAAACCTGAAGTTTTGCCTCTGTAGACCACTATTCTGCCAGGGCTGGGTGCCAGAGTGTATTTTACAATGCTGACGCCTGTCCGAGACAGTGGGTTGTGGTTTCTGTTCCACTCTCCAATGCACTTTTGGGAAGGCAGGTGACTGGGATGGACCTGCTCTAGTCATCAAATGTGGCAGGCCCACTTTCCATTGCCAACAAAAGTTAAGTAAATTAAATAGGGCCCCAAAGGAGCTCTCTAGGAGTTGGTGTATCATGAAATGTGAAGTGGGCTTGCCCCTATGCAAGAACTAAAAGAAACACAATTTAGTTATCTTTGGCTTCTGAGGCATCGGCAGAGTTTTCTGCTGCCAATATGAGATTTCAGTGGAGAGTAGGGTTTCCCAAATCATGTTGAAACGTGACATTGTTTTCCTTAGGCCCACAGGGCCTTGGCCTGACACTGAGCATGTATTCGTGTGTGCACACATGACTGACCACTTTCTGCACGCTTCTTACACATCCGCCATGTGTCCGCCTCAGCCGGTGGAAGCCCTGTGCCACTCTTGAGATGCAGGTGGCTGTTTCTTGCTGCTGTCACTGTTACTGCTGCTGCCGCTTGCAGCCTAATTCCTCGCTGGTTTCAAAATGTGTCTCAGAGATTTCCCCAAATCCATTTCTCCAAATTCTGAGTTGTTCATCCATGGATAACAACAGGATGGCATGGATGTAGGCACTGGTAAAGAAGCACAGAAGCATGTACTGAGGGTGTTAATTCTGAACATGGAGAGACTGCATGTTCTGAAACACATCTTAGCATTTCTGTGTCCACATATGTGTATTGCATTTCAAGCATTTTTATTATTATTATTATTATTTTTGCTGGGTCGTGTCAATAGAACTGACAGCATCCTGTGACCATATCTTCACCTTTAGTGCTTTCTAAGTAAAACTCAGTGTCTTAATATAGCCAAAGGAAAGAAAATCCTAGTGAGAGAATGAACTTTTTCTGACATTCCTGGTTGGTGAAATGCAATCCTCTTTTCCTAGCATTTGGTGAGGATAATTGAATTTATGTCTGGTAACTAAGGGGATGCTCGGGAGCCCCAGGAACCATGAGCAGGAATGACGATGGTCAGAAAGCACATTGGGTTATGTGGATTCAGTGACACAAACCCCAAGAAACCTGGTGGCTTTTGGCACTGCATGTGATTAGAGACAAATGATCTATTTTCATCTTCTGGAAAAATCAATAAATACATATATAAAAGAGTGCCTTCAAGTCCTTTGAGCTATTAAGAATAGCTAACGTTTTGATTGCTTATTGCATGTCTATTGCTGTTCTAAGGGCTACATATGTATTCACTCATTTCTTCTTATGACGTCCCTGTGTGGCCCACGGTCATGTTATTTTCATTCCCATTTTACAGATAAGAAAATGGAGGTCACGAGCTGGAGAACTCCTTGCTCAAGTTGCATAGCTAATAAGGGACTTAGCTGGGATTCCTGGCCAGCAGTGTGGCTCCAGGCCTGGTTTCTAACTTCCCCTTGTTGGCAACCACCTTCACAGAGGAATGCAAGAGGTGAGTGGATTTGATGTGATATTTTATATCATGCCTATTTCTATCCACTTTCTCTGGAGTCCACTAAGATTAAAGAAGGAGAGAAATTCTCTAGTTCTACAGGAAGTGCGGGCTGTTTCCAGTGGGTCCTTGAAGTCCTTTGTCTGTTTCCAGTTTTTCCTTCAGGTCTTTTGAGCCCGGCTTCCCTCTGGCCAGCTCAGGCTCAGGGAGACGGGCATACACCGGTGGCCTGGGTGACAGTGTGCAGCTGATGAGCCACAGGACTTGGGCAGGCCATAGTGGGTCAGGAGAGACTGGACGCTTCGTCTTTTATGCTTCTGGGATTTCTGTTGTGGCTTCTGTTTTCACCGCATTTCAAATCCTTTAAGTTAGGTCATAATGGGGAAAATGCTTGTGCTTCTCATTTATCTCCCTGGAGGCTAGCCTGGATCTCTGATGAGGAGGAGCACCAGGCCACTCCATAACCACCGGGCTGCAGGATCTCCAGGGCCACCCAGGAAGCCAAAATCAGAACAGAGCTCCTTGCTGTGGGGGCTTTGCTCACCCTAGTTCTGGGAGCCAGCCAGCTCTATCTTGGGGATATAACTTTCCAGGGACAAGAGATGCCTGATTTTGTGCAGACACCTGTGTCATGGAGAGTATTTCTTATGTTCCAAGCAGAGAAGTTCAAATTTACCAGTCTTCCTGTCACTCCACCCCCAAAATCTGGCGACCCTACTCAGCTGTTTTTCAGGGCCCACCCTCATGGCACCTTCTGGGGACTCCCTCTTTGCTACTGAGGTTGAGACCTAGCACTAGGTTTTGTGCTAGAAGCGCCTTGGGGGCAGAAACCCCCATATGCCAGCTGCCCAGGTCAGGACTGCATGTTTTCCTACTCACGGCCACCTTGCCTTGTAGAGAAGAGGTGTGGCCACGTGCGGAATCCGCGGGCACAGGCAGCGAGGCCAATGAATGGTATCTTGCCTGCGGTCTGCTCTTGGGAAGGGTCCTCTAGTCCCGGTGTCCAGGGACCCACAGGCTACATCACATAGTCTCCATGTCTTCTTGCGGGAAGGTACCGTGTGAGTCTTTTTAAAAAGTAATCTTAAAAGAGAACATCTTTGACTGGGCGCAGTGGCTCATGCCTGTAATACCAGCACTTTGGGAAGCCGAAGCAGGCAGATCACACGGTCAAGAGATCAAGACCATCCTGGCCAACACAGTGAAATCCCGTCTATGCTAAAAATACAAAAATTAGCCGGGCGTGGTGGTGTGCACCTGTAGTCCCAGCCACTTGGGAGGCTGAGGCAGGAGAATTGCTTGAACCCAGGAGGCGGAGCTTGCAGTGAGCCGAGATCATGCCCTTGCACTCCAGTCTGGTGACAGAGCGAGACTCCATCTCAAAAAAAAAAAAAAAAAAAAAAAATAGAAAAAAAGAACATCTTTGTTTTTGGGCTTGGGCGCCGCTCTGTGATGGGTGCAGGGATGCAGTGGACGGAGACGTGCAGTCCAGTCAGCAGGGGCGAGTCCCACCAGGGAGCCTCCCTCTGCACCCACGCCACATCCACGAAAGGCCCTGAACTGTGCTTACGGTTTTCTCTATCCTACCCCACAAAAGTCTGGTGGTCATGATAGCTACAGGAGGGAAAATGTTTTTTAACCACCTCACCACCAATGGTTTTAGAATTCACGCACTCTGCTGCTGCTTCTCAATGATACCTACTTTCATGTCGTCTTTCCGCTCACCACAGCTTCTCACCAGACACCCCCCAATGGGTAAGTCACAAAACCCAGCTGAAGAACAGCCAAGACTCCACCAGGCTTCAGACCTCAGCACCCGAGCCCTAGCGTGGGCCGTCCACTTGCTGGGGGAGAGAGGCTCTATCCCAGCTTGGCACAGGACACCCCGGGGCCAGCGTGGCCTGGGTCAGGCAAGCGCAGAACCTGGGCTTGCTGGGGCACCCCAGAGTCTGGAGGGAGACCCCCCAGCTCACAAAACTGTCTGGAAATTGAACGGAAAGATCTTAAAGGCATAACTTTTGTTACATAGAATGAAGTCCCATTTTATCCGCCCAGGAATATTTATTCATTGAGGACCCTATCTGTGTGTGGCGCTGTGTAAGTTCACTAAAAAAGACTTGGCAGGACGGTCTTTATTAGTCATGTGTGTAAAATCTGACCCTCCAGGTTAGCATCCGGCCAGGTGTTTGTTCACTTCAAATGCTCATTGAGTGACTTCTAGGAGGTACACATCGTGCGGGGTGCTGAGAAGGCACGGTAGCTACAGACGCAGAGAACTGCTGAGCAGGGGAGTGACCACCCTGGGTAGCCCTTGTTGATGTGATTGGTAATTGCTCTGGGGAGGCAGGTGGCACTGGGGCACGGAAGGGCCCAGATACTTGAGGGAAAGTGCCTGCACCGTCAGCCTGCCAAGGGCTGCAAGGGTTGTATCCCGCGTCTCTCAAGCATCACATCATCAGCCCTTCAGATGTGTCAAGTCATTTAATTCCCACAACAGCCTGATGAAGTAGGCACTGCTATTCTATTCTCCCTGCTTTTTCTATGGGGAAGTTGATGCATGGAGAAGTTAGATAACTTGCCTGAGGTCACACAGCTAACCTGGCAGTTCTTGAAGGTAACTCACAACAGATTTCCTCTAAATTAAATTCCATTCGGGCATTCAAAATAGAATTCTTTTCACAAAATGCATTTCACAACTTTTTCAGAAGACAGCAGTTGTTCACAGTGAATAAGCATTCAGCAGGTGGGCATGGCTAGAGCTGGGATGTTTGTCTCCACCAAATCTCATGTTGAAATTTGATCCCCAGTGTTAAGAAGTGGGGCCTAATGGGAGGTGTTTGGGTCATGAGGGTGAATCCTTCATGATAGATGAATGTCCTCCCTGGGTAGGGTGAGGGAGAATGAGTTCTCACTCTGTTAGTTTGTGAGAGCTGGTTGTTAAAAAGAGTGGATCACTTGAGGTCAGGAGTTCAAGACCAGCCTGGCCAACATGGCGAAACCACATCTCTACTAAAAATACAAAAAAATAAAAAAAATTAGCCGGGTGTGGTGGCGTGCACCTGTAATCACAGCTACTCAGGAGACTGAGGCAGGAGAATCGCTTGAACCTGGAATGTGGAGGTTGCAGTGAGCCGAGATCACACCATTGCACTCCAATCTGGACGTCAGAGCGAGACTCCATCTCAAAAAAAAAAAAAAAAAAAAAGAGCTTGGCACCTTCGTGTCCTCTTTCTTGCTTCTCCTCTCATGATGTGATCTCTGCACAGGGCTCCCCTTCACCTTCCACCGTAAGCAGATGCAGCCTGAAGCCCTCTTTGGAAGCAGATGCTGACACCCTGCTTGTACAGTCTGCAGACCCATGAGCCAGATACACCTCTTTTAAAAGTAAATACCCAGCCTCAGATATTTCTTCATAGCAAAACTACACAGACTGAGACAGGCATCCTAGCAGACTTCCCTCACGTGACCTCTGGCCAACTTTGCTTTCACATCAGCTGGTCAGAAACTTTCCTCCCCTGTTTTTGCACCAGGTGACCCTTCCTGCTCCTGTTAGGCTGACCCAGCAGAGATCCTTCTGCCCTGTCTACCTACAAGGCTGTTCTAACTGAGATAAGCATTGTAAAGGATGCCTGTCCTTGTCCTGGGCAAATGCCAGCTTCTTTCTGCAGAGTTTAATCCTTCAGGAATGTTTTGTTTTTCAGTTGTCTTCATTCAGTTAATAGATTTAAGTGTTTTCTTGATTCAGTAAACAGATCCCTTCCAGCTGTTCTCATTTGTTTTAGGGAACTACCTTTTGCCTATGGGAAGGATTCAGTGGGAATGGGAGAATCCCACAGAAAGACCCTCCAGTCTGTGTGACTGGCTGTAGTTCAGTGGAGTTCAGCTCATGCGTGGGGCACCTGCTGTGTTCAGACCTAGTCAGTCCTGTCCTCAAGGAAGGAGGGCTGGTCTGTGTGGGGAGGGGGCAGAGCTGTAGGAGTTCTTTCTGTGTCTCTCAGTGGGGAACCATGGCTTTTTGTTTTCTCATTCAAATATCTGAAAATATTTTATAGTCAAGCTTTGCAATCATTTCCTTAAAGGGTGTTTTCAAAAGTAGAGGGCTGGCTGCTTCACGTGGCAATATGACGTCAGGCCCATTAAACGGCCAGTGCTCAGTGAAGAGTGGTTTTCATGGTGAGGGCAACATAACAATGTTTCTGGGGTGCATCTACTGAATGGGAGGCATTGTACCATGTGCCCTGTCGCTTGGAATCCCTGGAAGAAAGCAGAACCGAGAAGAGAAGCCCGGGTTTAAAGCTGTGGTTTCTTTTTTGCAAGATAAAAACCATGTGATTTAGATATATGCAAACAAATCTTGAGTTAAAGGAAACTGAGTTTCAAATTAGATAATTGTCTCTGAGAAAGGCATTCATATATCTCATATTTCATTTCTAACTTTTTATCATAGAACATCTTAAACATACACCAAAATAGAGAAAATTATAATGAGCTCCCATCTGTCACTTGCCTTCAACAATGATCAACTTATGGCCAATTATGTTTCAGCTACAACCCAATCTCGCCCCATTCTAATTTTTTTAAAGCGTATCCTAAACATTGTATCATTTTATCTGTAAATATTTTAGTATATATCTCTAAATATATATGAACTCTTATTTTTAATAGACATAATCGTAATCATCATGATTTTAGGAAATGATTTTAATAAAAATCACACCCAATTCACGAAGTTAAAAAACCCTCCCAATATTCACACCCTTCTCATTACTCTTGGTTTTAAATGACTTTTCCTGTTGTTTGAAGCCCGCGTTGCAGTCTGACTCTGATCCTTCCAAAAACTGCTCCTAGAGAAGCTAGAGGTACGCTCTGAGATTAAGCTACCTCAACTTCAAGCCTCTGGATTCTGGGAGGAGTTGAGTCCACCCTCTGATCTAGAGTTTCCAGGCATGGCTTTGTGAATGCACCTACCTTCTTCCCGGATTTTTGCCCGTCTGACCCTCTTACACGAGAACATCCCCATGCATGGCTGTGGAAAATCCTCAAGTGCAGTGAAGGCAAGACTGAAAACAGAGCCGCTGCCAAACAGAGCAGCAAGTTGAAGGGCAAGTGCCTGTCAACACAATCCCCTTGAAAGACTATAAAGAGCTGCCAAAACATGAGATGCATCTGACATCCAGATAGTATTAGCTGACTGCTTCCCAAATGGGTTAGCTGTCTACAGAAACGCCCTAGGTAGCTGATATGAATCGCAAATGTGCTGTGACTTGATTAATTTGTAACAGTCAGAAATTAGGTAGTTCAGTGCTAGTCATGCTCAAGCTCAGTAGTAGCTGGTTTAGTTGTTTTTTGCTTTTTTCTGTTTGTAATTGGATCTAGGATGATAGTGTACCATCCCCCAGCAGTCATAGAAGACATGGTAAAAACTAGCTTTACACGGGTCCTGGACTTGAGGTCACGGGTGTGGAAGGTGATTCACTAGGGAGTTGGCTCTTAGCTTAGTGGGTCATGTATTTCTGAGAAGCTTCTTTCCTGAGGTTTACAGTCAGTTTCAGAGGTGAATGAACTGCTTCAGATGATCAGAAAGATACACTCTGTCATTATTCCCCCAAGAATAATCTTTGCTTCTGTAGTTACATTAAAGCTAAATTTTGCTGCCAGAGTAGGAGCCATCCATTATATTATAATCGATGACATGAATGTTTTGCTCAAGTTCAGATGTCTAATAAGAGTCATTTTCTTTCCGAGGGAGTGTTATCAGTTTCATGAATATGCGCTCTGTATTTCATTAGCATTCTTCTAGCAAAACATGATTCTGAGTCATTTCTGAAATATCTGCTCTCGCCTGCAACTTGTTTCTCAGTTTTTACAAAAATTGCCTTTTCTACTTACTGGCAGAAAAGTTTGATACCGCACGAGCCTAAAATGGGTATGCTGAGAAAAAACACAGCACACCTATGGAACCGTGACCACAACAGTGCATCGGTCTCTGTCCCACCGTCTCATTCGAGGTTAATCCCTCTCCACAGGGCGGCACCTCAGCAGGGAAGGGCGAGTCTGAGGACTGAGGGTAAACAGTCATGACATGGGTATTCACTATCATGGCTTTCTTAGATTTTTAAGCCAGAATGAAGTTCAGAGAGCTTGTCAGAGGATGTTGAATGAACAGAAAAGGAAATTTGGAACCCATATGAAAAGAGCTGCTTTATGAATCACAGAGAGCTTTTGAGTTCCAGCTTACAGTAATTCAAACACCACTCACTTATATTCAACTGAGAGCAGCTCTGGCCCAGCCTTGTCCCCTGACCCCGGGGACACTTTCTCTAGGATGAACAAGAGAAGATGTTCTCCACTGTACTAGCTGCCAGTGTGTTTCTTTCAACCGAGGAAGTATCTATGTCTCTTATTCTATGTCATTATTGTAAGAATGGTCTACCTTGATCCTTAGAAGCCAACCAGGATGGAGTCCCATTTTGCAGAGTCTGCTGTGACTGCCAGCCACCCCTGTACCATGGACTTCCACAGCAATGATGCTGTGCTGCATCTCCATCCAAAGGGATTGCATCTGTTTTAATTGCTTGACTTTCAAGGACACTCAGGGACAGGTACTCTTCCATAATTCTACGTCATCCCAGTTTCACGGGGGCATGAATCCCCCATCCCCTGCAAGGTCTACTGCTCTCCAAAGTGTGTGTCTTTGAGATGGAGGCTCTTCACAGGGTTCACCACCTCTGCAAGTAGGGCTGTGACAACTCAGCCTTGTGCACTGCCACAAAAGGCCCTTCAAGAGCTTCTAGAAATTTCTGGCTCACAGAAGCCACTGGAATACTGTAAATGGAGTTGGTTTTGGTGGCTCTGTCCTTTGATGGGAGGCTCTGTCTCCTGAGGCCAAGATTGAAGGCAGGATCTGAAGATTGTGCGCCTGGATCAACTCTAATCCTTTCCAGCCCAAGAGAGTTGTTCTTGCTTCTTCTTGGACTGTTGTGAGAAACTTCCACACTGACTGCTTGGAAGTGTCACATGTTGGACCTCTTGGTACCAGTGTCTCTGACAGACTCATACCACTGGGAGCTCAGAGCGAGTGGCTGAGGCCAGCAGAGCTGAACACTTAGTGCCCTGTCCCTGCATTCTGTGGGATCAAGAATGAACTGGAAGTAGGATGCCGCCCTAGAGGAGGCACAGGTGCTACAGAGGCAGCTCAGCTCAGGAAGCGGACGTGAACCCCTTCCTACCCCCCATTAGTGCTGTGGCCATGAGGCCCCCTCACCTGAGGGGGAACACCTCTGTCAGCCTGGCTATCTGCCACCAACAAACACATTTTCCTGGGAAGGGGCCTGGATTCCTCCAGTTGAGCCTCCTTAGATGCACAGGTTGCACCAGGGTGGAGGCCACAGCCAAAACCAAACAGTGTAGCATGAACAGGCCAGGCTCCCAGACTGGGAAGGGAGGACTGCCTGGAGGCAGCAGGAGGCTGGAGCCACATTTGCCTGCAAAAAGTCTTTTCAGACGCACATCTCAGGCCAGTTACGCAACTGGCTCCTGGATCCCTCTGCCCAGGCCCAGTCCCTCCCATTGCCTCTCAGTGTAAAGCAGGGAATGCTGCAGGATGGAGAGTCCTAAGCCTTAATCGTGGATCTTGGGATTCAGAGTCCAGAGAGGATAAAGAAGCAAATTCACAGTCAACACTTCCTTTTTTTGGATGTTTACCATAGTGAAGTTTTGTGCAAAGTGCTATGGGGACATGATCTGACACATCATGTTCCCCCACCCTCCCGGCCCAGGATCTGAAGGTCCAGCAGGAGAGGCAAGCCAATGCTAACCAAGGCTCAATCTGATGCAGGGACACAGACTGCTCTGGACTTCCGTATATGTCTTTAAAAATATATATATATCTTTAGGCTGGGCGTGGCGGCTCACGCCTGTAATCCCAGCACTCTGGGAAGCCGAGGTGGGTGGATCACTTGAAGTCAGGAGTTGGAGACCAACATGGTGAAACCGCATTTATTTATTTTATATATATATAATTTTATTAATAAATACCCTGGAAGGACCTTGGTCCTTTAACGTGCTGGCACCTATAGCAGGGACCAAATTTGTACTTTTACAAACTGTCTGTACTGGTCTAAGGAGGAGCAGAGGCGCACATACAATAGCTGCTTATGCAGAATCACTGGAAAACAGGTGATTCCTGAACGTTGCTAGATGAATATAACTCAGAAACAACCCACAGCCTAGATTAGTAATCTGTGAAAGTTGGAGACCAAATGAAATTTGTTTAGCAATAAAATGCTTTTGAAGAGAATTTCTCTTTCTTTGATGTTCTTGCTCATTACTGTACACTCTAATGGTGTTGGGCTCAGAACTATTGCTCAATAGAGGTTTGATAAATGAATGCTCCAGAAGACACACAAAGGCTATCAGTGTGGTCGTTGTCAATGAGTGTCCCAGACATTAAATAGGAGCCTGCAATGCCTGAGAGCCATGCGCAGAGATCATGGGACTGACACCTGGGGAGAGGTTCTGAAGGGACCTAAGCACACAGACAGGAGGGAGGTGTCATCAGCAGATTCATCCAGCCCCATGTTTTGTAGATGAATAGTTCCAAGACACTTTTTAATAGTTATCCAATCCTGTGTCTCCTGAGCATGCTCAGTGCCATAGAGCCTCAGTTTCCACATTTCCAAGCAGACTTCTCTGTTCTCTCATAAGCACATTTGAGAAAGGACTTGTTTCCCCTTGCTGCCATAAATGCCCTTGCTTTCAAGTTCAAGCCAAAAAGAAGCAGTGCAATTGTTCTTCAAGCTGATCCGGTGCAGAGGAACCGCAAATGCCAGCTCCAGCTATGGTTTCTAATTGAATATGACTTTCTTTGTAAATGCCTGTCCTTGCCCCCAGCAGCAAACTGACAACTAGGACTTGCCTTTGTGAGCTGAAATGATGTCGCTGATAACCAACAGCTTGTATTAATTTTTCCTGATAATCTCATAGTACTTTTAATGAGATTGGTGGCAAACATGCCATTCTGGGGCAAATTAATTTGTCGTTGCAAAACAGAGTGTCAGCGATTTTTATTTCCTTTGTCTGACGTGTAAATGGGTTGTTTTCAATGGCAATTGATACAACCTAGTATTTTCGGCTGCACTGAAGGGAGAACAAGATTTTGCCAAGAGCAACAAAATCAGCACAACCACAATTAAAGCAGACGATCGACATTTGGAAAATGGTCTGCTGATGTTTCTTCCTTCGTTTTCCATGCTGAAATAGGTTGTGATTTAGACAAGGGCCAAAGAGATGAACAAGGCAGCCAGCGGCTGCTCAGCCTCCATGTAGCCTGGTCATGGAGAAGCAAAATCGACATGAAATGCGACCCTCTCTCTTTTATGTGCTTTCACATGCTGTGGTCAGGAACCAAGTACTGTATTTGCATTCACTGCTCAGGCACTGTGCGGTGACCTGCTTTTATGCCACTTTGCATTGCTGAAGTGATGTGGGTGAAAACTGGAATCCTAGTTAGAAGGAAACATGGCATCCGACTCTTCCATTCTCTCATTTCCAATGTATTGTGTTGCCTCTCTCACCCGCCAAAGAAATGAAATGTGATTTTCTACCAGAGTTGGAAGAGTTTTGGCCACAATATAAGTCATTATGGCAGTTTCCATTTTCTTTGCTATACATTTTGAACAAGGAACCACAGTTCATGGAATTGCATTGAAAATTAACAGCTTTTTTTTTTTTTTTTTTTTTTGGCCAAGCTAGCCAGAAAGGAACTTGCATGAGAAATTCACTAATGCTAATGCAGTTTTTCAAGTGGTAATATTTCTAGAATTTTAATTAGGACTTTTTTTTTGCTTTGAAGGGCCCCATCACAGAAGAGAAAGGAATGCTAATATTTGTCTTTGATGGCCAGCAGGGTCCTGGAGGACATGAACGTTTTGCAAGCCGAATGAGGTCTTCCCACTGACATGAGCGTAAAGAGCAGGTGGATTTAACAGCTTTCATTCCATTTTCTGTTTAGTTTAATCAAGATACCAGTTAAGAACAAGGGGAGGCTGCTCCCAGAGCTTCTCTGTCCTTTTAGGGGTTGACCCTACTGGCTCGGCTGGCTGTGGATTAGACCACACCTGCTACAAATCAACAAATAATGAACTTCGGATGCTGAGAACCTGAAACACTACATAAAAGAGGGCATAAACAAACTCTTCTTTTTCAACATATGATGGGCGATTGAAGCGGTCAGTGGAAGATAGCTGTGCACAAGAATGTGGGCCTCCTCCCTTGAGCCAAGGTCTGAGTTTTATGATTCCTAACTTAGAGTTAAAAGAAGCAAGCCATACAGGTAAATGATTATCAGGCAGAGAGGCTTAGAATGCATTACAGTTATGCAAAACCTGGGTTTTTCATAGGTGTTTTCAATGTTGGCATGAACAGTGGAGCCAAATAGCATCTTGTAGCCCCTACGTGGGCACGATTCTTTCCTGGGCGACACCGTCTGCATACCCCATGGTGACATTCCTGTGCGCTTGCTACAGTTGGCTAGTAATCCTGGCTTTGAAGAAGGTTTTCCAGTTCCAATCACCATGTTCAAGACAATGTGTGGGCCAGTATTCTGGGTCATGCGTCTTCCCCAGGAGCTTTGGTTAAAGTGAGTTTGAGGAAAATATGGGTGCTCTCAGATGCTCACAGACCACGTGGATGTGAAATTTAGACTTTTATTTGGATGATAATAAAGACAGACTTTAAATGTTTTCAGAGTAACTGGACAGCTCTATCTGTCTCAATAACTGCTGGCAGTTCAAATTCAGCTGGAAACTGTACTCAGGTTCCTCCTAGCCCTGCCCCATTCTTTATAACATGGAAACCCTGATTCCCCCCGCCGAACACTTTCCTTCAGGCAGCATGATTTTTGCTTCACCGTAAACACACCAGGATCACGGATGATGATAGCATTTATTGCTTGGAATAAAAAGTGATTTGCGGCCCTGTAAATAGGACAGCAAATAGTTTTGCTTTTGACGTAAGGCTCCCATGTCACTTCATGATTTCATTCATCTTCATATTCAAAAGAAGGATAAATAAACTGCTTTCCTGCTTAGTAGCTTGGTCATCTGAAATCCAGTATCTGACATCAATTCCCAGTGGGAGAAATTGTGCTTTGCTGCGTGTGTCTTAACTCAGTCTCTGATGTTCTGGTTCTGACTCAGGATGTTGGTGACAGCTGCACCACATATGCCACGTCTTTCATGCTAGACTAAGACCAGACATCTTTTCTGGTGCGCATGGAGTCACACTGTGACCTAGAAGACAGTGCTTTGAAATAATGACAAAGCACAGAGGCAAGGAATGAAGTTGACATTGCATACCAACGGCATCATCAAATTTGTCCTCAAATGTCACTGTGTAATGCTGAGTGATTTTTGGAATCTCCCTAGTTTCCCCCAAGCAAATTACATATCTTCATAGACACATCGATATCAATGTTTTGGATGTAATATATTTTAATGAATATGTAAACATGTACAAATAAATATAATGAATATAACAAGTATGACTGTCCTATATGAGACATAGATATTTTCAATAAATGTATATTTATTATGAATATATATTTATAATATAAATATCAATACAATGTTGTTGAATGGGTGAATAAATCCTTTAAAGCAGCCTCAATGTTATAAGTAGTCACTATGATTCATTCATCTCATACAAGCATTCTCTTTCTATGTATGTAATTAATACTTATGGCAAATTGACTTTTCTTGAGTCTCATGAAATAGAAAAATTCCTTTCTGACATTTTGACTATTCTAATATGGCACAATATTATAATTTTAGTGCATGTAATCTTTTCCACCCAGAAAATTGGCACTTTCTAAATTCCTGGTTTCTTATTTGAAAACAAAAAAGACAAAAATTATGACAAATACTACCAAATTAATATTTAAATTATATTTGAATGGCAAATTAATACTTAAAATTACATTGCTAAAAACTAATTCCAGATACGGAGCAAACTTAAATGAGAAAGATAAAACAATTTAAATTTTAGAAGAAAATATAGGAGGGCAACTTCATGATTTTGGCCAAGGCAAAGATTTCTTAATTAGGATGCCAAAAGCACCATTAAAAAAGTGGGTAAAATAAGACATTGAAATAATATTGGGGGCTGGGCACGGTGGCTCATGCCTGTAATCCCAGCACTTTGAGAGGCCAAGGCAGGTGGATCACCTGAAGTCAAGAGTTCGAGGCCAGCCTGGCCAACATGGAGAAACCCTGTCTCTACTAAAAATAGAAAAATCAGTCAGGCATGGTGGTGCATGCCTGTAATCCCAGCTACTCGGGAGGCTAAGGCAGGAGAATCACTTGAGCCTGGGAGGCGGAGGTTGCAGTGAGCAGAGATTGTGCCACTGCACCCCAGCCTGGGACAGAGGGAGACTCTCTCGAAATAATAATAATAATAATAATAATATTGGGTACAGATAATAATTTCCTCCACATGTGTGAAAAAGAAGGTTATGAGAATCAGAAAGCAGGAATTTAGACAATATGTAGGGGCAGCAGATTTCCCTTGTTTTGTAAAACAGGCCTCAGAGAGGAGTATCAACTTGCAAATAGGTCAAAAACCCTTTGAGGGAAGGAAGTTTCTGGGCAGCAGAAGCTTTACCACCATCCACTGTCACATGGATAGGGATTGCAACATGCTGGCCCTTTACTAATAACATCTCGTCCCATTTGGATGGCAACCCTGTGAAGTACATATGATCATGCTAGGGAAACTGAGGTTGAGTGAGGCCTGGTGCCATGCCCGAAGTTGGGCTGCTGTCCAGTGGTAAGGCACGGGCTAGCTGTGTCGGCCCTAAAGGGCACCCCACTACATATCCCCAAGATACAGGCCACGGGGCTGCACCCTCAGCCACGGCCCAGCGTCCCCAAGGCTCAGCATGAGTTTGCATCTGCTCCTTCCCTAGAAAGTCATTTATTTACATAAATGACTAATGATCCTGGGCAAGGGCTCCTGTTGGGCCACATGTTCTGCTTTTTAAAATTCAGAGCCTAGGTCAACTGTTTGATAGAAAAATGAAAACATAATGTAAATTCTAAATAAAGCTGATATGCAAAGAAACTGCCCTGTTAACTTACCTTACTTGTAGATCATATTTTCGGTGGAAGTCTGTTCAGTTTAAAGATAAACATGACATGATTAGAGGAGAAAGAGGATAGCCCCTCCCTTTAAGCTCCAAGATAATTCAAGACATCAGTTAACTATTGAGCGATTAGAGAAGGTGTTTTGGGAGCTGACCTTGACCTAGTATTCTCAAATCTCCTTCCCCTCCATAAGGCCTGGTATACTTCATGTTGCTGGCAGTCAACATCTGTCTGGCTTATGAAGAACGAGATAATCACACTCGTTTTGGGGCCTCAGGCTATGAGCACCTGAGTGTGTTAATATCAATTAAAAACCCCAGTACCCATCTGTTGAGGTCAGGACTATTAAAAGTCAGGCGTGGCTGGGCGCAATGGCTCACGCCTGTAATTCCAGCACTTTGGGAGGCTGAGGCCGGTGGATCTCTTGAGCTTAGGAGTTCAAGATCAGCCTGGGCAACATGATGAAACCCTCTCTACTAAAAATACAAAAAATTAGCCAGGTGTAGTGGTGGGCACCTGTAGTCCCAGCTACCCAGGAGGCTGAGGTGAGAGAATCACCCGAGCCCCAGAGGATGAGGTTGCAGTAAGCCATGATCGTGCCACTCCACTTCAGCCTTGGTGATGGGAGTGAGACCTTGTCTCAAAAAAAAAAAAAAAGAAAAAGAGTCACGAGTCAGGAGTCAGGTGTAAATGCCTGTATATCAGACTGTATTTTAGAAATTTGCTTTTAAAAGTTACCCTTGTGACTGAGACTCAAAAAGAAACTTCCAGGATGAATGTTCAAGCTTCCAGATTGAATCTATTACCCATGTGATGTAGGGTATGGATAAAAATCTGTAGCATGGGTTTTAAATAGATACCTTCATGTGTGTAAGCTCGCACATATTTGTGTGTGTGTGTGTGTGTGTGCTTACATCTTGAAAATCGCATGGATCTGAGCAGACTTCCATTAATGCCACCATTTTTCTGCATATCCCAAGCCTCAGATCAGAAGCTGTGTCTCTAATATGTGCAGCTCCTTTAGTCCTTAGATTAAATTGCTCTCAACCCTTGCTACAGGAGCAACTTAACTAGAGCAATGTAATCTTGGAACTAGAGGAGCCAGCAGCAATGTCATCCCCAGGAATCTTGTTAGGAATGCAGAATCCTAGGCCCCAACCCAGACCTACTGAATTAGAATCTGCATTTTGCTGAGATCCTGGGGGAGTTGAATGCCCGCAGGTGTTTGAGAAGCTGAGAAATGCTGCTCTAGCCCACAAACGTGGATGATCCTCTCTTCTACTCTCTTTAGAGTATGTTTCTAAGGTCCTTTAGATCCTAGTTTGGGAGATTTTAATTAAACATGGTAAGGGGTTTAGTATTTAAACACTTGTTTGGATTTCCAATGTTTGTTTGGCATCATGTCTATAGTTTGGGTTTCCTTGGTTAGTTGCATTCCTTACCACTTCATTTATCAACACCTTCTCTGGAGAGAAGGAGAATTACAGACAAAATGGATTTTGGTAGCTAGAGGAACATGGGAAGCTGGCAGGATCTGGCCACATGTGGGACTGAGACCCAGGCTGCCGTCCTGCCCGGCCGTGCTCAGGCCCTAACAGGACATTTTCACAGAAGATTTGGAACTGAGCTACAACACTGCCTTCAATTCCAGTGGCTGCCTACACTTGCAACCACTTTTTATTTGACCAAATAACCATTCCCCTCCAAAAGTCTAGATAAAATAGATTTAAAATCATATCACGACACTTTGACTTTTTACATAAATGATGAATGCACTGAAAGGTCAGGTTGTTTTTAGGATCTGTTTTCCTTCTTGGATGTATCCTATTTCTAGCTTGATTCTCTTGTGTTTTCTTACATCTGCTTTTTGTCAGCTCAGTGTGAAATCAACTCAAGTGTCATTCTGAGACCCTTTCTCTTTCCTCCCTTCTCCCCTCCAGAAGCCCCCCAACCTGCCCCATCTCCAGCTATGCACACAGCCTGCATCCCGGATCACTGCCCCATGCTGACAGAAGCCTGTACCCAAACACTCTTCACTGGGTCCTGAGTCTCTTGTTCTGGAAGGAACAACCTAGAAACCTCGACGTCACTGTTCACCAACAAAAAGTGAATCTATTACAACGCACATCCCTGCTTTGCTGTTTTTATGGCTTGCCTGTGGAAAGCAGGGTCTGTAGAGCGCACTAAGAAAAAGCCTGACAGAGATCCCAGCGACGTTTCAGATCAGAGGAGAAAATCTGTCCCAACCTCATCCGTTTGGAGGCAGGGGGGAAGGGGTCTTCCAGGACTCCAGGGTGAACCAGAGCCCCCCGTCTCCTGTGTGGATCCATGTCCACATTCATGATGCGGGCAGTGTGTTCTCAAGCTATATGGAAAGCAACTTTTTGTAAGCAGAATAATATTTTTTATTGCACGGGATGAGGAGCTATTTTTGTAAAGGAATCCTGCAGTGAATAATTTGTACAATGAGGAACCCTCCTGTGCTGCAAATGTATTTAATTTAATAAAAACCTACATTTGGATCTCAGGGTTTCTTAAAACAATGCACACACCACATACAGGAATAAATACATTTCTGTACACACAGATACATTAGATAGGGTAATGCCAGAAGCTATACAGATGAACCCTAGCACACCAGTGCCTTACGTGCTCGTGGAACAGTCCTGGTTGGCAGGCTCTCTCCTTTCCCTTGTGATTCGGAGACCCTGGTTCCTTCCATCTCACGCCCTCCACCATTCCCTGAGACCTCGGAGGTCCCGGCGGCCTTGGCATTCAGCCAGCAGACAGGGAGAGTGGCCTGAGTGAGACCCGTGACGCTTCCCCTCTCCTCCCACTGGTGAGAACTGGACCTAGGGCCATGTCGGGCTGCAGGGGGGCTGGGCCGTGTAGTTTTTGGCCACAACGCCACAGCATGAAGAGGAGGCACTAGATTTTGGTTGACAGATGTCATTTCCACCTTATGCATGGGTTCTAAAAGCATATTTCCTCTAAGATGTCTGAACTCTTACATGGAAGTTTGAGTGACTGGTGGTACCTTTAGTTTTTGGAGAGTGAATCTGAGACCCTAGGGAAATTTATTTGCATTCTGGCAGATGTGAGAGGAGAAAGAAAGATCTCAGGGACTCCCCGTGCTTTGTGAAGACTACTTTTTTTTTTAATCACTATGGTATTGATTTTAGTTTTTTTTAAAAAGCAAGCCAGTAAGCAAGAAGTTAACTGCACAGAGGCAGCTTTGTGGCCTATTATCTAAAGAGAGGAGTCTGGGGGCTGTGGGGCCGTGGGGCCATGTCTGTCATGCGGCTGCAGCCTGTGTACTCATCGTCTGTGTTAAACTGGGTCTGGTTCTGGTTTCTCTGGCATCTCTGGGTTCCAGAGGAGCCTTTGTAGAACTGACCCAGGGCTTAAGCCAGCTTTGCACTGTTTACACTTCCCTGGATTTCATAGCTTTACTGGAACCTGAAAATAGTTTGTTTTTTTTCCTGAAACACAGATGTACCAAGTTCTTATGAAATTAAAAGGAATCCAGTAACCAAAACCCATCTCCCATCTCATCTGTTGTGAGTGCAAATGTCGCATTTAAAGGCTGGAAAGTACTTGGCCTTTGGCCTGGAGACACGGGGCCCTAGAAGGAGGAACCAGTGGAGAGTCCCACAGACCTGGGTGTTCACCCTTCTCTGCCACCTGATAGCATTTGAACTTGGGTGAAAATTGTAGCTTCTTAGGGCTCAGTTGCCTCATCTGTAAAATGGGGCAAAATCATCCACTTTGCAGAGTTGCTGTGTGGGCTGGAGATACAGAGAATGGGGACCTCTCCTGTGTGTTTAGTAAGTGGTGGGTGGGAGGTGATTTTCCTGGAGTCCGTGCCTTCCTTCTTCACCTCCTTTGGAAAGATTCTTCCCCAGCCTGCTCCTCCCTGCTCTGATCACTTTGCACACATTTTTCTGTTCCAAATCCCAGACCTGGATCTGTAACCCCAGCTTACCTGCTCTGTACACCCCTTCTTGTGCTCTTACCTATGGGCCAGCTTCCCTCCAGGGTCTCGTAGGCCCTGAAAGTACACGCGCCAGACACTGATCTCCTCTTTCCCCACAGGGTGTCTCCTCCTGCCTCCCCGTGCCTGTTTCATCCATCTGATTACTCGGGTGCCTGGGTGGCAAACTCGGAGTCATCTTTGCTTTGCTTTTCCTGTCTCTGATGACCTCCTTTCTGCTCCCTTGCCAGCCCCTTACTCTTGCCTCCGGCATCCTGGCCTCCGGCCAGTCCATTTTCCATATTAAGGGCGGATGCATTTTCTTACCACTCTCCTTTCCTTGGCAGCCTTCAGAGATGGCCTGCTTCTCACCAGGGGAGACACTTGTTATAGGACACTAGCTCTAAATGTCATGAATCAGAAATAAATTTCTAGCCCCACGGTCAGGGTCTTGCGGTCTAATCCCACCTTGTTGTTCCTCCTTTAGCTCCCTCTCCTCCCCAGCTGAAATCATTCCGGTTCAATCCAATCAAGCTAAACATTAGCCAATGGAAGCTTCACATTCCCTACAGAATCCTGCTCTCCGGTTCCCATTCTGCTTTCTGGACTCATCTACTTTACTTTTGGACTACTCTTGCCTAGAATGCATTGTTGACTCCCTACTCTTTAATTTTGTCCAAGCCTTTTCTCTCATCTTATTTACAAAATCAATCCTCTATTGGGTGTTGTCAGTGGGAGTCAGGGTAGAATCCCAGAGAGCAGTAAGTGCACAGAAAACAGGTCAAATGTATTAGGGTTGAAAAATAAATGTTAGAATTTTTTAAACATTCAAAAACCTAGCTTCTTTAAGTTTTAGAGTTCAAATTATAAATTTCATTATTCTACCTACTAATTTAATTTTACAACTTATTAATTACACCCCATAAATATTTTAAACTGCGTGTATGCATCTAATGTATTTGACGGTCTTAAGTTCTCCCAAAGCTTGTAACAAACAAGATCTCTCCAAGAACTTAAAGCATTCTTTGAAATCTGATAAATGAAACATAGAATGCATGTTCATCCTATGTAAAAGCTTACACAAGTCATTTTATACCTTTTGACCAATATCCAGATTCTAAAGTTGAATACCCAATTATACACTTTAAATTGGAGTCACCAGGCTAATCCAATGGATTTGCCAACATTTGCAAAATATTACAAACCTTTTAAAAGTGAAATACACACCAATGGCTCACCAGGGTTAATGTGGCTCTGTATGGGTTTGACAGACTCCCTCATTTCTCAGATTAATTCTAACCTCCTGTGTTGAAATACTGGCCCACCTAAACAGCAAACAAGTTGAGCTTTCCATTGCAAGGACCCACTAGAGGGATTTGGGGCTAAGGCTCAGGATTTGAGTTAGCACAGCCGTGTTTATTTGATTGTAACATGAATGCCCCTACTTACCAAGTGATTGGTCCGTCAGACCACGGTCCTTAGATCAAAGGTACACATCACCCAGCTCTGGGACCCTTCAAATCTGCACGCCCTGGGTTTCCATTTCTGATTCTCCTCTTCACCCCATCTCATCTAGGCTTTAATGACCCTCCATGGGCTTCCCATCAGACCCTCTCCTCCACATACAAATGGCTAGGGCCTCTTTTATCATCACAGATAATTTTAGTGGAATCACAGATAATTTAGTGGAAGGATAATTGTGTCCTTCCCAGATTCTTCTTGTCAAATAAGCCCCAAACGTTGAGAGATGTTAAGATGTCATGGACAGAATTCTGCCTCTCCTGCAGGATCTGCCTCTGGGCCTGTGCACTGTAGTCTTGCTAAGGACAGAGGTCTGGGCAGAAAGGACTGCCCCTCTGTCCATGATCTATTGCACATGGCAGCATTGCCTGTCAGATCCCACATGCCTTTGAAATTGCAGCGGGTCCTCTGCGATCCACCTCCCCTCCTCCCCGCCCCTATGGTAGCCCACATGTTTTAGGTGAGCAATAACTAACTGTGGTCCTGCTGGATGCATTTGCCTGTGAGAGAGGGCCAGATAAGGGGAGTGATTAGCTCAGGACCATACAGAATCGATGCCCTCACTATAAGCTGTGTCACATTTGATGTACTTTCTCCTTCTAGTACAGCTGCTGACATAAGACTAATGGATTAGCTCTTATCCTCATATTCTCAAGGTGGCTTTTAGCTATAGAAACACTAATTTATATTCCCCAAGTGAGAGAGACTTTGAGTTCTTAAACCATCATCACAATGTTGGTTCCTGGGGTTAACGGTGATCATGGACAAAATTTCACTTCTTCATTCATTGCAGCTCAGTGAGGTTGTAAAAATCACATAAAATGCTATTATTTGGTGTGTTGAGTAGTTCAGGCTCCAAAAAGGGGGTGGCATCAGATGTTGTATTTGTTAGGCATTTTTGGTAGCAAGCTAAAAGAAAATTCAGAAAACTTGAGATCACACAAGGGAGAGAGAGACTATATGGGAAGATGTAGGATTTACTCACAGAGTCAAAGAGAGCCTTGCAAAGTGAATCCTGGGAAGGCAGAGATGGTCAGCCCGTGCCAGCCCTGGTCCCATGAGTGCAGGGAAACCAGCAGCAACAGAGTAGAGGGGGACACAGACCTGTGGACAGTGACGGTAGTTGGCCTGTCATTTCTGGATTTGCAGTCCCCCTCCAAGGTACCCATACTGTGAACACAACTCAACCAGCCCTAGAGAAACTGCTGGTGGAGGGGGAAGTATGTTGTCACAAAAGGATTTCTGCTTCTGGACTACATCATGTGCTAAGCCACAGAAGCGTGAGGAGGAAGAAATGAGAATAAATGGATATCTTGAAGGACAGAAAGGGGCCTGTATGTGGAAATGAGGTTCCTTTACCCTTCGAGGAAGGTGACCCAGTCCCTGCCTAGAGGGCAGCTTCCCTGCAGACACCAGTGATGGGCTGGGCTACCTGTAATCTGTGGCTCTTTCAGCCACCAGCCATCACTATCCTCTTGTTTTCAAACAGGATTGGGATTTGATTATTTCAAACCCTTCATGGGATTGAAACTTTGTCTTAAGTCAGTGACTACTACATTTCCAAGTACTTTTGAGGAGACATATTTTCATGTGTTTTTTTGCATAGCTCTGGATTTCAACTTACACACCCAGAAATGTCACCTTTAGAGGCCCCTTTGTTGAGTACATTTGATCTCAAGTATTCCAGGTCTGGGGATGGATCTAGCTGGAAAATGTTCAGACACTGAAGTTTCTAGAGCCTGAAGATGCTCCCCTATCAGGTACCAGGACCAGCCAGATCTCATTCTCTGACTCTACATAACTTCTGACAAATGAAATGAAGTTTCCGTTTTTGGCCAACCATGGAGCCTGCTCCGTGTCTGATATTCTTCTTTGAAGACTGAGGATGTGACTTGATTGTTCTCTGCCTCCTTTTTCTAGCTACATTTTTTTTTTCTAGCTGGTTCTCACACGGGCTTTCCATGGCCTCTCTCTGATTGTGGGGACTGGCCGTTTCCCAGGCACAGCACCTTGGCCTGGGGGAGCCGTGAGAACTGATGAGTGTCTTTTGAAGGAGGCACTGGGCTTCTGCAATGGGAGGATCTTGGTGTGTGGGGAGCGTGGGAACTTTTCCTTTTGTTGGTTCAGGAATGAAATTGTTGTGTAAATGGACCAAGAGACCTAAGGAAAGGGACAGTCCTTTTGGCTGGTGGGTCCTCTCCACTGATAGATCCAAACAACAGAGTGGAAAATGTACCACAAGAAGACTCCGTTCATTGCCTGGAACTCAGTAGCCCCTGTGGCTGGTGTTGGCACTTGCCTTACCAGTGTGAGCCTGGTTTTCCCAATCATTTGGCCTTCCACAATAAGGACAATTTAAGAGATTATTTCTCAATGTTAACTACTTCCT
The DNA here is from genome assembly GCF_000001405.40 of Homo sapiens. NCBI lineage: Eukaryota > Metazoa > Chordata > Mammalia > Primates > Hominidae > Homo > Homo sapiens. The sequence continues at coordinate 111,518,127 of NC_000002.12, read as the reverse complement.
TGGGTAATTTTGTGATCTACCTTTCTCCTTTCTGACCAGTAGTAGAATCCATTTATGTTTTCAAGATGTTGCTACTTAGGATACAATTATTTCTAAGAAATACAAGTGACATTGCTTTGTAGAATGGGAACCATGTTCTACAGCCCTACAAAGACCTGTCTTGAGAGAGCTGGGGGGACGCAGGCTTGGAGGAGGTGAGGGCAGGCACTGAGTGGGTGGAGGGAATCAAACGGCTGCCAGAATAAACATCAGATGGAGCTCCTGGGCTTCTTGAGGGGTAGAATTTCCTCTGAGCTCTCTGCAAGACCTCAGCCACAACCATTCATCTACTTAATACATTGAAGCAATTCACATAAAAAGCCAGACAGATTTTTTTCTCTGAATTTAAAACTGGATTTAGAGACTAGATTAATAAATATTGTCTTTGTCATGTGAGTCACTTTGGAGAGAATCATGTCCCCACTGTATGGCAATGCAGCAGATCCTGACCATGCATATTTAGTGTGTCCTTCCTGCTCTCTTGGGCAGACCATCCCATCAGGCTATAGCACGGAGCTCTCACCCATCTCCCTGCTCTGCCATGCACCCTCCTTCTTGCCTGCTCTTTCTTCTCCCTATGGCCAGCCCCTCCAGCCAACATACTTTTTATCTCTCTTTGTTTTGCAAAATCCTTTTCTCCTATCACTTCCATCATAAAACTAGAATTTGGCAAACAATCACATGTCGGCATAAAGCTCTTAAATTGACCTGCTTTAGATTAAAGCACAATATGGGTTTTATAGTTTGCCTCAGGTGACCATTTAAATGTCTTGAATAATGAAATGAAAAACTGGACAGACTAAAATAAGAGTCCTGTCTGCCTGTGACAGTGAAGAATAAGAGTCCTGTCTGCCTGTGACAGTTAAAGAATGATCCCTCATTGCCTCTCACACAGCTGCAGTCAGGGTTCCCACCACCCTTTCTGCTGATTCTGAAATCAGCCCTAGTTCATAAATTATCAGGGAATTTGGTGAGTTTTCTCTTTTAATGTCAGTCTGTTTATTTGACTGGTAGTTTCTGGCCTTAACACATCCCACTAATGTGTTGTTTAGTTGAGCACAATAATAAATAGAACTTTTGTTTACTTTTACATCCAAAGATAAATGTTGAGTGCTATTAAAAACTTTTCTAACATAGTAGGCCTCCAATGAGGAATTTTCCTTCAGCAAATCATAAAACTGGGTCTAGAAGTGCCAACCCAAGTAAAATTACTGATGAACTAATCATAGTTGTTATTTTTCCTTCATCTTTTCCTTTTTTTTTTTTAGACAATCTTGCCCTGTCACCCAGGCTGGAGTGCAGTGGCGTGATCTCGGCTTGCTGCAAGCTCTGCCTCCTGGGTTCACGCCATTCTCCTGCCTCAGCCTCCCGAGTAGCTGGGACTACAGGCGCCCGCCACCATGCCTGGCTAATTTTTTTTGTATTTTTAATAGAGACGGGGTTTCACTGTGTTAGCCAGGATGGTCTCAATCTCCTGACCTCGTGATCCGCCCACCTTGGCTTCCTAAAATGCTGGGATTACAGGTGTGAGCCACTGCGCCCGGCTCCTTCATCTTTTCTATGTGCTTTGTTTGACACTTATTGAGGATACAGTTGCTGAAGACCAGCTGAGTAGGACATAGGCTCTGTCATGCATTAACTCATCCACCCATTCATTTATTCACTCATCTATTGAGCATCTGCTATGTGTCAGGCTCTATGCCAAACTTTCTGTTCAGGAGCCAATATATCAATAACTACAGTGTAAGCTAAGTCATGCAATGAAAGGCTTAGAGAATAGACACCAAGTTGAATATTAACCCAAGTAAATTATTGGAAGATATATTAGTTATCTAAAATAGGCTTAAAACAATAAACATTTATTATCACAATTTCTGTAGGTCCAGAATCTGGACATGGCTTAGCTTGATGTTTATGGCTCAAGACCTCTTGAGGTTTCAATAAAGGTGTTAGTCAGGGCTGCAGTCTCATCTGAAGGCTCATCTGGTTGGGGGTGGTGTCTGTATCTATGTGGTTATTGGCAGGCCTTGGTCCTCACTACACTGGAACTCTTCAAAGGGTTATCTCATGACACAGAAGCTAGCTTTCCCCAGGGTGAAGAATGTAAAAGAATGTGAGAACTCTTAAGACAGATGCTATAGTCTTTTCTATAACTTAATTTTGGAAGTGATATTCCATCACTTCTGCCATATTCTTTGTTAGAATCAAGTCAGTAAATCCAGCCCAGATTCAAGTGAAAGGATTCCACAAGAGTGTGAGTACCAAGAGGTAGGGATATTGGGAGCCGTCTGAGAGGCTGCTTACCACAGAGGGCCAGCCAGTTAGGAAGTGGGTTCAGCTGCTGCTGTTAACAGGCTCGACCTAAGTGGCTTAAACACAGAAGAGTTGTTGTTGTTGTTGTTTTTTCTAATGAGAAATCTGGAGGCAGTCAGTTGCTGGCCTTGGCTCAAAGGCTGAGGGCACTGTGGTTCTTGTAGCCTTTCGCTTATGGCCCTAAGCTGCTGGAACTCTTGCCATCATGTCTGCATTCCAAGCAGCAGAACAAGAAAAGAACAGGGGGAGAAGAGAAAGAGGGCACCAGCCCACTGACTATCCTGTTCATCCTGGGAAGTACCACTCAACAAGCTCAACTCTCATTTCCACAGCCATCGCCAGCTGCTCAGGAGTCTGGGAAATGTAATCACATGCACCATTATCCCCAAGTGCACCACTGCCTCCAGCCCCTTTCCACCTTTCAGTTATAGCCATAAACATCCAGTTAGCCATAAACATTCAGCTAATGCACGTGCAGATTCTTGACCTACAGAAATTGTGATAGTAAATATTTATTGTTTTAAATCTATCTTAGATCACTAACATATCCTCTACTTAACATTTCACTTGGGTTAATATTCAGCTTAGTGTCTATTCTCAAGTTTTCCATTGTATGTCTTTGTTCGCACTCTCCTCATTGAAATATTGGCTCCTGATTAGAATGCTTGAGTACTGTTCTTTTATACCACCAAGCCTGCTCCTCAAGCCGATTTTGTGCCCTGCAAGCCAGCGATGGCTCTATTAATGGTTGTCCTTGTCTTTTATGAGTTCATGTGACTGGGTGGGGGAGATTCAACACCCACCCTCACGCTGCTCACTCTCAAGTAAACAAGTAAGCCAACATTAGAGTCTCAGGGCTATGAATGGGAGCACAGAAATCACAGTGCAACCTCCCAAGTACAGGTCAGGAAGCCTGGTTTAAATATTTGAAAGCAATTTGAGGAAGTTCCCAGTGGGAAATGAACTTGAGAACTAGGTCATTCATATGTCCATTCAACATCTACCTTCTGCTTATCTGGAGTGTGCATGGCACTGCCTGGGGCCACTGCAGTGAATAAGAGAGATGAGAACCCAGGCAACTCCGAGAGACCCAGTCTCACCTGCTTTGCTGGCAGGGGCTTAGGATGCAGTCACTTTCCATTAAAGTCAGAGTCCTGGAGTCCCATCTGCTTTGCTTCTGCATTCCCTACAATGATGAGTGGTTAGGAGTCCAGGTCCCAGAGAAAGACTGTCTAGGTGTGGGTCCCCATCTTGTCACTTCTGTGTCCCCTTGTGTGAGCTGCTGGACATCTCTGGGCCTCAGTTTCCTAATTTATAATGTGGTTGCCTGTCAGAGGATTACATGAGAAGATACATATTGCTTAGCGTAGTGCCAAGGGCATAGTAATAGCCCAACACTTATTAACCACGTTGATGATGGTTATGGAGATGATGGTGATGATGACAATGATGTTGATGATGACAATGGTGATGATTATGATTCAGTTTCTATTCTAAGATGTGGTTACAGTTTCCTAACTTTGGGAGATATGCCTATCTGTATATATCACGGCATAGTCTCTTTCTCTTATTGTAGAGAAAACACCTTCACATTATAGATGCACCGCTTGGCCTTCCTATCTCTCAGTGTAGAGGAGACTCTGGAATTCCTCTTGACTGGTCCAGATGCCCAGAAAATTCTACAGACAAGCAGCACCAAACTTAAGAGCATACATGTGATCCAAAATATTCTTTTAAAGTCAAAGCTGTCATTGCATTTTTCCAGAAATAAAATGATAAAAATTGTGCACAGGACTGCTTATCATACTTAACTCTTAATACAGCTGACCTTTAAATGGCATTAAGAGTACCAACCTGAGTTCTGGGTCCTAGGAACCAGGAGGAGATAAAAGATTAAGTAATAGGGAAGGAGAGGCCGGGTATGGTGGCTCACGCCTGTAAGCCCAGCACTTTGGGAGGCTGAGGCGGGTGCATCACCTGAGGTCAGGAGTTCGAGACTAGCTTGGCCAACATGGTGAAACCCTGTCTCTACTAAAAATACAAAAATTAGCTGTTCTGCAGACTTGGGTCTAGAGGTGATCAGTTTTTTCCCAGCCAAAGCCCAAGGGCAGCCTTGCTCCTCTCTCCCTCCCCTGGCTTATGTTCCTCTGTGTACAACTGTGTCCCTCCAGCCCATGACCTATAGAGAATGCAGACCATCCCTCTGCCAGTGTTGGAGACCAGATCCCATGGAAGGGCACTCATGTCCAGCCTGGGGCCCCCTGCCTTGGCAGACACTACTAGTTGACATAATCCAGCTACTTGGGAGGCTGGGACAGGAGAATTGCTTGAACCCAGGAGTCAGAGGTTGCAGTGAGCTGAGATTGCACTGCTGCACTCCAGCCTGAGTGACAGAGTGAGACTCTGTCTCAAAAAAAAAAAAAAGAGAAAGAAACAGGGAAGGAAAAACGATTGGAAGAAGATGAATATGCTGAGCCACATTTTGAAATTGAGAAGTCTATCTATGATCACTTGCACCTCTTCTCTTCTGGGTAGTGTCTACTTCCCCACGTCCCTCTGCCGTTCTTTTGCTGAAGCCATGCCCACCTTACCATGGGGTGCAGGGCAGTGAAGAAGCAGCAAGCTGCGAAGGCTGAGCCATACCTGGAAAGAGTGACTGCTAAGTGCATGTGTCCCTGGAGGCATTTGTTCCTTCACAAGGAAATGGTTGTGAACTCAAACTGGGTTCTAATTGTCAACATTCAAGGGAGTTGGCAAAAAGAGTCATTATTCAATAAACTCTACCAAATACTACAGTATGTGCCTGGCATGTTGTAGATGCTGGAGACACAGGAGTGAACAAATAAGCAAAGCCCCTGCCCTGTCACTGCATTTCTACAGAAAAGATGTTTTGCTTCAGGGAAGCCAAATCGCTCACCAGGAGCCTGGCCCCGAGTCCACTCTGGTGGTCAACACCCAGGGCTGCCCAGTGGGCTGTGTCTGCTGTCCCCCCGGTCCTAGTCCACAGGCTTTTTGAAATCTCCAGTGCGCTCACCATGAGGAAAGCAGGGGTGAAGTCTGCTGGGCAGCCTTTGTCATGTCTGTGATTAAGGACGACTCTTTTCTGGAAATTAAAATGAGCAGTCCTGCTATCTCACCGTACAATCACTGGCATAGTTTACTTTTTTATTCTGTGTCTGGATTTTCCCCCTGGGGCTGCAGCAGTAAGCCTGCTTCCTTGGTTCAAAGCCAGTGTGTGTTTCTACAAGAAAGAACTTCTGGATCAGCAGGGCCCCTTAACAGGCTGCAAGCTGGCTCTTGAGAGGGAGCAGGCAGCCAAACAATATTTGGCCTGTCCTTCCCCTCCATGCCAGCCTTAGTTCTGGTTCCTGCTCAGTAGGCAAGGGGCAGCCCAGGACTTCAGAGGGAACCTGATAACTTGTCTTTGTGTGATTAAGGCTGGGTAGCAGAGCCCACTGAGAACCAGCTATGCTTCACCATAAAAATAGAACTTAGCTGTGGGTACCAGGGAGTTTTAATAATGTGGAAAAATGCTTATGTTGTCATGTTAAGTGAAATAAAGTAGAGTCCTAAGCAATGTATACAGTGTAACTACAACTCTGTAAACAGAGAGAGAGCAGAAGGAAATATAGGAAAATATTAATAGTGTGTGGCTTTGGAAGGTGGGATTAATATGCTCTACTTGGCTGGGCACAGTGGCTCATGCCTGTAATCCCAGCACTTTGGGAGGCTGAGGTGGGTGGATCAAGAGGTCAGGAGTTCAAGACCAGCCTGGCCAACATGGTGAAACCCCGTCTCTACTAAAAATACAAAAATAAGCCAGGTGTGGTGGCATGCACCTGTAGTCCCAGCTACTTGGGAGGCTGAGGCAGAAGAATCACTTGAACCCGGGAGGCAGAGATTGCAGTGAGCCAAGATCATGCCATTGCACTCCAGCCTGGGTGACAGATGAGACTCTGTCTCAAAAAAAAAAAAAAAAAAAATACGCTCTACTCTTCTAATTTTCTAGGTTATCCCCAGGCAGCATTTATAACTTTTATAATCATACAAAAATAAACTTTATATTAAAATTTACATATTTTGCATATTTTAATACTTTTCCCCAGCTTTAAGAATATCTGATAAAAGAAATTTATGTTACTCTAACAAGCAGCTGCTATCTTGGTTAATTCATATTTTTTCACAATTAATAATATAAACATTAAACAGAAACTGGTGGGAGCAATTGTCCACTGGGTAATCAGTGGGCGAAACTGCCCATGAAATGAAAGCAAAACAAAAACAATATGAAAATAAAAACAAAAAATCCACAAACTACATCAGAAATGAATTTCCTCTTTGGGACATGCTGAAAAATATCCTGGGTAAAATCAAGGTATTTTGCAATTATTTTTCAAGTAAATATTGTACAGAGGGACGCAGTGATCAATGCTGCTTTCCTTTACTGCTTTGCAGGCCTGTCTAGAAACTTCAGTGGCCAGAGAGGCGGCCTGCAGGCTCAGGGATAACTGTCTTGCCAACAAGGAACTTGTTAAGTTCCTTGTTGCAGTTTCCTACTATGAAAATGTGGGGTAGTTTTGTGGGAAACTGTTAGTTCCCTAGTCAATTTCTGAAAGATCTAAGAGAATAAGGAAGTTCACCAAATCGCAAATTATGGTGGGGTTACAGCCACACTGCAGATTTTTACAATGTGGTACCCAGAGTTGATTAGGATGGGGCCCACTGTATCAATTACACTTAACGGTTCGTTGCATATAGCAGAAACCTACAGTAACAAAGGCTCGAATACAAGACATTTTATTGTTTCACATAAAAGAAATCCAGAGGATAGTGGGTCTGGGGTTACCTGGCCACTGCTCATCCCTGCTAACTCAGGCTCCTTCCACCTCTTCACCCTGCCTCTCCCCAGTGGTGGCCACCCCCAGCTGCAAGGGCGATAACACACATGGAGTTGTTCTAGGAAGAATTATTTTGTGCCCAGCTGAAAATCAGGGGCTTGATTATCAGGGAAGGGGGAGAACACATGTGGGGTTAGGCAATCAGCAGTCACTGCCGTGGCCATGACTGAAGCATGTCGAATGTTCTGAGGCCTCCAGGGGGTGCATGGCAGTCTCTCAGTAGTGTGCAACTTGGCCTTTCTCGACCCAGAAGCCTATAAACAGATAATAAAGCAATAAATTAGCTGCCACACACAGCTCGGTACCCTACAGTAGAACAGGGGCAGGATAATAGCAACAGCACCACCATTCTAAGAGGAGCAGACGGGAGGCACACAGGGGCCCCCGCCTAGCAATAAACCTTCTGAGCATGCAGTGGGAGGCCTTTCCCCCTGGTGTTCTGGTTTATCCCTGGGGAACCTCTCTACTCACTGTCCTCTGGGGCCCCTAGCTTGTGCTCAGAGAGACCCTCTGGTCTCTCACTCTGGATAGCTGTGTATGATATGGGATTAGGGACATGCCCTTAGTGGGGTCTGCACAGCTCCTCCTTCCCACTTGCTGCTGCTGAAGGTTGGAGGTTCCACCGTTGAATAGTCGAATGCCTTTAAAAAAAATTGAGATGTCGTGGGGCACAGTGGTTCACGCCTGTAGTCCTAGCACTTTGGGAGGCTGAGGCCGGAGGATCCCTTGAGCCCAGGAGTTTGAGACCAGCCTGGACCATGCAGTGAGACCTCAGCTCTACAAAAAAACAAAACAATTAGCTGGATGTGGTGGTACATGCCTGTAGTCCCAGCTACTCAGGAGGCTGAGGTGGGAGGATTGCTTTAGCCCAGGAGGTCGAGGCTGCGGTGAGTCATGAACTCACCACTGCACTCCAGCCTGGGTAACAGAACCAAACACTGTCTCCGAAAGAAAAAAAGAAAAAAAAGGGAGGGCGGTGAAATTCAGGTAACATAAAATTACCATTTAAAAATGAACAAATTCAGCGGCATTTAGGACAACCACAACATCGTACAACCACCACTTCTATCTGGTTCCAGAACATTTTCCTCACCCCAAAAGGAAACCTTGTACTCATTAAGCAATTATTCTCATTCCCACCTCCCCCCCAGCCCCTGACAACCGCTAAACTACTTTCTATCTGAATGGACTTGCCTATTCTGAATATTTCATATCAATGGAATCATGTAGTGTGTGTCCACTTTGCATAATGTATTCAAGGCTTGTCCATGTTGAAGCATGTATTAATATTTCATTCTTTTTATGGCTGAATAATATTCCAATTTATCCATAAAATATATTTTTAACTCATGGTTTCTTTGACAATTCAGGATCCACAAAAACACAGTCAGCTTCTGACCTAGTTGCTTCTCATCAGCTCCCTGGCAGCAGTCACACTGAATTCTTGCCAAGACCTATGCCTCAGACCTGCTTTATTGCTTTTCTTTTGTGCCCCTTCCCTCACTCTCATTTGATGGAATGGTGGCTACCTTGACTCTTCCGGAACACCATATGGCAAACGCCAGTCCTTTCCCTTCATCTCATTCTGAGCCGTTTCAGACCTTGACCACTCAAAGGCCAGCACAGTCTCATCTCTAATATTTGGGCTTTATAAGCAGTCGACTTTTCTGACTTTGCAAAGCCCTGAATTTCTGAACTCTATTCCTTTCCTAAGAACAACAATTCCGTTGACTTCTAAACAGCATTGGTTGCATCACCAAGGGGAAAAAAATAAACCAAAAAAACCCAAAAAACCCAAAAACCCCAAACCTCTGCCAGTTAAACCATGTCGTGCCGTATAAAGCAAGTGCCATTACAATGTGAAAAAGAAATATGCGCCGCAGAGTTGACGACGTGCAGTAAAACAGTACCGATATGAATGGCTGACATTAGTTGAGGTTCTACACTGTGTCAGGCATTGTGAATCTTTTGAGAGAGATGTCAGAATTGTTATCTTTCTTTTACAGAGGAGGCAGTGGAGGCAGAGTGAGGTTCACACCCAGCAACCCTCACTCAGAAGGCTTCTGCTTGGGTAGAGCTTGCATTGGCCAAACCTCATCCACTTGCCATTCATTCAGTCATTCAGTGACAAGTGTTTATGGTCACCTGTGGGAGTGTGTGTGTGGGAAGGGTGGAAAATTTCCCTCTTGGTGTTTTCAATTTAGTGGAGGAGTAAAGCCTTGCAGCAAAATATGAAAGATCATTCAAACATTAGGGACTCAAGTGAATGCAAAGGAGTTGGGGAAAGTTCCGCTTAGGAGGTGACATTTGAATCTGGTCTTCAAGACGAAGAAGGAATTTGCTTGGAGAGAGGGGCTGGAGGAGAAATGAGCAGGCTGGGGGTGGGGGGAGCACAGGTGTAGGCAGGGAGAGAAGAAAAGGGGCTTTTGGTTTGAGACCCTGCGAGGAGGCAGCATGGAGGAAGGGGCTGCAGGGAGCTTTGGGGTTGGGGAGAGGATGCAGCTGGAGGAGTCCCTGATGTCACTTGGGTATTATTAATGTCAATAATCAGCTTATATAGAATGACCTTCTCACTAGAATAAACAGTCATAACTGTGGTGCTTTAATCAACATGACAGCATTGGAGACTCTACTCAAACTCACTTGGGTCTAGAGGGGATCAGTTTTTCCCCAGCCAAAGCCCAAGGGCAGCCTTGCTCCTCTCTCCCTCCCCTGGCTCATGTTCCTCTGTGTACAACTGTGTCCCTCCAGCCCATGACCTATAGAGAATGCAGACCATCCCTCTGCCAGTGTTGCAGACCAGATCCCATGGAAGGGCACTCATGTCCAGCCTGGGGCCCCCTGCCTTGGCAGACACTACTACTTGACAACAGATACCCCTCTCCCCTTCTTGCTTAATTTAAAAAACTTCTATTTCAGATGGCATTGTGTCAGTGAAAAGATCACATTTTCTAGACTAGTCTGCAGCTAGGTGAGCCCAGGTGATCTAGTTCCATACGTGGAACCATTATGTGGAGTTTTCAGTAGGCTCCGTCACGGTGGGAAGAGATGGCGTTACACATTTTTCTGTCGTCCCTCACTTCCTCCTACTGTCAATATGGGGAATACGGACTTGCTGGCTGGAGTGCCAGCAGCCATCCTGGGCTGTGAAGCCACTTTGAAGATGAAAGCCAGGCTCTGGGATGGTGGATCAGGAACACAGGGGCCCAATTTCCTAGCAATGCTTTGGGGCTGCACCCTCGGCCTGTGCTTCCTATGCCAGGCTACTTTTACATGAAAGAGAAAAAGAAGTCCTGACTTAATGCATTGCTGTATTTTTCCAGAAATGTGCAGCCAGACCTAATGATAGGTGGTTTAGGGTGAGAAGCAGAGTAAGATGACAGAACTTTAGGACCACATGAAGGGAAGGAGAGGGTCCCCCAGGAAAGGGTGCAGTTTGTTAGACAGAACAATAGCATATCCGCTACAAAGAGCTGCCATTTGCTGGGCGCTAAGGGCCTGGCCCTCTGTGAACCTCACCATCTGCATCATCTCACTTCATCCTCACCAGGGTGGGGGCACGAGGACTCTCTCATGACCAGGGCTATTCTCAATTTACAAATGAGGAAACAAAGGCTCAGGAAGGGCTCTTTCTCAAGGCCACTGAGTTGGGAGCTACGTTCCACTCTGGGTCTGTTTGTCTCAGGGACAAACCTTGAAGCCACACAAGGGCCCCGAGAAGCTGTGCAGATGTGAAACCCAGAGTGGCCCGATCAGATCTATGACTTTGTGTCATCACAAAAGTGAAAGAAGCAGTTCACAGAAGGAGTGGAGTGTGCAGGTCAGAGGCAGGAAGGACAGGCAGACACTGTGATGATGATAGGCTGTGAAGAGGTGGGCGATGCCTGGGATGGGAGGGACTGTGTTGGACCCAGTGCTGACCTGAGAACCTCCTCTCAGGCCCTCAGTCAGGCTGGCCCCTGTTAGACATGAGATTTGACTCACTGGTTCCCATTAACAGCCACTAGAGATGAATGCACTCTATCAAGTCCATGTCTGATTAAATTCAACAACTCAGTAGTAGTGGTCAGGAAGTGTGCTGATTTTTTTTCAATACAGGTAAAGTTTTTAATTATGAACTTTTCAGAGGGCAAACTCAGATTGCTTAGGGTGTATTTGTCCTTGTAGTGTTTTTGAGGGAGTCATTAGGGGCATGGAATAATTAAGTGAAAATTAAGCTATGAAAGAATCACTCAGCTAAGAAACAAGATGGTAGATCAGGCTCCGTCTGATCTCTTGGCAGTATGCATTAGACCAAAGGGTTATTTAGGTGTCAAGGATTTTGTTTTGCCAGTTATCAAGCCTAAGAAACTTCCCAGTTACATCAAATCAAGCAAAATGATGAAGGCTATCATCCACCCTTGCTTACAACAAAAAGAAACCACTTATAAGTTCTTCCCGTTAGCCAAAACTGAAGAATTTAAACTGCCTTGGCTCTTAATAATAGTTTTACTTTATGGTTTTCTTGCTAGTATTTCAAATACGTAGTCTGTCTTCACCAAACTAGAAATAGTTGATACCAAGAAAAACGTGTTTGCCCGGACTGCATGATGTCATTGCACACTCACGGACCATGCACTCTTTAGCAGCACCCATCTAATTCCATGCTGACCTGCCTTCTCCATTTGTAGGATAACTGCAATACTCAGAAGCCGGCTGGTGGATCCCAGGCCTCTATCATTCAATTGCCATCACTGTACTTGGTGGGGCCTCAAAGGATGCTCCAGATCCCATTTTCCTGCTTCCCTTTTTGAAAGCATTGTCTATGGGTGCTGCACCCACTCCCTGCAGCCAAGCTCCTGTGCCTCACTCATGGAGGCTGCCGGGGCCATCTCCCTGGTCACCATGGCCTCCATGTGGCCAGGTCAGTGCATCCTGCTCTGCTCCTGTCTGACTTGACCTCTCAGCAGTGCTGGCAGGTGGACCTCTCCTGCCTTCTTGGTACGCTCACTCCTTGGCTTCTGAGCAGTGATTTTCTTGGTTTTCTTCCAACCTCACCCTCACTGGCTGAGGGTGCTGGGTTCCATTCTCATCTTTCTCCACATATTCTCTCTCTATCTCTCATCCAGGCCAGGTCTTTAATTCCATCTGTAGAACATTAACTCTTGAATCTGCCTCTAATATTGACTTTTCCCAAGAATTCTAAGCCTACTCAACATCTCCACGTGGATATCTGATAGGCACGTCCAAATTAAGATGGCCAAAACCAAATCTGGGATTTCACACCACCCATCTCTGTAAGTGGCACTCCTCAGTTACTCAAACCAAAAATCGAAGGGTTATGCTTGATTCATCTCTCTCCATCACTGCCCTCGAACCCAATCCATCCAACAACTCTATCTCCAAAACATTACTCAAACAGGTCCTCATCTTTCCGTCTCTGTTACACTCATCAGACCCCAAGGGGACCCACTGATCTCCCTTGTTTCCACTTGGTCCTACACAAGGGCTTCACACTTAGCAGTAAGAGTTATCCTCAGAGGCTGGGCTTGGTGGCACATGCCTGTAATTCCCGCACTTTGGGAGGCTGAGGCAGCTGGATTTCTTGAGCTCAGAAGTTCAAGACCAGACTGGGCAACATAGTGAAACCCTGTCTCTATAAGAACTACAAAAATTAGCCAGCAGTGGTGGTGTGCATCTGTAGTTCCAGCTATTTGGGAGGCTGAGGTGTGAGGATCACTTGAGCCCAGGAGGTTGAGGCTGCAGTGAGCCATGATCACGTCACTGAACTCCAGCCCGCAACAGAGCGAGACCCTGTCCAAAAAAAAAAAAAAAAGAAAACAGAAAAAGTTGTCCTCAGAAAATTCAAGTCAGATCATGTCACTCTCCTGTTTAAAAGCCTCCAGTGTCTCCTCATCACACCTGGCATAAAATTCAAGCTCCTTCCTTGCCACCTTCTCCAGCCCCATCCCATCTTCTCTTGCTGTTGCTTACTAAGCAGCAGCCATCCTGGGGACTCTTACTTGTTCCTTTGTGTCTTGGGGTCTTGGCGACAGCTGCTCTCTTGTCCTGGAATGCTGCTGACTGGCTCCTGGACATCATTCAGATCTCAGCTTAAATGGCACCTCTCCAGAGTGACCTTCCTAGATGACCTGCCCATCTCAAGTATTTCCCTCCTACCCTATGCTAATTTTTTGCACTGTTCAATTCACTAGCTTGTACTTTTCTCATGTACTTATTTTCTGTCTCACCCTCCTAGAACATAAGCTTCACGAGAACAGGGATCTTTTGTGTCTTCTTCTTGCTGTGTCCCAGGACCTGAGTTGGAGCTTGGCATCTGGTGTGTATTCATTAAAGATTAGTTGAATGGTTGAGTCCCAAACTTACTGTCTTTTGCTCCATGTGTTCTGATATCTTCTTTATTATGGTCTGCTTTGTTGAGTAATGTGTTATGATCATCGAGATTTACTCATAGGCACTGAGTTTCAAAAGATGATGCATATTTAGTGTATGATTCATTTATTTAAAATTCTAGACTTTTGACTGCAGCCTGTGACTCAAATACTGTATTGGTGGAAAAACTTTCAAATCATCAACCACACGTATTTGGGTTTTACCAGCTCCATGGCACATACGAAAAATAGCCAGTACTTAGAGATTGTTCTTATTATCATCCTAGACATTTGTGGATATTAATTTTTAATTCTTATGTAACCCTATGAGTATGAAACTCTTATCCCCATTTTGTAAATTGGCTGAACGTGTCAGTTCTCTAATGCTGTGTAACAAATTCCTGCAAATGGAGTGACATTAAAACAAACCCCATCTATGAGTTCACAGTTCTGTGGGTCAGAAGTCTGGGCAGACTCCACTGGGTTCTCTGCTCAGGGTCACACAAACCAAAATCAAGATGTCAAAGGGGTTGGGTTCATGTCTGGAGGCTTTAGGGGAAAATTGACTTGCAAGCTCATCGGAGTTGTTGGTGGAATCCAATTCCTTCTGGCTATAACCTAGAGGTATCTGTTTTACTGCTGGCTGTCAGCTGGGGGTTGCTCTTAGTGCTTAAAGACCTCCCGAATTCCTGACACGTGACCTTCTCCTGCTTTGCGTCTCTGACTTCCTCTTCTGCTTTCAGCCAGAGAAAACGCGCTGCAATTTTTTTTTTTTTTTTTTTTTTTTTTTGAGACAAGGTCTCATTCTGTCACCCATGCTGGAGTGCAATGGCATGATCACAGCTCACTGCAGCCTCTCTGAGTAGCTGGGACTACAGGCATGCACCACCATGTCTGGCTAAATTTTTAATTTTTTTTATAGGTAAGGTCTCACCATGTTGCTAGCTGGTCTTGAGCTCCTAGATTCAAGTGATTCTTCCGCCTCAGGCTTCCAAAGTGTTGGGATTTCTGGTGTGAGCCACCACGCCTGGCCAATGCCTTGCTTTTAAAGGGCTCACCTGACTGGGTCAGGCCTACTCATCTATTCTCCTTATTTTGTGGTCAGTTAACTTGGACTTTATTATACTTACAAAATCCTCTCGCAGTATTACCTATTATTAGTGTTTGACTGAAAAAGCAGAGACAGGAATCTTGGGGAAGTATCTTTAGAATTCTGCCCACTGCCCTGAGGTTCAGAGAAGTTAGGTGATTTATCCGAGGTCATACAACCAGCAGTGGAAACCAGATTCAAATCAAGGCATTCTGGCCCCCAGAGTCTATGACCTTGAATAATACCCTGCAGTGTGACGAGAATCCAGTGCTGCATTGGAAATTCTGCTGGGCAGATTTTCTGACAATCTGATGTAGCCATGCAGGTGAGATGCACTGGGCTACTTTGTTCATAAGGACCGGAACTATCCATGGTGCCTTGTCTCCTCACTCCCATCACCTCCGATGTAACTGAAGACAGACATGACCAAAGAAGTCAGGACTCTGCTTTTCAGTGGATTGAACCCACGGATGCTGCACCATTTTCCACAAGTCAGCAGCACCATTTCCAGGTTTTTGCTGCCCCCAGAACTTGGTTACCCCTCAAATCCTTTCATCATCAGCATGAGTGAAATCAATGTGACTCCCATTAACAAGAATATTATTATTGTGCACATGAGAATTAAGCCCAAAATGCAATCTGTGCTCACACAGGTTTGATGATGGATGGATGCAGTGGTGTGTTGGCAGTGACTTGTTCTGGGTTTTGGAACTAATTTGTTCATCTCTGCCCAACTCACTTTCAGTGAGAGCATGCTGGTAGTTTGCAATTGGCAATTGGGGAGAATTTACACTAGAGAAATCAGCAAACACTACAAATTAGGGTTTGCTTTATTCATTTATATTTGAAGATGTGATTGCTAAACATTTGCCAGCACACCTCTGGATGGATGGATGGTAGATGGAAGCGGTGAGAGCCAAGAGAGCTTGGGGATTCCAGCTTTCATAACCAGAAGCATGGACATTCTTGGAATGCTTATGGGGGTGTGGAGGGAGGACCCCCAGCATCAGCCCAGGAGAATGAGTCTTGTGAGCTGGGAGATGAAGTCTCTAAATAAGTGAGAAGGGAGGTGATTTGAGCTAGGAATCTTGGCAAATAGCCCCAGGGCAGAGGCAGAGGGGAGGAGAAAAAAGAACCATCAGAGCCAGGAAGATCAGTGGAAAACTGGAGGCCTCACAGAAAGCAAGGGCCTTGCTTGAGCAGAATGATGCCTCTTGAGTTTCTTAAAAAGGAAAAGGTAGGGGTAAGGGGCTGTTTAATCTATTAATACTTCAGCCCACTCTCAGCACCCAAATAATAGGGTGGGTGCATCAAATCTTGGTAGCCATATACATAAGAATACTTGTAGGGGTTGTTTAATTTAGGGCCTTATAAAGACAATAAAATGACTTATTGAGAATCACTAAACCAACACCCAAGTATTTAATGAAAATACTTTTTAGCTCATATAGCTTGAGACACCAAACTATGACTATATAAATAGCTATACCATGTTTATAGATTGGAAGACTTAATGTAGTAAAGAAGTAGATTCTACCCAAATTCATTGATAGGTTTACTGCAGTTCCTTTCAAAATCCAAGGGGGGGACATTTTGTAGATACAAATGAACTGATACTAGAATTTATATAGAAAAAAACCAAGAATAGCCAAAATAATTTTGAAAAAAGAAGAATAAAGTTGGAGGAAACATACTACCTGATTTTAAGATTTAACATATAGCTGTATTAATCAAGATTGTGGTGTTGGGAAAGGAATAGACTGGTAGATTAATGGAACAGAATTGAAAGTCCAAATATAAATGCACATAATATGGCCAAGTGATTTCTCTTTTTTTTAGACGGAGTCTTACTCTGTCGCCCAGGTTGGAGCACAATGGTACAATCTCGGCTCACTGAAACCTCCCTCTTCCAAGTTCAAGCAATTCTCCTGCCTTGGCCTCCCGAGTAGCTGGGACTACAGGCGTGCACCACCATGCCTGTGTAATTTTTTCTGTTTTAGTAGAGATGGGGTTTCACCATGTTGCCCAGGCTGGTCTCAAACTCCTGACCTCAGGTGATCTGCTTGTCTTGGCCTCCCAAAGTGTTAGGACTACAGGCGTAAGCCACCATGCCCAGCCAGCCAAGTGATTTTTTTTACAAAGTCCCAAAAACAATTCAATGGAGGAAAGATAGACTTTTTAACAAATGGTGTTTTATTGGATATCCTCAGTCAGAAAACTCCTCAATCTAAACCTCACATATTGTGAAAAATTAACTTAGAATTGATAATATGCCTAAATATAAAATGTAAAACTCTAAAACTTTTAGAATAAAACAGGAGAAAAATCTTCATTACTAGAGTTAGGCAAATATTCCTTAGAAGACCTAAAGCACTATCCATAAAAAAAAGATAACATCAACTGGATTTCATCAAAATACTTTTATTCTGCAAAATATATTGTTAAAGAGGATGAAAAGACCAGATATAGACTGGGAGAAAATATTTGCAAATTACATATTTGATCTAAAAGGTTGTACCTAGAATGTATAAAGGTGGCTCTAAACTCAACAGTAAGAAAACAAAGAATCCGATTAAGAAGTGGAGAAAAGAATGAGCACACGGAAAGATGCTCAGCATCATTAGTCATTAGGGACATGCAAATTAAAGCTATGAGGAGACACCATGACTCACATGTTAGAGCAGCTAAACTAAAAATACTGACAATACCAGCAGGGGAAAGGATGAGGATCAACTGGTCTCTCATGCATACATTGCTGGCGGAAATGCAAAATGGATTGTATGGTCACTTTGGAGAAAGTTTGACAGTTTCTTATAAGGGTAAGCATACAGTTACCATATCACCCAGCAGTAAATTAACTATTTACTTTAGACAAAAGAAAAACTTACATCCATACAAAAACATGTACACAAATGTTTACAGCAGTTGTGTTTGTCACAGCCAATGTGGAAAACAAAACAAATTTCCCTCAACAGGTGAATGGATGAACAACCTATGGTATATCCATACAATGGAATAGTTCTCAGACATCAAAATAAATAAAATCCCACAACATCACCAAAGGAGACTTTAGTTTCATCTGTAATGTTTTAAGGTTTTAAGTAGACAGACTATTTTCATGTTCTATTTGTTGTTGAGTTTTTAAAATTGATGTTTCTTTTATTACAAAGTATGAAAACTACAAGAGCATACCTCCGTGCCTGGTCAATGTCCTGTCATGTAGATAGATTCTCCCTCACCATAGCCAAACCCTCTCTTTGAGCAGTAGGTTCTAGCCTTCTTTCTACCCCACCAAATTCCTTCTCATTCTCTCTTGCATCATCAATTTTTCTCTTTCTACCAAATTATTTCTATCAACAAGTACACGGATGGGCTATTATTTTTCCCATCTTAACAAATAAGGAAATCTCTCTTGACCTCATTTCCCCCTCCAGCTATAGCTTTATTTCTAGAAAGCAGTGTCTGTTCTGTCTTCAATTTCTTTCCCCTTTCTCTCCTCACTCAATTCAGAGTTTCACCCCCTCTTCCCCAGCAAATCCTTTTTTTTGCCAAATCCATGTATACTTTTCTGTCTCCACCTTACATGACCTTTCAGCAGTGATTATGCAGGTGATCAGTCTCTCCTCCTTGAAGCACCTTCTTCACTTGCCCTTGAAGGTCCTACACTCTCCAGGCTTCCCTTCCACCTCACCAGCCCTTACTTCCCCCACTCCCATCTTTGCTGGCTCCTCCTCACTCCCTGACCTCTTAAAGCTGCAGGGCAGGGCTCAGTTCTTGCTTTCTTTTTCTACGTTCATTTCTGTGGTGAACTCATGCAATTTCCTAACTTTACAGACTACATTAGATCCAATTTAAGATGTCCTCAATTATAAGATGCACCATTAAGTTAAAGTTCCACTAAGGAAGAAGAAAGCACTGCCAATTAAACTCTTTTCAAACTCTTTTTTTTTTTTTTTTTATATGGCTCTGTCATCCAGGCTGGAGTGCAGTGACAGTCTTGGGTCACTGCAACCTCCACCTCTCAGGTTCAAGCGATTCTCCTGCCTCAGCCTCCCCAGTAGCTGGGATTACAGGTACTCACCACCATGCCCGGCAAATATTTGTATTTTTAAGTAGAGACAGGGTTTCACCATGTTGGCCAGGCTGGTCTCGATCACCTGACCTTGTGATCCACCCACCTCGGCCTCCCAAAGTGCTGAGATTACAGGTGTGAGCCACTGAGCCCAGCTGCCAATCAAACTCTTACATCCTATCATCCCAATTTCAGATGTCTCTTTGTTCTCAGAGTCCCTAAACTGCTCTGGAGTGAGTGATGATGCTTCTCCTTCCCAGCACCCCTCTTGGGGAACAGGGTTCGCACCCTTCCTTCTATCTCTTTCCTTCTAACTCTCTTCATCACCCAGCCTGTGGAATCCTTATATGAGCTTGGGATGGTATCGCCTGTTTCTACACCTAGCTTTGCCACATATGGTTGGGCACATCACAACTTGTATGGATTTACTCCATTGGGTTGTGCAGTATATAACCTGTACAACTATACATTGTTGCCTGACTTCACCCATTCCTCCAAGGTTTTTTATTTTTCTCTTTATAATACTGTCTTAGTCTATTTTTTGTTGCTATAACTGAACACCTGAGGCTGACTAGTTTATAAAGAAGATAAATTTATTTTTAGCAATTCTGGAGTCTGGGAAGTCCAAGGTTGAGGGGCTGCAACTGGTGAGGGGCTTCTTACTGGTAGGGACTCTCTGCAGAGTCCTGAGATGGCTCAGGGCAACACACGGTGAGAGGACCCACCAGAGACGGCCAAAGTGGCTTTCATATGAGACCCACTTTTGTGATAACCCATTAATCCATTAATTTATGAATGGGTCCATTCATGAGAGCAGAGCCCTCATGACCCAATCATCTCCGAAAGGCCCCACCTCTCATATTGCTCCATTGGTATCCAAGTTTCCAACACATCAACTTCTGAGGAACACATTTAAACTACAGCAAATACCTTGTCCTGAACTTTTGAAACTTTAAAGCAAGAAGGAGACTCTTTAGTTCTGTGCATTCTTCCCTGTTATTTCTTGCCTGAGGCAATCGCTGTAGCCTTGGGGTTTTTGCTCCAGTTGGGCACCCCTGAGCTTACCACGGTGGCTAGAAAAAACATGCCCTTACTGACATAGGCCTGGGAGCCCATCTAGGAGCCATTCACAGTGGCAAGGGGTGGCCCTTATTTTGCATAGCCAATGAGAAGACTCCCCTGGCTATGAGGGTGGAGTCCATCTTAACCAAATGTCAAGGTTGCTGCCAATGGAGGAGGAATGGAATGAATGTGGGGGAACCCATTGGGTCTACTCCACAGGGTCAAAGGCAGGGATAGTGTTACTGGGATGAAAGAGACTTGAGCCTGTGTTTAGGTCTACAGACAGGAAGCGATTAAAGACGTTGGAGGAAAGAGCCTAAATTTGGTTAGGAGCAAAATCCTAGAGAACAAATGAGGTGTACGGGGGAGGGTCTAGATTTGAAATGAGGGCATGAAACTTCTCCTGGATGGAGGATGATGAAGAGACCTGCTATGAAGGTGTAAGTGAAGGAAGGGATGTGAGGGCCTCTAACAGTCTTGTGTCCTCCAGGTAGGAGGAGCAGCGCAGCTGGAGATATTGGTAGTGTGGACAGCTTCATGGTACTTTCTGGGAAGTGTCCAATGTGTAATTTTAATTGGCTCTTTTCATTAAATAGAATTGATATTATTTTAAGAGACAGATCACTTGAAAATTAGGATTTTGATTCACTTCTCAAATGAAGAGAAAGTGCCTTTGCCTCATGTATGTGTGCAGAATTTGGGAGAATACATCATGAGCTCAGGGAATGTGTGTGCGAAGATGTTTAAAAAGTCACTTGTGGGAATTTGCCTGGCTTGGTGGTTAGGAATGTGGACTCTGAAGCCAGGAGGCCTGGGCTCACATCCAGGCTTTGCAGCCTTGGGAAGGCTCCTGAACACCTCTGTTTCTTTGCTAAAAAGTGGGCAGGATATCACTATTTTTGGTATAGACCTACCGGAAGGATCAGAAGACTTAATACCTGTGTGTGTTTTGGAGAGTTATTGGCACATATTAGATAGTTTTACTGTGAATCATCATTATTTATAATAATTCTCTGACATGCTGGAATGTACACTGTCTTTAGAAATGAAATTTGTTTTGTTTTCCTAATTTCGTGCAACCTACATTTTTCCAGTGCTATTTTCTTTGGGGAAAGAGCATGCAGATGTTCCGTGTTTTCAATGTAGCGGTGTATAAAATGTCATCATTGTTTCCTTTCTGGTGGAATATTCAGAGCCAGCTTAAAGATAATCTACTCCAGAAAGTTCCATATTAGCAATTATGTGGGGGCTGGTGCTCATATGCCTCAATGAATGATTTATTTATTAGTATATTGGGAATGGCCTCCCTCTTCTCACACTAGCACCTTTTCCCCACTTTCCAGCCCATTTCCAAATGAGAAGGGCTGAAGTCAATCAGGAATTAAGATTTAGCATTTGTGGGATTATCTTCGAATGCGACACTGGGGGGGACACAGTTTCACTCACTCTCCATGGTGGCAGTCCAAATTGCTCTTTCGGGACCCTGGCTGTGTCTAAAGCCTCAGAATGATCCAGAAGGCTCCTATAACAGTGCCACTGTGGAAGAAACCACTTCTAATATGGCAGGAAGGTGTGGCCCTGCTTGGAGCCCATGTTTTCTAACTATTTCACGTTTCTTTCTTTCATCCCTGGTGTTATTTTTTGAAATTAATTTTTATTTTCAGTTCTCCTAGGAATTAATGAGTTAACTTAATAAAAGTAAAAGTCTTCATAAAGAAGGTAAAGGCTGGCTTTCCACATAGAGAACAAACATAACAACCCACATCCTCTGCAGAGCTCCTGGTCAATGCATTCTTCTAGTGGGGCTGCCACGCCCCTGGGGCCTCAGGCAAGCAAGCCCCTTGTGGATGACAGGGGCTGGGCTCAAAGCAGTCTCTGGGGCTGTGCCTCCTTCCTGTTCTCCACTCTTCTCTAAAGGAAATGCACTGCAATGAATTGCACAATACAGACATTCCTAAATTCTGGAAAACCAGCAGGCTTTGAACTCTCCTGGGGGAAAAAAACCATAAAACACAAAACTGCAAGGAATGAGACTATTTGGCCAAATGGCCAATATGCTACAACTTTCATAGGGAACTCACCGCACTTGGTATTGCCTGATGGAAAAAAATGCCCTGAATTTCCCGATAAAAGATTTGAGATGTGGCAAAGGAATAAATATTTTTTCCCTAAGATAAATCTAGCTGTAGGTGAAAACTGGGTCTCATGCCTCGGACAAAATATTATTTCCTTATTTACTCTAAGTCTATATCAGAATATAGCCTACATAGCATCAGGTACTAAGCCAAAAAAGGCTCCAAGGGCACCATTGTTCATCCATGACTTTGACTGTGTCACCCCCCAGAAACCTTGAGTTGGGCAAATGAAATCACAGTAGCCTTTGGTGGCTTCTTGAGCAGCTGCTAAGGATCACATGGATTCTGCTCACACCCAGTGCTTCTCATAATTTAAAAATGCTTGAAGCTGTGGGAGGCTGCCCGGCCCTCTGCATTATTCAAAAGAAAACCAGGAGGCAGCGACAATTCTTGATTCTTGCAGATAAACATTCTCCAACAACTATTAAGAGTTGGATTGCTCTACCTTCATTTAATTCCTTGGTGCTTTACTATTTGAATCTAGAATATTCTTGAAGTCTGAAAGATGGATAGAAAAGAGGTAAGTCATGTAAACTTATAAACAGGGCACGAACCCCGCTAACAGACAGCTTTGAAGAGATGATGATTTTAGATCTTGTGAATTGTTATGTCAGAGGAATACATGCAGAAGAAAACAGGCACCGAAATAGTTATTACCAGAGCAAAGTAAATCTGAACACCTAAAAGAATAAGAAAGTATCTTATGCTTCTCTCTACTCTGAACTGCCTTGAAAAGAGCAAGAATTTCATACATGAGCCTGTAGCACATTACAAAATCTGAGTATGTATTTGAAATTCAAATGCACACAAAGTTCATGCATTTTATTTTCCAGTTGTTCTCAAGACTCCTAAATAAAGCATTTCCCCTGTGTGGGCGACCCCTGGGTCCCATGTGGGGTCAGTGTTTGGGTCTCTCTGAGAGGATCAGGAAGGCTGCTCTTCCAGGAAGGGCTGCAGGGACCCTGGGAACCGGACCAGTCCAGCTCACAAGTATGAAGAGAATGTCGGGAGAGGAAGTGGTGGCTATGAGTCAGCATGAGTCATCTCGTTCCAATGAGAATGAAGGCTGAGGTGTGCGCCTTTTTTTTTTTTCCTTCTTAGTCGTGTGTACATCATTGGGAATGGAGGGAAATAAATGACTGGATGGTCGCTGCTTTTTAAGTTTCAAATTGACATTCCAGACAAGCGGTGCCTGAGCCCGTGCCTGTCTTCAGATCTTCACAGCACAGTTCCTGGGAAGGTGGAGCCACCAGCCTCTCCCTGGTGAGTATGTTTCTGTCATTTTTAGGGTTGCTTCTGCAGTTTGCCTTGGAGTCTGGGCTGTGGGAAAGGCTGCTGCGTCCTGGTGAGGACACTGCGTTTCTTTCAGACTTTGAAGATCTGTCGTTTTAGAAAAGTGGCTGCCTCTGTCACCAGCCCCATGGTTACTGTCCTGTAGTGTGACTGTCAGGAGGTGTTTCTCAGTCCTTCGTTGTAAGAATGTAGATGCCGGTTGCACCTTCTGTTGTCTTGGAAGAGACTGCAGTGCTTGGCTGGAAAATAAGCTGCTCGGGACTCCTCTGAGAAGCCAAAGTGAAGCTCAGAGATGGAAGTGGGTATACTTGTGCTAACCCAGGGTTGCTGAGGTTGGGTGAGCTTCCGCTTCTCAGAGGTGGAGGAGAGGCAGCTCCTGAGCCATTTCTGGCCTCGTGGTCAGAGCTGCCCAATTTCAGTGTGAGAAATACCAGAGAGGCAGAACTTTGGCTGCCTTCTCTAAAAGCATATGAATGATTGCAGGAGCGTATTTTACGTCCTTTCCTTTTCCTTAACGTTGAAAGTCACAAACTGTAGTAAAATCAGGAAGAACGTAAAAATGCTGGGGGCCAGCGCTGGGGGTGGGGGACTGGGGAGGACTGAGGAGGGGGCCACTCAGTCTTTGAGGCCTGACTTGATCTTGATAGGTATTTCTCAGGCTGTTAGTATTCCGATGAAGCTTAGCTTTACTGTCAAGTAAAATACAGGAAACATTTTTTTTTTAATGTTGTTCTAGTTACTGTAAATGAAACGGTTAAAATGTCATAAATACCTTATGATAAACATTTTTCAAATTTGCTTAAAAAGCAACACATCAGTAGGCAGGGTATGACAGGGAGCTTTTTCAGTACAGTCATTTGAGTGTGTGGGCTTCCTGAGTTAATAATGAGTCAGCACCCAATTCTAAAATTGGAGCAGCTAAGAGAATGTTCAATCTGCTCCTCAGCACAGCACGGTGGCTGGCCGGCCCCCCGTAGGAAGGCTTGGCTGGTGGATCTCGGGTTAAAATCGACTTAGGATGCCCCCCTTATGTAAGTGACCAGCTCCCAGCTTGGGTCCCAGCTCCTCTGGGCTTCTGCTGAGAGACCCCCTCTGCTAAGGGATCTGTCTCTGAGGCAGGAGCTAACACATTTGGCTTCCAACCTTTGGCTAATGTTGACGATTTTTAGGTTGTCTTGAGGCAACAGGTTGAACATAGTTTCTGAAATGAAAAATCTAGTGTTTATTAAGGCCAGGGCAGCTGAGGGCTGAGCCTGCATCTGGAGCCTTGAGATGTTCCGCTTGCACGTCACCCTCGCCGAGGGATTGGGCGGGAGAGTCGGTCACCGAGTGAACTTCAAAGTTGGCGCTCTGCATGTGACGTGTAGCGTGGGAAGATTAAGTCAGCTTAAAATGAGAGAACAAGATTCCAAGGAAGAAAACCTCCCCAGAACCTTACTCGTTTATAGATAAAAGAAGATAAATATTGAGAAAATTAAAAAAATAAAACGAAATAGTTGGGCTGCAAACCAGCAGCTCTGGGACCAGATGCAGCCCTGGTGAAGGCATCCCCCACCAGGTTCTGTTTGGCCTGCTCAGGATTGTTTTTTTGTGTTGAGATAACTGTGGGTGGGGTCCACACTCTCCGGATCTCAGGCCCTGTCACACCCTAATGCCACAAAGCTTGGAGAGTGCGATTACAGCGAGGCTCAGAAGCCAGGCTGAGGGCCTGCCAGCCTCGTGGGGCTGCTGTGTGGTCCCCATGGGTTAGCATCTGCCCGGCCGCCGGAACAGGGCCTGGATGGAGAAGGAACTCCATCAGCACTAACTCTGCTAGACTCTCTTATTAATCTGCCCTCTGAAGGCATTTGGGCTTGTGGCCCTTGAGTTAGTTCCATGGCTTTTTCAAGAAAGATCCTGCAGTTCCAATGTGAGCAGCAGTTGTTTCCAAGGCTAACAATTTCACGCCAACTAGAAGCCTCCACAAGTCAGGTGCCAGGCATTTCTAAGCCAGTAGAGCAGCTCCGCTTGTTTCTCTGGGTGAGTCCTCTCAGGGTGAGACCCTGTCTCCTTGTAAGCAGTCGGAGACGTGCCACCTTCATGGAGACGGGAGCCAATCAAAGGCAAACTGCGTTAGACAGCTCTTCCATGCGGTATGGACACCAACATTCGATCATCCTTGTTTCAGAGAAGGTGCCGGGCCCCAGACATGTGCTTATGACTGGGTCCCATGGCCTTCAATCCTTTAAAGGGTTTTAAGGTGGCTGATTTTTATCCCAGACATTGATCATGTTTTTTTTCATGCAGAATTTGGGCAGTTGTCTGGACATTAGGAGTTGAGTCACCTCCTACCCATGAGGAACAAGCCTGTGGGGGGACTGATATTATCACTTCTGTCATCAAGAAATAAGGCCGCAGGCATCCCTGAATATAGAGCATTTATTAATCGAACTGTGAAAATGAAACACAGACAGTGATGACAGCTGGAAGTTGGCCAATGTCCTGTTGTCATATTGCCCTCAGCCTAGGGACTGGCCTGTGGCTCACTGACCCTGTCTCCCACTCTCCACCTCTCATCAGCACCTGGACCTGGTGCACCTGGTCTACCTCATGTCCAGTGTTTTCCGCAGTACCTGACTGGTATCCCCACCCTTGGTTGTTGTGTGGTGAGCTCGTCCCTATGTTGGCAAGTTACTTAATTCCTAGGTGTCCCGCCTTCCTCACTGTAAAATGAGAATAGTCATAGCACGAATGTCATGAATCCTTGTGAAGATTTTATGATTAGCACACGAGTTACAAGGAGACACGATAACTGTTACGTACGTACTCATTCGTTCGGAAATACAACAGACAGCTTAGTATCTCCACCCGGGTCCCTCTGCCCTGTGGGAATCCATAAAGAATTGATTCTCATCCCCCAGAAGTGAGATCCCGCTTGTGTCATCAATTACATGGCATGTTCTGCATTTACAGGACATTTATTTATTAGGTAAGTGGGGAATCCTCCTTGGTTCTCTCCAGGAAAACCTGGAGTTCTAGATATCATCATCATCATCATCATCACTGTCATCATCATTGACATCATCACAATAAGTACTCCCATTGTATTCAGCCCTAACCGTATGGTAGCAACTTTATGGTATTCCCTTTAACCTCCCCCCACCCCAATATCCATCCTGGAAGATGGGAAGGATGATAGGTTTGTTGACTCACTCAAGGCGGTGGGACTCTCCAGCAGGTATCAGGCACAGCATCTGCTTCAAAGAACACATCGACGACAGGGGAGCCCCTTGCACTCACTCAGGACAGGAGAATCAGGAAAAGCAGCAGATCTGCAGGGCTTTGTGTGTAATCCAACCAGACTGATGCCACAGGCCAGGAAACCGAGGACGGTTGGCTTCAGACCTACCCTGGAGTGGAAGCAGCTGGATTCTGTCCTCACGCTTCCTGTCTAAAGCCAGCTAGAGTAAATTTCTAGTCATCTAGATTCTGGTTATTTGGAAATCATCACAGTATCTGGAGATGACTCATATTGAAAAAAATTAAATAAGATACACTTAAAACTTAACCCAGGGTGAACATAACATGGCCTTTCCTTGTCAATTCTGAAGAAGATCATTCAAGTTTGTGCAGTGCCTTAGAAGCCAGATGCTCTCTTCCATTCTGCCAGGGTCCTAAAGAAGTACTACTGTGTCCTTTAGATCACTCTGCCTTGATCACTCTGTCCCGTCACTCTGCTATTTCACCTGTCAGTGAAATACCTGGTATCGTCCTGCCAACGTGAAGCATTGAATGCTTTATACGTCTCCATCCTGATTGTTTAGGCTTTGAATGCTGAGAAGTATCTGCACTTTGTTGGTCAATTGTAGATGGTGCTAATTTGTGGGGAGTTTTTCCTGCAACTTCCCCCTGTGCCATAATCCAGAGGACCTCCCTCTGCCCCCAGTGCTGTAGGCTAGGCAGCTATGGGCCTGGCTCAGGGCTGTCGGGCAAGGATTGGACTCTCTATAGGTTCCGTTGGGTTCTGGTTAGATCACAGAGCTCAGGCAAGGAAAAGCCGACAATAGATCAGAAGGAAGTTGAGCGCTCAGGAAGGAGGAGTGGGCAGGATGCTTGGTGGTGTCAGAGGATTCCTTCGGATTAAAAAAAATAGATGTTATTGCACTTTGTGTAATCAGAAAAGCTAAGGTTGACAGCAGATCTTATCCACTGTGGTTTTCCTGCTTATCTTTTGTTTTAGGAGTGATAACCCTGCGAGTGAGGGCTTCTGTTACAGGGTCTTGTAGCTCTTCTCTTCATCCTGCCCTTTAAAACATTTATTGGACTAAAAATCACAGGATTTTTAATGATGACAGAAAATGTATTATTTTAGCTGTTCTCACTGGACAAATCACTTACGGAGTGTTGATTAATACATTGATAAGTTTCTATCAATTCAGCTAGATACAAGGGAAAATGTATAAAATAGCAAGGGCTCCGAAAAGAGTCAGGCTTAATTTCTCTTGCACAGAAAAAGGATTCTATTGCTCTTTCTGTTCCGTCCTCAAACAGGAAGCAGGTTTTCTGGGACAAGGGTCAACAGGCAGCCAGTTCATCCATCTGCCTACTCCGCCATCCTTAGCACTGGCTTCCTTCCTCCAAGTTATCTTATGCTTCAAGAAGGCTGCTGGAGCTCCTGCCATCACTTCTGCATTCCAGACAGAAGAGAGGAAGGAAGTGGGGGGCAAAAGGCAAAGCCTCCTAGATGTCAGACTCCTCTGCAGGCCTTTCCTTGAATTCCCAGCTAACCCTTTCAGCCTAGTCTTTCACTGGCCACCCTATCTGTAAAGGAGCTGGAGGAGGAAGATGGAGGAGTGAGGCAAGGCCCTGAGATGATGCAGAGCAAGGGGCACACAAGAGGGGACTCAGGTCCAAGGTGAAATAGCAGCAAGCACTCTCCCTCCAAAACCCACCGCCTCCTTATGAATCCCTTTGGCCTTGATTATGCCAGTAGATAATGGGTATGTGACAGTTTTAGCTTCTCTGGCCTTTGATCAGGTTGATTTATGTGAATAGACTCCATGTCCTTGGAGATGAACCTGTTCTAAAAATTCTAAGCAACCAGCCATTTGGCTCTTTGCTGGAAAGTAGCCTGGCTTTTGAAGCCAAGTCTGGACAGTTTCCTTGCTGCACCTCAGGACTCAAAGGACATGGTCCTGACTCAGGAAGAGCTGGCTTTGAGGGAAGGGGTGAGTCATGAACCCAAGCACAGCAGAGATTCTTGGTGTGTGCTGCAGAAGGTGAGAGTAGCCCCCATCTCCCTGTGCCAGTCTCCTGGGGGAAATTTATGATGGCCTTACATAATTGGGCTTATATGTGTTTCACTAGAAAGACAAAAAAAGGTGAGACCTTGTCTGCCAATTCGCTACCACCTCCTTGGGGTCTAAGAGCTAGGCTGTTTGTTCAAAGCTAGGCTCCTTTGTGTATTAACAGTGTGACCCCGGGCATCATCCTTAACCCCTCTTTGTCCCAATTCCACATCTGAATGATGGGGATGATAATGGTAGACTCTGCCACATATGGTTCTGAGGACTAAGTGAGGCCACATGTGCAAAGGATCCGGAACAGTGCCTGGCCCCAAGTCAGCCCTCAGGCAACAGAACAGTGTTTGGATTGTCCTTGTTGCTTTATTGGATACGTGATAAGTACTGGTGAAATGCATGAATGAAAAGAAATCCCACTTGATTTTAATACAAGAATCAAGCAAGTGACTTCTGTCCCTTTGAATACCCTCCTCCAAGTGGTCCAAAGTCCTTGAAGCTACCATCTCCTTGGTACCCTTCCTGATGCTTCTGGTGTGGGCAATGAGGTTACTTCATCAAGTAGACCCTGGTTACAGAGAAGTTAAATGATTTGTCCCCAGGCCCACTCACAGGAGAGAGTACTATACAATATCAAGCTGGTTGTCTTCAGCACTCTGTTGTAGAGACTTCCAGTATGCATTCTCTTCTGCTTCCTCTGTTGTCAACCACAAGTCCATGTTGTTAGGGACAACAGTGTGCCCAGTTAAAAAACGATATTTCCTAGTCTCCTTTACAGATACGGTGGCCAATGAAAGATATAGGCTGAAAGGGTTAGCTAGGGATTCTAGAAAAGCTCTCTAAAGGAGACTGACATGTAATAGGCTTAGCATTTTGCACCTGAATTCTCTCCTTCCCCCTGTCTGGAATGCAGACGTGATGGCTGGAGCTCCAACAGCCTTCATGAAGCCATAAGACAATGTGGAGGAAAGAAACCAGTGCTAAGGATGGCAGAGCAGGCAGATGGTCACAGGTCTTTGGGTGACCAGCTATTTTGCCTGCCTGGAGATTTGACTATTTTTGGAGCCGGATGCAGAGGGAGGTGGGAAAAATATTCCAGCTGAAATTCAACCTGTAGGAGTATTTTTCAGGGTGTCAGGGTCACTTCTGTGTGGAGCTGCCTTTCAGGTCTCTGGTATAGGGGGCAAGGGTCATGGCCTCATGGTGATGCCCAGGGACCCCAGGTGCTTTGGTCTTTGCAGACCACTTTCTTATGAAAAAGCAGAGTGTGACTGCTCTGGCAGAAAGATAAATGTCATTCAGGCTGATTCATTATTATACATTCATTTTCGTTTATTTGTGGTTTTCCTCTGATTTTAAAATAAATCAAAATTAAAACACTTGTGCAGGCCCCTAACAGTATCATGGGCCCCATGCACTGTGCCCAGCATGCCCAGTGGACATGTAGGCCCCAAGAGGGCAGAGAGCAATCACAGAAGGACTTGCCCTGGCCAACATAGGCTGGTCTCTCTAGGGGCAGCTTCGGAATTGTGAATTACCCAGAGCTGCGTGCCAGGAAATGTGGACCTAACTCTTGCCTCTGAGGAAGGCAGGCAGGCTTGGTTTCATGTACTGTTGATGAGCCCGACATCCTCAATGCTCACTCGAGCTTTGGAAATGACAAGCAGGATTTTCAGAACAGGATTCTCTGTCCTGTCCCTGTTTTAATTTCAGCCTCCTTATTCCCCATGTAATAATTCTCCATACTGGCTCAATTATTTGTTTAACGGGTATGAATTCCAGTCTATAATGCCAAGGTATCAAAATGTGACGTACCTTTACTCTAGAAATCTCTAAATTATATTAAATCTGCTCCAAGATCGCCCTGCCCTACCTCACCCTCTCTGCCTGGTTATTGGGAGATTCAAATTCTGTCATTATTGGGGATCCTTTCTTGTCATAATGCTCCAGATGTCATCAAACAAACTTGGGCTTAGGTGATGCCAGGAAACCTGGGGGGGAGCATCCATTGTCTGCAGTGGCTGCTACCATTGCAACTTCGACACCTGCAGTCTCAGTGTGTGGGGGGCTCTGGGAGCTGCTCAGGGCCTGCTCCAGTTGGGGTGGACCCCACACCTCTCGTGATCTGTCCTCTAACTGTAGGCTCCGCTGCTGGAAATGTGTCGCTGCTCTCATGGCCACTGTGTGAGCTCCCAGTCTCGGCAAATGCACCCAGCAATGTCTGATTGATAGGGCACCCTCTGTGGGCCTTGTCCTGCTTGCTGCTAGCTGCTGCTGGGCCTCTCCCAGCCTGGGCCTCCTGTCTCAGTCTGAAGGCCAAGAGACAGCAGCGACAGCAGAGGAGGCAGAAACAGAAAACTCTCCGAGGACCCGGGGAAGTCACAAGGTGGCTTCCCAAACTCTCTAGTGCAGCACTGTCTGATAGAACCTTCTGCAAGGATGGAAAAGTTCTGTATCTGTGCTGGTCAAAGCAGCGGCCACAAGTCACATGTGGCTCCTAAGCAACTGAAATGTGGCTACTGTGACTAGGAACTGGATTGAAAGTTTTATCTAATTTCAGTTAATTTTAATTTAAATGCCCACAACTGCATGTGGCTACCAGGTTGGACAGCACACATGTGGAACACAGACTCCTGATCTGGGAGCCTTGAAAGATGAGCCGTCACTCTGATGAGGTGGAGGGCCTGAATTGAGCCCTGCGGTGGCACTCGGCAGGTCTTCAGAGGGGCTGGTGACCCCTCCAAGGTGCACAGCCCCTGGGCTACGAGCAGTGGCTAGTCAGGTTGGGGTCCCTGGCCTCTGCCATGAGTGGCCACTAGTGGAAGCCTCAATGTCTCCACCTCCAGTGGGCTCTCAGGCCTCACGTGCCCATGCCAGGGTAGGGGGCCTGTCGAGGAGGATGCCCTGGCACCCAGAGCTTCTCTGCTGTTTGTCCTGAGGGTTCCCTTGGGCTGGGGGCCTCAGGTGCAGGGCACATGCAGCCGGACTGTCCAGCCTTGTGGTATTTGCACATGAACTTTCCTGCGTGGGGATAGACAGCCTTATTCTTGTTTGTGTAAAGCCATTCCAGGAACTATTAATAGTTAGACTGGCATAAATAAGCCTCAGGTTTGGTTCTTGTTAGTGTCCTACAAATCCCTCAAACTTTACTCTTTTGGCTTTTTAAGGGAGAAGCTTTACAGTATGTTCAGGCACAATTGACAAGAAACATACAAGTTGTGCGGAGATGAGCAGACCCAGGGCCCCAGGCCTGAGCCTCTTTTCTCTCCCATGCCCTGCCTGCTCAAGTTACCTTGAGCACAAATGATGTCCTTCTGTGTGTGGGATCACAGACTGAGACATGGGGCTGTTCCTCCCCTGAAGTCACCCCTCAAGTTCCCCACATGATTTTACTCCTGGCTACTCCCCAGTTTGCTGTAGTTTGCTGGACCATGTGACCTTGGAGGGGCTCACAAGGCACAATGATGAAGCCACTGCCAGGGCTGAGCCTCAGCTCAACCAGCTACTTAATGCATGCATAGCAAGTTACTTAACACCTACTGACCTCAGTTTCCTCACCCGTAAACTAGAAATAGAGGAACAATTACCACAGAGAGTTGTTCTGAGGATGCAAAGAGTTCTTGCATGAAAAATTCTTAGGAAAGTGCTGCACATAGTAGGTATTCAATAGCATTAGCTATTTAGATTGGAATTAGTGGCTTTTTGCCATTTACTCCTGACTGTAGGAGCTGTTCTCTGGGCCCCAGATCTCCATTCCAGCAATGATCTCTCTCCTCCAACTCTGGCATTGGAGGAGTACCACAATCCTGCCTCCAGGTTTCATTTGCTGACACCCAGGGGCAGCATTAGGTGTAGAGTGCTGGACATCTAAGGGAAGAGGTTCAATTGTCCATCCGTTTAGTTATTTACTCATTATTCAATGAATGTTAATTGAGACCAGTCAGGGCAGCTGAGAAGCAGTGCGGTTGTGAGGAGGGCTGTTAGTAGGGGAGATGCAGGTGCTGGTGTGCTTCCCTGTATGAATATGGCAGCTAGTGCAGCGTCATGAAGAGGGAATCAGGGACACTCTGGGGATGTTAAAAACTCTGTTGATGTGGAATCAGAATCCCTGGGCCAGTCCTGCCTTCCTCTTGCTAGCTGTGTGGCCATGATCGAGGGTCCTCTTTGATCCTCCCTGATACATGGGCGAGGTGACCCACAGTGGCAGATGCTTAACCATCCAACATGGAGTCATCATCATTACTTAGACACCCTTCATTTGGAATCACGATTCTCAGTGTGAAGGGCACTTCCCACCATAGAAGCCCCTCTCTGTGAGCCCTCAGAGGGCTGTCTAATCCATAAGCCCTTTCCCTCCCAAAGAGGCAGCCCAGCGCATCACTGCAAAGCGCCAGCTGAGAAGACGTTCTATAAATTATCCAAAGCCTATTCTCTGGCACATCCATATTTTGGACCTAGCTTTGCCCCCGAAGTCATATAAGCATAGCCACGATGGGAAGGATGGTCATAACTCAACATGCCCATTCATATACCTTGAGCACATATCCTGTCCCAGAAACTGCTGAATTATTGCATGAGCCCCAGCTCCTTCCACACCAAAGCCCTTCCGACTGCATGGACCTCACCACTTCTTCTTTTTTTTTTTTTTTTTTTTTTTTTTTTTGAGACGGAGTCTCGCTCTGTCGCCCTGGCTGGAGTGCAGTGGCGGGATCTCGGCTCAATGCAAGCTCCGCCTCCCGGGTTCACGCCATTCTCCTGCCTCAGCCTCCCAAGTAGCTGGGACTACAGGCGCCCGCCACTACGCCCGGCTAATTTTTTGTATTTTTAGTAGAGACGGGATTTCACCCTTTTTAGCCGGGATGGTCTTGATCTCCTGACCTCGTGATCCGCCCGCCTCGGCCTCCCAAAGTGCTGGGATTACAGGCGGACCTCACCACTTCTGTTCAAGCTCTTCCTTCTTCTCATGATTCCTGGAAAGATTCTTTATGTGCTGAGGTGTTCAGCTACCCTTGATCTTGTGCTGCCTTCCACAGCATCTACTTGGCAACTTTCCAATGTCCCACTTCAGGTGGGCACAGTGACCTCCTTTGTCTGGTTTTTGGCAACCATACCTATCTGTTGGACCTGGGCACTGCACTGACAGCCAGCTGACCTCCCTGCCTCTCTGTGTGGGAACGTGCTGCAAAGCCACATCTCTCTAATTCTGTGTGTGTGTGTGTATATATATATATATCTTTTAGAGACAAGATCTCACTCTGTCACTCAGGCTGGAGTACAGTGAAGCAATCATAGCTCACTGCAGCCTTGAACTTCTGAGCTCAAGTGACCCTTGACCTCAGCCTCCTGAAGAGCTGGGACTACAGGCATGTGGCACCATGCCTGGCTAATTTTAAAATCTTTTTTTTGGTAGAGACGAGCGTCTCACTGTGTTGTCCAGGCTGGTCTCAAACTCCTGTCCTCCAGTGATCCTCCCACCTCTGCCTCTCAAAGTGCTGGGATCATTCTGAATATGAGGTGGTGACTTTTTAAAAAAAAACTTTTTTTTTAACCTAAGTAGAACTTTGCATTATCGCTGGTGTTGTCTTTTAGATTTAGCCCATGTATTCTCTAATATAAAACATGAAGCTTCATGTCATCTATAACTTGGAGTGGTATCCCCTTTACATCTTCACCAGAAGACCACTTGGATCAGTGAAGACCAAGAGCAGAGACCTGTGACATCCACTAGCGATTGTCTTCACTGTTGCCACTATCCCAGTGCTCTCGGGCACTGCATTGAACACAAATAGCTCCCCTTGCTGCACAAGTTTCACTGATGGGGGTAAAGGGGGTTATGAAATGTATCATGTGATCAAATCTGTGATAGTGATCCCACAGACAAATGGAGCATGTGGGGATGATTTAGACACTCAGCCAGCCTTGTCTTGATGGATACCCATCCTTCTCTGCTGCTCTCTCTTTCCTCCATCCTCAAGCACAGGGAGCTTTTGGCGAGGTTAGCTAACTTCGGGGCAGCTGTGAATTAGATACTGGCTGTAAGTTACCTCCAACATCCAGAGCATTTAAACGCTGGGCTGTCAATGATTGTCATTTTCATTGTTTACACATAATCACATCCTCAGTTTGTGGGGTGGATGCATTTGATTCAATTCAGATATGCCTTTCAAGCTGGCCCTGCTGAGCTGGGCCTGAAAGGCACATGGCTCATCTCATCTGCATGTGACAGTCTCTTTGAAGTCCCCAGAAGTGCCTGCTCAGAGTCATGCTCGGGAGGGAAGAGGTAAGGCACAGAATGAGTACAGACTGCCACCCAGCCGCAGGAAAGGTGACTGCACACCAGAGGTTCCTGGTAAGGAGGTGACTCACCCGTGACTGTCTCACCTGTCCAAAGTGTGTGTCACCTGCTCTGTGTTCACCCACTGGGTTCATCAGAGGGGCACTTGAACAAAACAGGAATGTCACTGGAGAGGGGAACAAATGCTGTCCCCAAGTCCTTCCCTGCCGTTTAGAGTAACACAGCCCCTGTCCGCACATCCTCACCCCCATCTGCCCTCTGCTTGCCAGAATTATCAGAATCTCTCCATTCTAATTTCAGCCATTCTCTGTGAAAATGAAAAGTTAGTGGCAGGCAATGGACACCCTATTGAAATAGAAATTGTTCTTCATATGTCAGAAAAGTCCCAGAGTAATCTGGGAGTAATCTGAGCAAACTGATTCAAAGGATTATTACAATTTCTTAGTCTTCTACTGCTGCAAAAGTGGCACTCTTTGATTCTCATGTTTGAGGTTCTAATTGCTACCTCATGCAGGACTTACGAGAGATCAGCCATGCTGCTTACACTGTGTGTAGTGAATCAATGTTATTCTGAAGGGCCTCCTGGAAGCAGTAGAGATTGGAGAATGTATGTCTTTTAACATGATCATTCCCATCCTATGGGGGTTGGGCACTCTTAACTCATGTTGCAGATGAGTAAACTGAGGCTTTTGAGAGTTTGAGGGTGCACAGCTTGAGGCAGAGGTGGAATTCCCAGCTTCATCCAAGAAACCACGAATCTCCAATGGCTTGCACACATCCAGGTTTGCTGGATCCTATTTGCCAAGACCACATGCAGATTAGGAGCCTTCAAACAAATTATTTCCAAGGGAGGGCATCTTTCTCTGTAACCCCTACCCTGGCAATTCTCCATGGCCTCAGGGAGTCCAGCCGGAAGCTCTGCGATGAGTCCTGGGGAACTCTCATCTGGAAAAAGGCGCTCATGACAGGTGGTGCCAACCTTCCACGGATGCTTTTCAGCATCTCTTGGGATGAGGATACAGAATTTCTCTTTCACCCTGTAAACGTGGTAAATGAGGGAATAGAATTTCCAGCTTTAATTTTTCTGAATAGGATTCAAAAATGAAATTGTATAAAAAGGTATCCAGTGAAAAACACACACCCATCCCCATCTCCCATCCAGTTCCCTCCGTAACCCTTTTCTTAGTTTCTTATATGTCCTTTGCAAATACAGTATAAGCAAAAAAGAATGGGCCTTTTTCTTTTCTTCCTTATTTTCCACAAAATCTATCAAAATGGGTTTTTTTTTGTTTTGTTTTGTTTGAGACAGGGTCTCACTCTGTTGCCCAGGCTGGAGTGCAGTGACACCATCACGGTTCACTGCAGCCTCGACCTCCCCAGGCTCAGTTGATCCTCCCATCTCAGCCTTCTGAGTTGCTGGGACTACAAGCATGCATCACCAGACCTGGCTAATTTTTCTATTTTTTGTAGGGACAGGGTTTTGCTGTGTTGCCCAGGCTGGTCTCAATCTCCTGGACACAAGCAATCTGCCTGCCTCAGCCTCATAATGTATTCTTTAATGTTAAACCCCTTCTTGTGTTGAGAGGCCTGGCTTGTGTGTTTGAGCGCAGCTGCCTACCTTTGCAGCTGTAAATGTCAGGGCTCCAGGAGGGCTGGCTGGGTCTCCCCTCCTCCCCTGTTGGGTGGGTGGGGCCCTGAGCTTATCCAGGCAACCCCAGGGGAAGTGTGGATGGATGGGTGGATGGGTAGGCCCTGGCCTTCAGGGAATGCACTGTGTGTGGTCTTCCAGCCCCAGCAAAGTCTCAGGGGGCCCCAGCGGGAAGTCGCCATCCTCAGGGGGTCCGAGTGGGGAGTCGCCATCCTCACGGTCAGCCGTGGTTTCGAACTGAGCTCCCAGGGGCGGAGACTCCATTCCCCCGGGGAACAATCTGATAGCCAGAAATGAGAGCAGTGAGTGACTTGGACGCTGTGTGATTCAGGAGGGTCCCAGTCCCTCAGAGTCGCCTGGACACCAGATTGTATTTACAAAACAGATGGATGAGGAAATGGAGATTGGATCTTCAAAAGAATTAACCTCAGATTTTATTTATTTATTTTAAAAATTTTAATTTTTCCCAAGGACCCTTTCCAAGTCAAGAATTGTTTTAAAAAGAAGCCTGGTGAAGGCAAATGCTGTCTGTGGCCGAAGGCACCGTGAGGAGCTGAGGCTGACTTATGTTTCTCCTCTGGGCTACGTGCGCCTCTAAGGAGTTCACACACTTTAACCCCCTTAGGAACCCTACATGATCATCCTCGTTTCTTAAAGAGGAAGCAGAGCCAGCAAACAAGTGGGGGAGCCACAGTTCCAGCCCAGGTGTCACTGGGCCCTGCCTGCCCCAGCCGGCTCCTCAGGAGCACACGGCACCCCACGCGCGTGCAGGGGACAGCTGTCCTCACAGGAACAGCCCTGGGACCTACAGGACTTCCTGGGGTTTACCCTCAGATCACCCATGAGGTTAGAATCACAAAGCCCGGGAGTCAGGAGACACAGGGCAGCTGGAGGGAGGTCTTTACTGAGGCTACTGAGGCACAGCAGCCCCGTCTAGAGGCCTCCCTGAGAGGCACTTCCTGAGGAGTCTGGTGGATTTTGAGCTGCTTTTTAAACAACCTTCTCCTTAGCATAGACACTGACACTGAAGGGAAAGAAAGCAAATGGTCTGTTCTTAGTGGGAAGGCAACTTGCTTTCAGGGGAATGAGTTTGGGGAAAGAGGACTGGTAGAAGACACGACTAAGAAAGTGAGTAGGAGTCCAGACGTGTGTGATTCATCCTTTAGGGCCTCTGTGTGTGATGGGTTGACTTGTGTCTCCCAAAATTCACATGTGGACGTCCTTGCCCCTGGCAGCTCAGACGTGACCTTATTTGGAAATAGTGCCATTGCCGATGTAATTAGTTCAAATGAGGTCATGCTGGAGTCGGGTGGGCCCCTGATCCCATATCACTGGTGTCCTTATAAGAAGGGGAAATTTCAAGACAGACACACACTCAGGGAGTGCACCATGTGAAGACTGGACTTAAACAGCTACACCACCAGAAGCCGAGAGAGAGGCTGGAACATAGCCTTCCCTTTGGAGGTAGCCTGGCCCAGTGGGCACTGTGATCTCAGACTTCCAGCCTTCAGAACTGTGAGACAATATTTTATTGTTTAAGCCACTTATTTTTTGGTACTTTCTTACGGCAGCCCTAGCAGATGCTAATCCAGCGTGCGTCCTGGCAGAGGTTGAAGGGGGCTCCTCAAGTCCCAGGTCCAGCTTGGTGTGGTTCAGCTACTCGAGAGACATCTGCTGCTAATGGATGAGCAGTCAACCTGGACGCAGGAAATCATTTTTTATTTGGGTGAATACAATATTCTCCTTTTGTTTTCACTTTTCCTAAAAGTTAAATCAAGGTTCAAAAGAAAATCGAGGTTCAAAAGAAAAATTTGGTCTTTACATGTGCTAAAAAGAAAAAAACAAAAAGACTCATTTCATCTTTATATGGGATGGGATCCGTGCTCTGGTGGGCTACAGAGTGTGTCTCTGTGTGGGTCCCTGTACTCCATGCGAGGTTGGCGGCCGAGCCATGGTTCCCATGTGAGCAGGACAGTACAGTCTCACCTCACACAGAGAACCTCGCCCGAACATGGAACTTTCACCCACATTGCCATTTTCCCGCTCCCTTTCCCTCCTTTGAGGTTCACACTCGTCTCTTCAAATTAAAATTTACAAAGAGAGGAGATGGAGGCTCCCAAGTGGCCACAAAGTCACATTTTATGTGAGACCTTTTTGCCTCATTTGCTAGTTATTGAACAAAGGTGACTCTGAACCTAGCAGAAGCACGGGTTCAACACACAGTTCAGAAAAACAGGAACCATCAATTCATAAGAACTTAAAGAAAAAAATAGTTTAAAGAACTGAGAAGTTGCCACATTATAGTGAAAGAATGTTGGGTTTTGGAAATGACAAAAACGAGCAATCTTCACCTCGAAAATCCGGTGGAGTCAGTTACACAAGACATAACCGCACACAAACATGGCATTTCTGATAATATAATGGCATTTACAGTCAAGAAGCTTCTTTCAGAGTATTTCATGGAAAGTTATTTTAGTAGCAAGGGTAGCCTTAAGCAGTGAGTATTCGTCAAGAGAGTGAAACCTTGACTTCAAAGTCAAGAGGCGGAGGAGTGAGGACTCAGATCTGGAGGCGACCTGCAGGGCGGGTGCCCACGCACAGGTGTCCCAGCTGTGGACATCCCACGTGCACGGGAGTGGGCCAAAGAGCGGCCCATGGATCCCTGCCCACCTCAGAAATGTGAGCAGGCAGCTGGGGGGCATTTGGACTCTAACCGGGACAACCTAGTGGCCGGGCAGGGGATGCAGGCACCACAGGTCACAGTAGTTTGCTACGAGTGTCAGCTTTTAAAATTTTAAATAATCCTCTTATTGTAAAATTGAGGACATTATTTGAAGCAACGCAAAAACCATGTAAAAAAAATGTCTGTAGGATATGAATAGCATGTTTCTTTAAGGCAATATCTGAAGAAAATATAAAAGCCCCAGGTGAAAGACACCCTGGGAGCAGAGGTGCCCCTGAGGGTCGGCTGCCCCAGGACAGAGGAGGGCTCTGCTGGTGCCCAGGTGGCACTGCCTGTCTTGATGCCAGGTGCAGGGGTTTAGAAGAAAAGACAAGGAAGAAAATAAAACTCACCACCGACATTCCTACCACTAGAGTTACCCACTGTTCCCAATCAGGCATATTTCCTCCCAATCCTGTCCTCTCTGTGTATTTGGTAATTGCGTAAACCATCTCTCCCATAATTAATCTCCTTTAAAATTTGGAATAATATAGTTGTTAGAATAATATAATAATCATGCAGAATAATTTAGAATAATGTTGTTTAGAACAATTTTTGTAGTCATGCTACCTTGCAGTCATTCATAACTCAGAAGAACTCTGCATTTAGAAGGTCTATTTAAAATGTGCCCTCTTTGCTGAAGAGTTAGTTTTATGGTAAAAATCCAATAAAATTGTAGCTAAGCACTGAAAAAAAGTAAAGGATTAAGCTCAGCCTCCAGAAATACTGATTTTATATATATTTGCTCTGGGGAAGATTGGTTTAAGAAGACCTATTGCTCTTTTATAAATTGCCTCCTTATATTTTTTGCCCTCTTTTCCCCTCCCTCCCTCCTTTATTCCCTCTGTCTCTTCCCTTTCCCCTCCCTCCCTCCCTTCGTTCCTTTCTTCCTTCTCCTTTTCTTCCTTTTTTTTATTGTTGTTCTGGGGGAACTTTTCTAATATCCTGGATTTTAAGACTTTGATATATATGCTGCAAATACTTTCTCTCAACCTGTCTTAACTTTCTTTACTGTGTCGTTTATATTATGGAACTATTTAACTTTTAAGTAGTTATTATTTTCCTTTTAACACCCAGGTTTTGTCTTGCTTAGAAAGTCTGTTCCTACCCCTAGATTCGAAAAATATCCTCAGATTTTTTTCTTCTGATACTTAGTAATTTTATTTTTGGTTTAAAATGTCAAGTCAAGTAGAACTTATTTTTGTTTATAATTTGAAGTAAGGGAGTTTCATTTTACCCTAAATGTGTAGCAAATTTTCCCAGACTATTTATTAAGTCATTCACTTTTTTCCTGCTGAAATTATGATATTTAAGTTGATAAGTTTTATGTGTTGGGGAGGTGTCAAATGGGCAGTTTCCAGTTGGAATGTGGGATTGGGTAGAGCTTTGACACAACGTCTGTGTCTTTCCGTCTCCCATGTGACTTCAGGGCAAAGAGGCAGAGGAATGGAGCTCAGAGCTTTTAGAGAATATGGGCCAGAAACAGGAAGGAGTCAGGACCTGATAACGGGAACCAGCGGACAGTGAACGCAGTGGAGGGCCACTGGGGCCGGAGCAGCCGAGAGATTTCAGGAGGTGAGCTTCAGAGAGCCTCGGCATAAATGGATCCAGGGTGTGGTCAGCTCAGGGAAAGACAGACAACCAGGGCTGAGCACAGGCCAGGCCAGGCCAGGCAGGGCCCCCGGAGAATCACGTTTTAGTATCTGCATATTGAGAAAGTTTGACCTTGAGTGTGAAATGTAGACAAGCAACCCAAATAAAAAATAGGCCTGATTGGGGCCAAAAACAAAACAGATTGATGAAAATAATCTCAAGAGTAGGAATGGACACAACCTACAAGAAGGAGACTGAACCCACCAAGTGTGGCGCTTGAGTCAAATCAAACGATTAGAGGCTGCCAAGTCGGCCCAAACCCCAAGAGCGTGGGAATCTGGGAGGGCACCGAGGGCTGGGCTGAGAGCCTCTTTTCAAGGAAGTCTTTCCAGGATGCTGTACTTCTGTCTTGCCACCTTGCAGGCCTTACAGTGAGACCATGAAGTCCCTGGCACTCTCCCTGTCGGACCCGTGGCCGATGTTGATATCTGCTCGGCCGGCCTCACAGGTGTGCGCGCTGTGCAGTCGCTTAGGGCCTCCCCTGCGCAGAAGGGCCTGGCTTGGTTTAATGCCCTGCTGTTACCATCTTAAAATTCTTAATGGCTTTTGAACAAAGGCCGCACATGTTCATTTTGCACCGCTTTGTAATTACATAATTTAAAACTCTGTGCTTTTCTCTTCCTTTTTATTAAAAACAAGAATGTCAGAAATTGCCCCTTTAAAACTGTAAAACAAGAAGGCATTAAACTCTTAATATTTCAGGTCAAATTTGACACTGTCTCTGGACATGCAGGTCTGGGTATTGGTGGGCCTTAGCCCCTTTCCTGCTGAGCCCAGAAGATGCTTCTAGTCACCTAGCATAGGTCTCTAGGGGGCCTCTGCCACAAGGCAGGGCCAGCGCCAAATGACATGCAGTTGCCTTTGATGAATGGGACTCTCCACCACTGCTTTATGTAAACAGCAGGTCCTGATATATGAAATGTGGCTTCAAAGCAACTTAAAGAAATGAAGGGTCAAGGATAGAATATGTGATGAGATTCTGATACCATGGAGCCTCCAGCCCCATGGCTTGCTGTGCTTGGGCTGTGTTCTCTGTCCTGGAAGGGTCCACAGAGAGGGCAGGCTGCCAGCAGGAGGCCTGCCTGCTCCACCAGACTGATGACACTTATTCCACTTGGTTCCCAGAACTAAGAGGTCAGGGGCCATGAAGGACTAGTTGCAGGAGAACACTCTGTCTTAATTTAAGGCATGCTCTGTGGAGTGGGGCTGTTGGGCAGCCTTTCCAATTTATCCACCCATCCCTGGGATCTCTTGGGATTGAGAAACTGAGTTTCTCCAGGGTTCTTCTCTCACCACTCATATCCTGCAACCTTAGGGTCCTCCCTGTACTGGGTATCAGCCTGGTCTCAGCATTCAGGGACTCAGAGAGAATAATCAGAGGTGCATTTCTATCACTGTGAGGACCTTAGGCTCAGGCCAATAATGCAAAGAAGCACCCTACCTGGGAGAAACTTACTGTCTAGTTGTAAAGAAAGCACCAGGGGGCCATGATGCCCATCCCACCCATGTTCCCACCCAAACTCTCCTAAACCCACAGCTCCCAAACAAGTCCTGGATTGTACAGATCAGGCTCCAGCCAAGGTGAGCTCACTGAGGTCAGAGCTTACAGAATCTGGGAGCTCAACCAACATGATGGCTTCAGAGATGAAATACCCAGCACATCCAGCTGCAGTTGCCCCATAAGGAGCAGAAAGTTTGCTATCACTTCCTCTGTACTGTTTTTATGTTCAGGTGACCTGTGGGTCAGTTGTTTGTAATGTGGTGATGCCTGTAAAGGGAGCACTGGAGGTCAGGGGGTGCCAGTGAGTGGAGGAGACCATTATAAATACTGTGTCCCCAAAGGGTGTACAGTCAAATAAATATAGCATGGGAAAAGCCAGGTTGACCCAAGAGAAACATCTTTTTCTAAAAATCTGCAAGACTTCTCAGAGCCTTTGGTCGTGCATTTTAAATATCCAAATATGTGTTTTGAAAATATGTGAAACAGCATAACATTTGTGGTATATGTTAAATGTAGATGATGGTGGAACTTTCTGTTTTTTTCTTAGAGAATTTCATGGGACCAGGCTTCCAAAAAACACAAATGTTTTGAGGACAAAACATATGAATATTGTAGAAGATTAGAAGCAATAAATTACTATAGGCAGAAGATAAGTGACATTGGATTGAAATTTTTAAAATGGGAAAATAATTACAAATGGAGGAGTGGCATGGTCAGAGGCGGAGTGCAGGTGCCTGTGGCACATCTGGGCTCACTGGCTCAGGCAAGCTGCGGTGGAGCAGGAGGCTGGGGACATGTGTGTAGAGTCCCAACTGTCAGATCACAGTGTTGGGTTGGGTCTTCCACCTGCAGGGGCGTGTGTGTGTGTGTGTGTGTGTGTGTGTGTGTGTCTGTGTGTCTGTGCACATGTGTGTGTGTGCTGCTTAGAGTTTTTGAGCAAAGTATGGAATGATCAATGTGCAGCTTTAGAATAATGACTTGGTGGGAAGAATTGAAGTGAAGAAACACTGGAGATTTGTAGCCCTCCTAGAAGTCACTTTCAGCATGGATCTTGGTGTGGCCTGGAAGGAAAGGACCTGGCTTGTGGGAGGCAGCAGCAGAATGGACACATGAGAGCCACAATCAAGACAGACGTGGCAGGGTGAATAACTGGCTGAATTGTGAAACTCTAGGCTGCCCATATTACACTGACATTTTGAGAATTCAGAACAGATGGCAACACCTGGGCCCCTGCCTGTGCAGATGGGCCAGAAAAACGTGACACGTGTGAAGGTGGGCATGGGGTGGCAGCAGTTTCTCTCGCCCAAGCATTAAGAGTGTTACAGAGCAGAACTGTTATTACGGAATTGGTGAAGCACCTCTGGGGGACTCCCCCTCCTTCCCCCAAGTATATGTTGGCTAAGTAGCCACCAATAACAAATGGAGACACCTGCATGCTCCTGCAGCCACTGCAGTGTGGCCAGCTCCTCTGCTGGGCTATACACGTGGAGATCGTGTAAGTGACCAGGGCCAATGTCTCTGGCAGCCATGGAGAAACAGGCGGCCCAGCCAGGCCCTTTCACTGCCCGTGATGGACAGCTTGCCATCGCTGGTCAATAGCTGCACTCCCAGATAGTATTAGGTAATATATAATTAATAAAGAATATTCCAGTTGATCTGGTTCTTTTAAAACAAGGAAACTTCTTGCTATTTGGTACCCACAAATTCCACTACTCCCTGAATTGTATGTCCTGAAATCTCACAAATTTGCATGCTGACATTGTTAATAAAGGAACAGGAGATAATTTAAACGGCCCTGTGGTTTGGAAGTCACAGGTTCTGCTGCTTCATGTTCATGCACGAGACTAAGAGCCTTTGAAGAAGATCACTTCCTAGACCAAGGCTTTATGTTTGGATTAAATGCAGCTCCTCCAGATCATCTCCTGAGGAGATTCAGCCAGCCTCTGTTCTCTCTACTATCCCCGTCTTCTTGCCTCATCCCATGCACACATTTATATGTGTTCACATTTATGCATGGACATGCTCTAGTGTGCCCTCTAGTGCAGACATTTTATGCATGAAACTTTAACCCCTCTTGCATCAAGGCATATAAGCAGAAGAGATGAGTGGAAAGATTTTAGGGCTTGGAAGGGCAAACGTGATAGTCACTGTACATTATAAAGAACACCAAATGACAGTGTGCTTTGGAATATACTACTAGGAATGTTTCTGCTTTGCAATTAGAAAGTAATGACATTGAA
This sequence comes from Homo sapiens, assembly GCF_000001405.40. Taxonomy (NCBI): domain Eukaryota; kingdom Metazoa; phylum Chordata; class Mammalia; order Primates; family Hominidae; genus Homo; species Homo sapiens. The sequence goes on along the minus strand of NC_000002.12, from coordinate 111,473,516 downwards.
AGGAAGTGAAAAAAAATCACAGGTATATAATTCAGCGCCGAATTGATGAGGACACAGAGGTGAACTAGAAAGGCATCCCAGTGGAAACCACTTACAGCCATGCCATAAAAGCAAGATCTAAGCAATGGGGATATAAAAAAGGAAGGGAAATTGATGAAGATGACTTGGGGTGACGTGACCTGGAGTTTAGGGAGGGACAGGGACTTGCCTTGGACTCACTATGGGTGCTCATGAAGGAGGCAGCATTTGGACAAGGCCCTGAGAGGCAGGTGGGTTTGGATGTGCAGTGGTGGTCCGGGTGTGTGGAGCGGGGGTCAGCATGTGCAAAGGCATGGAGGTCAGCAAACCAAGGCTGAGAGCACAAGAGGTTCACTGTGTGTCTTCCAGCTGCCCAGTGAGCACATGGAGGTAAAGGTGCACAACTCGGTAAGCGACAGGAGTTTGTGTGGATCAGGCCTGCTGTGACATAAATATGCAAATGATGTGGTCCCTCGTGGTACCACCCTCAGGATGACACACTCTTCTACCAAAACATGGCTGAAAATTTTTGGTGTGTGGGGGTGTACCCTGGGAGCCCATTTAGAAGCTACAGTGAAAAGAGCCCTCATTGCTTCAGCTTTGAGCCATCTGGGCCCTCGCACCTGGCTCATTTCACCTGACAGTTTCTAAAACTTCTCACAAGGAATTTGTCGGTTTATTACACATCCATAGAATGCCCTGAAGAGCTATTCCAAAAGAAGAGCTTGAAAGTCGAACGCTAAGCAGAAAAACAGTGACTTCCAAACCACAGGGTTTGTTTGAATTATCAACTTAGTCCTTTATTAACAACTTCAAGGTGCAAATTTGTGAGATTCCAGACAGGCAGTTCAATGAGCAGCTGGATTTTGCTGGTTCCCAAGAGCAAGGAAAATTCCCTTGTTTTAAAGAGCCAGATCCATTTGGAATAGTCTTTCTTCCCCACATATTACAGCATGAACGTGACTCTAAAGTACCTGCCGAGGGTCTTTCTTTTTGTGACGGTGGGCGCTGTTCCCCACTGTCGTGGACTTCTCACAGCGCTCAGTGTGCATTCAGTTGCTTCTCTCCATAACGCCTCTCAGCTAACTGTGCTGTTTCTGTGCTCCTGGGTTGTTAATGTTCAAGTCTTGGCTCTATACCATTTTCCTTATCATTTAGGATTCCACTGGGAAGACATCACTAAGTTGTGAAATCAAACTTCATGAGTTGGCTGAGATCATAGGGTTGGGTGTCCTCTGAGCACTTGCAGGCTGGGGGAAGACAGAAAACCTGGACACCTTGCAATTGTTTGCAACAAAGTGGAAAAACTAAAGTAGTTTTGATATGTGCATTAGTTTGCTTGGACTGCTATAACGAAATACTACTTGGTGGCTTAAACAACAGAAATTTCTTTTCTTACAGTCCTGGAGGCTGGAAGTGCAAAAGGAAGGTGTCGGCAAGATCGTTTTTTTCTGAGAGCTCTCTCCTTGGCTTGCAGATGGCAGCTTGCTCCTGGCACAGTCTTTTCTCTGTATGTGCTCATGTCTGTGTCCTGATTTCCATTTCCTAGTAGGGCCAGTCAAATTGGATTAGGGCCTAAAGTAATTATCTCATTTTACTTTACTTCTTTAAAGGCCATATGTCCAAATACAGTCACATTCTGGGGTGCTAGAGGTTAAGATTTCAACATATGAATTTGCAGGGGACACATCTCCACCCATAACAATTTGTTTTTCGTAATACGTTTAAAATACCCATTTCTGGGCTGGACGCAGTGGCTCATGCCTATAATCCCAGCACTGTGGGAGGATCACTTGAGCCCAGGAGTTTGAGACCAGCCTGGGCAACATAGCCAGACTCTATCTATAAAAAAAAATACACACACACACAAACTTGGCCAGATACAGTGGTGCACACCTGTAGTCCTAGCTGCTTGGGGGACTGAGGTGGGAGGGTCGCTTGAGCCCAGAAGTTTGAGGTTACAGTGAGCTATGATCATGCCACTGCCCTCCAGCCTGGGCAACAAAGCAAGACTGTGTTACTTAAAAAATAAAATAAAACAAAAAGACCCACTTCCATTTATTTCACCCATGGATAAATTGTGCAGCAAGTGGTTAGGTGAAATGTGAAATGTCTGGCCAATTATTGTCATCATGCTCAATTATAGAGACACAGTATGCTCCCCTTTGCATTCTTCATTGCTGATTCTGTGCTTTACATCTGGCAGCTACAAAAATTTAGTATTTTGCTAGCAGGTGCATCAAATCTATTTTTGGTTTCAAACAATACACTTTTTGTTTTCAACGATTCTGACCAGTAGTCAACAATTGCAAGTATGTGGAATGTGATTCTCCTGCTTTGGGAACAAGGGAGCTCCCAGTTTTGTGGGCAGGATCCAACATTCCCATCATAAGGGCAGCCTCACCTGTCTGTACCTCTGACACCTCAGTCAGAGCCCTTGGAGTCGGCTAGGCCAGTTTTGGCCCTCCTTACTGAGACCTAGTCATTCTGTAGACATACTTCATTCTCCCAGGCTTGGGCTTCTGGTTCAACCTGTGGCTCTGACATTATCACCAGAAGATATCCATCTGGCCCACCTTCTGTGGCTTTTTTCCCATGCACCTTTCAGACTAAATTGTATACGCTCATCCTCCAAAGGGTTGGCTGTCTTTGGTGGTATTTTGGCCTGAGTTCTGCCTTGGATTTATGTTTTTTGTTACATATATATATATATATATATATATATATATATATATATATTTTTTTTTTTTTTTTTTCTTTTTTTTTGAGATGGAGTCTCACTCTGTTGCCCAGGCTGGAGTACAGTGGTGTGATCTAGATTCACTGCTACCTCTGCCTCCTGGGTTCAAGCGATTCTCCTGTCTCAGCCTCCAGAGTAGCTGGGATTACAGGCATGCACCGTCATGCCTGGCTAATTTTTGTATTTTCAGTAGAGACGGGGTTTCACCATGTTGGCCAGGTTGGTCTCGAACTCCTGATCTCAGGCGATCCACTCGCCTAGGCCTCCCAAAGTGCTGGGATTACAGGCGTGAGCCTACCGCGCCCAGCCTTATTTCATAATTTTTGATCGTAATTCCACCCACATGTTCTATTCATGTGAAATTTACTAAGGTGAGACCAAGTGGAGATAAAAACTATCTAAACGAAAAACTTAGGTCTCTCTTTCAGACTTTTTTTTGGTTTTATGGTGGTAAATACAACCCACTTGGCCTTTCCCCTGAGACTACTGGTTCTTTTGTCACTGGAGTCCCAGAGATCAGGGTTTGAACTAGCCTACCACTTACTGGTCATGTAACTTTGGGCAATTCAGTTTGCATCCCTAAGCCTCAATGTCTTCATCTGTAGGATGGAGGTAACCATAATGCCTGTCTCAGAGGCTGCTGCTAGTGTTAACTGTGGGACACAACACAGAGTAAGGCACAGACGAGGTGTGCAGAAAACATCAGCTTCGTGGTTTTTTACTCTTCTGCACTTGCTGTAGCATTCTGCAAAGCTATTATTCCTTTCCTAGACTCACGCCCAAAGTTACGGAGGACCCAGCAACCATCTCCTGCAGCCCCTGAAAACCTCTTGACTCTTCTGTGATGTCCCCAGTGATCCAGCAGCCCCGGCCTTCTTTTGATGGCTTGAACATTTGGTCTTCATTGAACAGTTTGTATATTGGAAACTTGCCAGCCTCCATCCACATTCCAACCTCCGTCTGCATCCCTCGGTACAAAATGGTTCAATCTGTCTACCTCCTTTCACATTCCACCAAGATATTCCAAGGTCCAGGGTTCCTTTGACCACCTCACACCTAACAAGTTCCCTCACTGTCTCTCACTCTCCCCTGAAGATTCTAAGCTGCCTCTGTCCTGCTAAAACTGTAGACCTGAGAATGAAGTAAGGTGCTTCAGGTGAGGTTTGATCAGCCCAGAGCAGAAAGGGGCCACCTCCTCCCACCCTATAAGACCCTATTAGTGCACCTTGGAGCCCTTTGCTTGGCTGGTGGCTACAATACACTTCTGTTAATGACGGAATTCCATAACATTTTTCCCCATTAATTTCTGCTACAAAACACAAAAGTCTTAGCCAGGTGTGGTGGTGCACACCTGTTGTCCCAGCTACTCAGGAGTCTGAGGTGAGAGGATCACTGAGCCTGGGAGGCAGAGGTTACAGTGAGCCAAGATGGCGCCGTTGTACTCCAAGCTGGGTGACAGAGGGAGACCCTGTCTCAAAAACAAAAAACAAAACAAAACAAAAAAACAAACCAAATACACACACACACACACACACACACACATACACACACACACATAAAAGTCTCATATTTTACACTTATGAAGTTAGGTGGGTTTTTTTTTGTTTGTTTCTTTGTTTTGTTTTGTTTTGTTTTGTTTTGTACCCAAAAGTACATAACCTACTACTACCTACCTTTTTGGTTTTTTTTTTTTTTTTGAGATGGAGTCTTGCTCTGTCACCCAGGCTGGAGTGCAATGGTGCTATCTCAGCTTACTGCAACCTCTGCCTCCCAGGTTCAAGCGATTCTCCTGCCTCAGCCTCCCGAGTAGCTGGGATTACAGGCACCTGTCACCACACCTGGCTAGTTTTGTATTTTTAGTAGAGACAGGATTTCACCATGTTGGCCAGGCTGATTTTGAACTCCTGACCTCAGATGATCCACCCGCCTCAGCCTCCCAAAGTGCTGGGATTACAGGTGTGAGCCACTGCGCCCGGCCCCTTTCCTAAGGTTTTCTAAAGCATGTTTGTGGCAATCTATCTTAGAATCTTGTCAAAGGTAAATACAAGGTTCAGGGTTTACGGAGCCACCTTCTAGCCCTTTAAGCCACCAGAATTGCTGGTGTCTTATGGACTCCTGAGAAGTTTGTGGTGGTGATTCTTAGAGCTCAGCTCCCAACTGCTGGACTGCCGGTCACTGGGCAGAAACAGAACTCAGTTCTCATCACCTGGATGCCATTTCATACTCTCCACCCTCTCCTGGGCTTCAGTTGCCCCACACAATGTCAGTCTCTTTGTGATGGTTAGTTTTATGTGCCAACTTTGCTAGGGCATGGTACCCAGATATTTGGTCAAACATTATCCTGGATGTTTCTGTGAAGGCACTTTTTAGCAGATTAACATTTAAATCAGTAGATTTTGGCAAAGCAGAGTCATAATGTGGGTGGGCCTCATCCAGTCAGTTGAAGGCCTTAATAGAAAATGATGGGCTGGGCGCGGTGGCTCACGCCTGTAATCCCAGTGCTTTGGGAGGCTGAGGCAGGCGGATCATGAGGTCAGGAGATTGAGACCTTCCTGACTAACATGGTGAAACCCTGTCTCTACTAAAAATACAAAAAATTAGCCAGGTATGGTGGCAGGCGCCTGTAGTCCCAGCTACTCTGGAGGCTGAGGCAGGAGAATGGCGTGAACCCGGGAGGCGGAGCTTGCAGTGAGCTGAGATGGCACCACTGCACTCCAGCCTGGGTGACAGAGTGAGACTCCGTCTCAAAAAAAAAAAAAAAAAAAGAAAAGAAAATGACGAACCTCCCCAAAGAAGATTGGATTCTGTCAGCTGACCCAAACTGCAACAGGGACTCCTGGGGTCTCTGCCTGCCAGCCTGCCCTGTGGATTTTGGACTTGCCAGCCCTTACCATTGTGGGAACCTAATCCTTAAACAACTCAATCTCCACTACCCTCCTCGCCCTTCTCTCTCTCTCTCTCTCACACACACACCCACCCACCCACCCCCCCCCCCCCCACACACACACATCCAATTGATTCTGTTTCTTTGGAGAACTCTGACTAACACAGTCTCCTTCTCAGTATTAATATTTTTTTCTTGGACAGAAAATGTAGATAAAATAGAAGTCTAGAAGTTCTGTTTTCTCTCACGACCAAATTCTTCTATTTCTCTTTTAACCCATTCAGATTTGTGAGTCCCGGAGCGTGCTTTGCCAGGGCTCTGTTGAGTTCCACAGTGCATTGAGCACCACTATGTGGGAGGCACTGGCTCCCAACAGGCAGCAGGCACCTTTTCCCTAATGAACTGTCTTTCCAGGTTTCACTCAAGCCCTTTCTATCAGACTTCTACCATGCAGCTCTGCCAATGTCTTTAAGCATCTCTCCCTTCTTCCTGACTGTCCTGACCAAGAAACTCCCTAATCTCTAATATCTAAAGTCATGAAGCCAATTGCATCATTAGATGTGCAGTATATATAAATAACATTTACTTACAAGAATATTTTTATAGAAATGTATGTAAACATACTTACATACGTTTCTATAAATACATTTAAATTCCTAAAGACTTGTTTGAGCAATTTAAAAAAAAAATGCTCCAGTTTAACTTCCTACTACAATTAGGAATTTGGGGCAGGGTGCATAATTGCCAGTGTACTCACAGTGACTGCAATTAGAATGTACTGTGGAGTCAGAGGAACTGCCTGACAGTGCCGGGCAGTTGACCCTGGGCTGGGTTCAGAGCTCTCCAGTGGCCACTGAGAAGTAGGAGAGTGTTTCCTGCACAATCCTGATTTCTTGGGGGAGGAGGTACTATTGCACGCTGCTGGGTGGAGCCTCTGAAACTCTCCTGGGCCAGGTCTCCTCCCGTGCTTCCTCTCCCTGAGGCAGCCTCACCTCTTGACGCCTGTCCCCAGCACACCCTTCTGTAGCTTTCCTCTGACTCACCCCTCTGTGTGTCTTTCTCTCCAACTTGGGGTCCTGTCACCTAGGCCTCTCTCCTTTTTCCTAGGTGGCTGGCAGTTGCTCTTCCCTTGGTTTTCTCTAATTTGATCTCTTTCCCACCCTTCCAGTCTGCCACAGTCACCCTTGACATCCGCAGAATCCACCCTCCTTGGAAGGGATGAGGAAGGCGGTTTATATAACTCAATTTCATTTGTAATGTTTCAAATGGTATTTTTTTTCTGGGAATAATTGGCGCTGGATTCTGAACTATCTTTCCTGTTGCAAAGAATGAAATCCCTTCTAGGTGATGGGGCTTGATCTTTCTCTGTTGCAATAGCAGCGATGTCCAAAACAATCAATCAGAGGCATTTTCTACCGTACCTGAGCCATTCAGTGGTTTCGACCTCTGCTCCAGATTACCCAGGGTTATTCAGATGGGTTAATGCGAGTCCTTAGAATGGTGTTTCCCACCTTGAGAGTGGGTTGTTGGCTAGGTGTGTGGGGGAGCTGTTTGTCTACACCTCAGAAACGCTCACAACAGCAGGTTCCAGGGAAAGTCCCTGGGTGTCCAGTAAAAGCTGGGTCGCCCTCCCTAGGGGGCTCTGAGACTAGCAGAACTGATGGCCCCATAATTTGAGCACAGGTATGCATATTTCATAGGGGTTGGTGGGCAGACTCATTCATGTTCCCATCCCAGGGGTGCAGGGGACCCTTCTCCCTTCCCCACATCAGCCCAGGGCTACAGAAGCTCCTCAGGAGGCAAGGAAGGGAATGGAGAGGACAAGAGTGCCTACAGAGTGGGAAGGAGACAAGGATTCTCAGGTATTTATCCAGGGTAAGGGCAAGGGCTTTTCTGCAGTCCAGGACATTAGAAGAGTCCTGAACCAAGAACTCCACCCCTGCCCCGATATCAGCTGTTTTTACTGACTGAGCTGTTGGAGAACAGTTTTGGTGTGCGGAAACAGTGAGATCCCTAACCCTACACCCCTGAACCCAGCAGATATATCCACACTGACCAGAAAGGACTGGCTAACCACAAGCCTGCCTGTGCATGGCAGGGAAAGGAAAGCCATTCTTGAGTAAATGGTGTTCAAAGGTTGGGCAATATATGTGTATGGTGTTCTCCTGTGGACATAATTGTGCACAAGGGTCAGAAGAAATTGCTTTCATTGGGCAAGCTACTTAACCTGTCTAAAGCTTTGTTTTTTTATGATCTGTAAATGAAGACAGATCCTATCTCATGGCTCTGCACGTCACACAGCGATAGCAGACAGGTAATTAGGATGCAGGTAGTTAGCAGACAGCCAGGGTATACTTTAGCTGTTCAAGTTTCCTCAACCTGGCCTCCTAGCCATGACCTTTCACAGAGGTGCAAATCATCTATGAGTTTGCACAGAATCCCCTGCAAGGAAATATGTTCTTGTTCTTGACTTACATTTGAGTTGGTTGGTCTTACAGTTAAGGCGGAGGTCATCACTCTTAATAAAGGCCATTTTAAGTGGAGTGACAAGTCACTAAGGGACTTGTTGGCATTGTTTACTTCTTATCCAGGGCTTTCCAAGAAGGGACAGTGTGTCTGAGTTTTTATCTTATGAAGGTTTCCCACCTGCAGTTTAGTTTACTATTATTTTAAGGGCTGTTTATAAATGAACTAGCTTGTCTTTGCACTCAGGGTAATTCACAGATTTGTCAGTGACTTCATTGCAGCTGTGAGCTTTACACGAACCTTGCAATCCGCCTTGAAAAATGAAACTGAGTATAAGTGGGGACCAAGGAAGAATGTTTTTGAGGGAAATAGAAATTACCATCCTAAAAATGGTTCCTTCTGTGTGTCTGCTGATAGAAACCCTTGACCTCTTTAGAAACAACCGCAAAATTATTCACTACGATTATCTGAATCTCATAAATAAAATAATGATTACAGCTGCATGGAATTATTCAGGTCTAAATTCATATAAACATATCCCTAATGAATTTATTTATCATGACAGGAAAGGAAAGCATAGCTTTGTGCACCCCATCCCACACCCTCCACCCCCTACAAATTTTACTAACACTGTTTCTGGGTTCAGAATTTTTTTGCCTGAGTTGGTACCTCAAATCACTTGAGTTAAACTGCAAATGAATCACACATAATGCAGATAAAATGACTTCATGCCCTAATTTCTAGAACGTGACCTGAATGTGAACTAGACATTCGTTTTCCTAAACCCCATGAGACCCAGGTATTCTTGACATGTGTAGCGAGGATTGAAGGGGCCCGAGGCTGTCTGTCCACTCTCCGTGGGCCTGGCTCTCCTTGGACCAAATCGAATGCATGGGAACACACCCCCCAGTTGTCTTTTTCCTTCGGTTTATATAATTCCTGGCATGTGCCTTTCAACACTCCGTTTATGTTAGAAGTTTGGTATTAGCCTCGGGGCTTTACTCTTGACACTGCTACTAATTCTCTACTTTATATTCGTGATTGCCCTTCTGAAAGGAGAATCTTGTTTCAAAATTGCACCTGGGCATTTTAAAGTAAATAGGATGCAAATCCTTAGTTGGCCTCTTGTGTACATTAACTTCAGAGTGAAGAATGAATATGTAAGCCAGTGATGGGGGATGGGGAGTTGAGCAAGGAAAATAATTTGCATAATGGTGTTTGCTCCCTGGTGAAACTGAAACCCAGCCTGTGTGGGTGGGGCCTTGTTTCCAAACGTCAGCGCTGCTGCCCACGAAGGCCTGCACCAACGCACGGTGCCCTCCGGGCCGCCCACAGAGGCCGGCGTCTGGCCAGGAGCAGGGGCTGGGGACAGCAAGTGTGAAACCAGCTGAAGCACCTGCAGCTCAGGCGGGCTGCAGGCTCCCTGCTCTCCCCCTGTGAAGAAGCACACATTGTTCTTTCTTCCCGCACATTTGAATCTCTCAGTGGGGTCTCATTTTCTGTGACATGGCAAACTTCAAAAAATGGGAGTAAATCATTTCTAAAGAGCTTAGCTAGGCATGGTGGCTCACGCCTGTAATCCCAGCACTTTGGAAGGTCGAAGTGGGATGATTGCTTGAGCCCAGAAGTTTGAGACCGGCCTGGGCAACATAGTGAGACCTCATCTCCACGCACACACATGCGCGTACACACACACGCGCGCGCATGTGTGTGCACACACACACAAATTAGCCAGGTGTGGTGGCATGGTAATTCCAGCTACTCTGGGGGCTGAGGTTGGGAGGATGGTTTAAGCCAGGGAGGTCGAGGTTGCAGTGAGCTGTGATGGCACTGCTGCCCTCCAGCCTGGGTGACACAGTGAGATCTTATCTCAAAAAAAATAAAAAAATCAAAAATAAAGAGCTCCTGATTTCCATCCCCCACCGAGAATCATTTTCTGAGTCAGCTGGAGTGTTTCAGAGCCCAACACCCAAGGAGCAGTGCAGGGATGGTGCCCAGTTACAGGGGACAGCTCAGCTCTGAATGTTACAAAGGGCACTTCATGGACCACCACCTTTTCTCTGCTTGCTCTGTACCCCTAAAGTACTACAAGGCATTTTTGGTTAATAATAATTTGAATACTATGTGATCTTGTAGATTCTACTGCGTTTGGCTAGCTAATGTCTCTAAGTAGCAAGATGATTTATTTTTTCTGGACAATACCAGGACTATATGCTGATACAGGACTGGCTTGCTCTAAGGATCAGATTTTCCAGTGTAAAATATATACTCCTTATAGGGTTGTAAGAGCAGAAGCCCGTCATAGCCTGTTTCTTTTTGCTCTCTCTTCAGCCAGCAGTTGGCCTGGATCTTTGCTGGTAGACACAGGGAATGTTCTCCTTGATGAGTGGTTCCCACCCTGGCAGCCTCAGATCCCACCATGTTGGCAGGGATGCTGAAATCCACCTGCCTATCAGCCTTTGTAAATAACAAAAATCACAAGTGGCTCTAGCATTTATGTATTCTATGATATTGGGACTCTTGTGATATAAATAATACAAATGCTTTTACATGCATAATTCAATTTATACTATGTTTTATCTTTAATTACCGGATAATAAAAACATAACTACTCTCAGGAAGTGTGAGGGATGGTGACTCAGGCTAAGGTGAGCCTCACAGCCTGGAGGCTGGCTTTAGTGCTGGCTGGGAGAGCTGCAAGGAGATGGCATATGCTGCCGATGAAGGTGTTCTCCAGGAATTTTCAGTTAGAAGTTTTGATCATTGTTCATTTGGCCTCAGGATGAACATCATGGTACTGCTTTTCATTCTCTATAATTAATATACTTTTCACAGTCAACTTTGCATTTGAAAGTATTTATTTTATGGGAAACAGTGAAAAGTAGATAATTAGCACATGTGCAAATCTGTTTGGCATTTGTGGGGTGTTTGCCCTGAAAACCTATGGATGAAGCCCAAAGACAGGAGCTGGGGGGTTTCATTTAGTTAACTTAAAAGTTTTAATTGGTCTGTGTTACTCTTCTTGTTACATATTTTTTTAAGGCCCTAAGGTGAGCAAGTTACATTTTAAAATAAGGAGGAAAAGCCAGTTTTAAAAGTAGAATTGAGTCATTGCATGTGTTTTTTTTTCCCACAAACATTAGCTGTGTGATTATTATGTCCCAGGCACCTAAGGAATAGTGCCCTTGTCCTGGGGAAGTTCACAGTTTGGAAGGGGAGATAGTTGGGAAAGGTAATGTGAATATTAACACTCGTGTTTCCTGGGGGCCAAAAAGTTCCAGCTTCTGGGCCAGGTTAATTATCTGAATTATCTTATTTCATCCTTACATTGGGAACCAGATGCCCCCAATGCCCTTCAGTGACTTTTTTGGTGGCTTTGAGGAAAAATGAGGCCCAGAGAGGTTATGTAACTTGTCCAAAGTCACACAGCAGGTAGACTTAAAGTCAAACAGTTAGCTCCCAATGTGCACACTCTTAATTACCATGCCACTAAACCAGACTCTGAACAAAGCACTCTGGGAGCACAGAGAAGACCTCTGAGGGTCTGTCTGTGTGAGTCTAGGGCATGTTCAAAGTTAAGAGCTGATGTTTAGCTCAGCAGGAAAGGGCTGGGGCACAGTGTTGAATACACATATCAGGTGGCATTTATTGCTGATGACAGTAAAAGAAAAGTGTAAAACAAGATAATTTGTTTACATTTCAAGATACGTTAAGTTTTTTTTTTTTTTTTTTGAGATAAGAGTCTTGCTCGGTTGCCCAGGCTGGAGTGCAGTGGTGCAATCTCAGCTCACTGCAACCTCCGCCTCTCGGGTTCAAGCGATTCTCGTGCCTCAGCCTCCCGAATAGCTGGGACTACAGGCGTGTACCACCACGCCTGGCTAATTTTTGTATTTTTAGTAGAGATGGGGTTTTACCATATCGGTCAGTCTGGTCTTGAACTCCTGGCCTCAAGTGATCCACCCACCTCGGTCTCCCAAAGTGCTGGGATTACAGGCGTGAGCCACTGTGCCCGGCCTCAAGATGCATTAAGTTTTAAAGGCCCCTGGTTATTTCTCGTCTTCTGAGATGTCATTCCAGTGTGACATGGTTAACATCAGTGAGGATGGCATTCCTGTCCCACACAGTAAAATGTCACCTCTCACACACATAACTCTGGGCGTAAAGTGAGTAAAAATATGAGACTTAGAAGAATATTTCATCATGGTATGCTGATTGGGGATTTCACTTACTGATACTAGAAAGGTTTTGCATTTCAGAACACGATGAAATAGGTAATATTTATCTGAAAGACGCAGACAAGTGGTGGAGGAACCAGACACCCCCAGTGCCGTTTGCTGGCTTTTATCAGACAGAAAGCAGAAAGGAGAAACATGTTTTATCCCATGAGAAGGAAATATTGGCTTGATGTCTACCATGCCCAGCCTTGCACTAGACATCCAGGTAGCTGCTCCATGGAGAAGTTCACAGGGTGGTCAGGATAGCACAGGGAGGAGGTGATACGCTTGAGGGAAGTCCAGGAGGGACTCAGGGAGTGTAAGCCAGTAGGGGGGTGCTCCTGAGAAAGGGAATGAGGCTGTGCCTTGAAAGACTGATTAGATAGAGGAGGAAGTGAAGCATCAGAGGCTGCCCAACAGAGGCAGGAGCTGGGGCTGGGGTGGGCAAGGAGAAAATCACGCCGTCCTCCTGTGTGAACAGTAGAGTTTCATCTGCTGAGGGCAGAGGCCATGTTTTATCCATCTCTGTCCCCTTCTATGTCCCTTTTTCTCCTCCCTTCCCCATTCCCTGGCATCATATTGGGACTTGTTAAGGGCTGAATTGTGTCCCATCCCAAATTTGTATGGTGCCACCCCAACTCCAGTACCTTGGAATGTGACCGTATTTGGAGAAAGGGTCTCTGAAGAGGTAATTAAGGTAAAATGAGGTCATATGGGTGGCCTCTAATTCAATATGACTGGTGTCCTTATAAAAGGAGATTAAGAGCACACCAACATGGCACACGTATACATATGTAACAAACCTGCACATTGTGCACATGTACCCTAGAACTTAAAGTATAATAAAAGAAAAAGAAAAAAAAAGGAGATTAGGATATAGACATACACAGAGGGAAGACCCACGTGACAACATAGCAAGTAGGTGGTCATCTACAAGCCAAGGAGAGAGGGAGGCCTCAGAAGAAACCACCCTGCCAACAACTTGGTCTCAGACTTCCAGCCATCAGAGCTGTGAGACAATACATTTCTGTTGTCAGTCTCTAATACTTTGTTATAGTAGCTCAAGCAAACTAATAATCCAGTGCTCAACATATTTTTGTTGAATAAAAGCACAAAGAGATTCATGAGAAGAGGGAAATGTTGCATACTTAGGGTAGGAGCAAACCACAGAGGTCTTTCTCAGCCTGGGCAAAGAATGTCAACTCTGTGTTGGAGCCAGTAGGGAGCTCTGTGGGTCCTCGAGCAGGAAAATCCCATGGCTTAAGCAGTGTTTCAGGAAGACTGGGATGTTAGGCTCCAGAGCTCTGAGCAAGTCAGATGGGACTGGGAGTCATAAGAAGGCTTGACTGTGGCTAGTGATAACCAATGAGCACTGGAAACATGGAGGGGAATCTTTCCTCCCTTTTATATCAGGGTTCTCTCCTAGAGGAGCAGGTGAGGACCTCTGATGGACCAGGAAATTGGAATTCTGCCTGGGAGGCAAGCCCATGGAGGCCCTGATCTGCTTGGACAGAGAGTAGCTCCCTTCACCTGTAAAATGAGAGTGAACGAGCTGGTGTCTAAGGAATTCAGAATCCCCCCCCTGGAGTTCCACAGGGTATGTGGGATTTTAGGGGGACCAGGGTGTCCCCAGTGCAAGAAGGAGGCTCCCACCAAGGGGCTGCAGCACTGCAGATAACCCCCAGGGGTATGAAAAGAGGCTGAACTGGGGGCCTCCACAGTCAGAATCCATCCATTGACCCAGGATGCCAGGAACGGGGAGGCCCATGGGCAGCAGAGGCTCAACGAACTCCGTGGCCTGACTTGGCCACTAGGTTTTTTCAGCTCTTCAGCCACTGCCTGTAGGAGGCTAGCTGGCATTCCTTCCTTGGCCCTTAGCTTGCATGGATGGGGGTTTCACGTTAAATTCTAAGCCCAATAACATGGCTCTTTTTATTTAAACTCAGTGCTGCACAATGATGAATGAATGAATGAAAGATCAGGGCAGATGAACTGTCAAACCTCAGCAGTTGCCCTTATAGTTAGAGGTGTTTCTGTGAAGCAAATCAAAGCTTATAGTATCAAGAACTTTTTAAAAAAGTACACTTTGATCCAAGTTGGATGTTATTTCTAAGTGTACTCAGGGTGAACACCTCTTAAAACCCCTTATTATGTATGCTGAGCTATTCTGAACCTCAGTGAGAAATCAGTAATGTCAAGAAACCTATACATAATTATTTGTTATAATATAAAAATCCAGAGCTCTTCAAGCATTATTCTATCCTAGTTGGTCAGATTCTGCAGGAAAGAACACTGAGCCTGAAGCAAAATAAATTCCTTGAGTTAAAGAAATTTGTGTCTTGTAAAAAAGCTGAATGAGAAATAACGTTAAAAATGGAAGGAGGCCTAATGATGATATTATGCCATCTCTTGTCATTACTTAGTCCTCTGTTGTTTCAGTCATTTAATCTGGTTTTCTTTCTGGATGCTTTAACTTCCATTTTAATATTCCTTATAATTGTTGTGCAATTATAAAAGACAATCTGAGGGACCCGCCTTGACAGCCTGGGGTAGTATCACTGGGAGTAGGATCTCTCAGAATGCTAAGGAGCAGATGCACTAAGAGAGCTGCATTTCACTCCATTTTATTGGATCTTTTGGTATATACGTTTCTGTGACTTTAGTTCAATGGGATGGACTGTTGCATAATACTGAGGGCGATATGAAGGAGGAGTCGTCTACACTTGTAAAAACCTTCTTCTTTAGGGGTGGGTAGTATATAATTGCAAAGGCATTTCTGATTTAATTAAGAGTTGTTTGGTTGGCCGGGCGTGGTGGCTCACGCTTGTAATCCCAGCACTTTGGGAGGCTGAGGTGGGAGGATCATGAGGTCAGGAGATCGAGACCATCCTGGCTAACACGGTGAAACCCCGTCTCTACTAAAAATACAAAAAATTAGCCAGGCGTGGTGTTGGGGGCCTGTAGTCCCAGCTACTCGGGAGGCTGAGGCAGGAGAATGGCGTGAACCCGGGAGGCGGAGCTTGCAGCGAGCCCAGATCGCGCCACCGCACTCCAGCCTGGGTGACAGAGCGAGACCCCGTCTCAGAAAAAAAAAAAAAAAAAAAAAAAAAGAGTTTTTTGGTTACAAGTGACGGAAAACTCAATTCAAAGTGGTTTAAGCAAAATCCAGAGTTTTACCATCTCATGTAAGTGAACAATCTAGGAAAAGGGCGTCATACATACAGCTCAAAATGGAGTCGAGATATTTCAGATCTGTCTTCTCCTCCTGGCCCAGTTTTTAATGCTTTGACCCCATTCTCAAATAAACTCAACCCTCATGATCTCGAGGTGGCTGCCATTTGTCCTTTCAGGTCCAAATCCAGCAGGAAAAACTTTTGTCACAGCATTCCTGTAAAAGGTATGAGGTTCGCCCTGATTGGACCAGCCGAGGTCACATGCCTACACATGAGCCAATCACAGTGGATAAAGGACTGTGATGTACTCATTAATTTACCCGCCATTATCTCCACTCCTGTCCTGAGGGTGGAGTTATGAAGCTTGCTAATGGGGCACTAGGATGTCCACTAGGTTTTACTCAGTGACATAGGTGACCCACTAAATTTAAGCATATTGGTGTGCAAAGGAGGCATTTGTTGACTTGCAAGTAGACACCTCTCACTTATTTGTCACACTCGCTCTTCCTTTTGTAAGCTTCCTGGGAGAGGGATCTCAGTGGCTTTCAAGATCACCCCTTGCAAATTAGGCATCATGCCCATCACTCCATCCCCTGTGTGAGATGGCGGCAGAACAGTTCCTATTCAGACACCTGCCCTCATGCCTGTTCCCCCGTCCTCCCAGCAGCCCCAGCTCCTGGTTCCCAGCATCTAGCTCCTTCCTTATCAGCACAGGGAGTTGCTTTTTGTTTGTTTGTGTTTGAGAAAGACTTCTTATTTCGTGCATGCACATTTCCTTTCTGTGAAGCAGACTCGGGAGCTTTGCCTTTCTGACTTATTCTGTGCATCCTATCAGTGAAGTCAGTGAGTGGCTTCAAAAATGCTTGCTTTCTTTCTTTTTCTTTTCTTTTCTTTTTTTTTTTTTTTTTTTTTGAGACGGAGTTTCGCTCTTGTTGCCCTGGCTGGAATGCAGTGGTGCGACCTCGGCTCACCACAACCTCCGCCTCCCGTGTTCAAGCGATTCTCTTGCCTCAGCCTACCAAGTAGCTGGGACTACAGGCGTCCGCCACCACACCCGGCTAATTTTTTTTTGTATTTTTAGTAGAGACGGGGTTTCACTGTGTTAGCCAGGATGGTCTCGATCTCCTGACCTCGTGATCCACCTGCCTCAGCCTCCCGAAGTGCTGGGATTACAGGTGTGAGCCACTGCTCCCGGCCCCAAAATACTTTCTGATGCTGATAAAATGTTTTGTCTACTCTAATGCCCAAGGAACAGTTCCTCCCTTAGCAGAAGTTAGTGGTTAAAGCTTCCTCTATGTTTGCCAGTCAAGAATGCCACAGGGCACCAGCCTAAGTGTCCATGAGTGGATGAGTGGATAAAGAAATGCAGCACACACACGTATATACACAATGGAATACTATTCAGCTTTTAAAATGAGGAAATCCTGACATTTGCAACAACATGGATGAACCTGGAGGACATTATGTTAAGTGAAATAAATTAGGCACAGAAAGACAAACAACACATGATCTCACTTATACGTGATATAGAAAAAAGTTGAACTTACAGAAGTAGAGAGTCGAATGGTGGTTACCAGGCATTGGCAGGGGTAGGGTAATGGGGAGATATTGTTCAAAGGATACAAAAGTTCAGATAGATAGGCGAAATAAACTTAAGAGATCTACTGTACAACATGTGACTCTAGTTAATAGCAATGTATTGTATTCTGAAATTATTGAGAGTAAATTTTAATTGTCTTCACCATAAAAGATAAGTATATGTGAATTAGCTCAATTGAGCCATTCCTTAATGCTTATTTCCAAACATCATGTTACACAGTAAATGTAATAGAGTTTTTGTCAATTAAAAAAATTACCAAAAAATAAAAAATGAATTCCATAGAGACGTTCTCTCCAGGAAGGGTCCCCTTCCTAGATCTGACTACTGGTTAGGGTTAATCAATGCCCCTTGGCAAAACAAAACCAACCCCACATTTCTTCATCTCCCATGTCCAAGACACATGCAGTGAGTTCTCAGTGTTTACTACCAGCACACAAATGATGGCTGCTTTATTATTTGGTGACCTTTGTTGTTTGTTGTGATTGTTCTGTTCAGTTTTAGTCCCTCACAGCACTTTCAGCCATTTAGAAAGACAGTATTTGTTCTGCTAGAGCATTTGCAATCTGTTTCTGATTAGCTTAACTGGTCTTGACCAGTGCTAAGTTCACATTTCAGCTTTGATTTATGCTGTCTCTATCTGCAGATATGTTTCTTGTTACGCTAAACAAGAGGAGGCCTCTTCTTACTGACTTCTTATTTTCATGTGAACGAGGTAATAGGTATCAGGAATAATTAGACAAGGCCATACGTGCTAGTGTCATAGGAGACTGAGATATGGAGAGTAAATAATAACAAAATTCCTGATTACTAGGGCATAGAAAAAAAATCTTAGGCAATTCCCCAAGTTGATAATCCCAAATGTCTAGGTGTCCTTCTCAAATAGGGAAACATGACATTAAAACTACTCAAAATAAATGAGACTCAGTGGTATTTATAACCATAGATAAAAAAGAGCAAGGGTCCTAGGGAACTGTGCCAAGGCCCAGCCCTTTGATTCACAAGTATCCACAAAAACAGACTGTACGGGCTGCTTTCAGGAGAAAATGTGGCCATCAAGGTCAACACTGGAAGCCCTATGGCCACTCATTCATTCCATCTCATTGGCCCTGAGCCTTTCGAAAAGTAGGCAGAGAAGAAGCCCAAAGAACAACATGGCAGGCAGGTTAAGGAAGAAAAGCAGAGTTCACAGACATCACTAACAATTTCGTAATGACCTCATGACTTCGCTGGAAGGATTCCAGTGGAGGCGTCACCAGCCCTTTGTCCACCTCTTAGGCTGAGAACCTCAAAGGTTGCCCACACCTTGACCACATACTTTCTTCCTTTTCTTACACAATCAAGCTCTGCACCAAACATTAGGGGGACATTTGCATTTTCATTATATTCATGCGTATTTCTAGCAAAATACCAATTCTTACTGATAAGATGTTGACTTGTACAGTGTGGCAAGGAATACTGTCATACAGTTGTGCCGAAAACAAGCCCATTTACTTATTTTTTTAAAAATTAATTATATATAATTCTTATAAAATAACAAATTCCATTTATTTCCTCTTGATCTCTGTCATCAGAGACATTTGAAGGTCGGAGGTGGGTTCAATTGAAAGACATAATGCACTTGACAAGTTGTTGTATGTGTGCATTGTGAATAGGCCTTAACAGTGCATTCATTTGTTTTATTTTCTCCCATTTATACAGACTTTTGTTCTGCTCTTAGATAAAATACTAATAAACAGGAAGTTGAAAAAAAAATGTGGTGCAATTGTTCTGAATGTTGTTTTTCTTGCAAGGCTTTATGGGCCACACCACACCATCCTATTCAAAGCAGTCCCTGTAGGTGGTGGTGTTAATAAAGAAATGAGGCTGCCCAGGGCCGCCTGCCTGAGCCTCTCTGCAGCTGCTCACCTCCTGCTGAGGCCTCTGCCTTCAGAGCTAGTGGGGCCTGCTCACACATTCCAGTAGTTTCCTCTTTATTTGTCCTGAACCAAGTTGTAGAATTTAAAGGAGGTGAAGTAAGGCGATTTCTATGGAAAATATATTTTTCTTCTTTACTCCTCATGCTGAATGCATAAGAATTTATTATTTCCCCTGAATGTTCAAAGTGGTGTGTGTGTGTGTGTAAAAGAACCAGGAGCAAACAATCTTAATAGGAATGTGCGATCTTGTGTTTATCTTTAGCACACTTAATTAGCTACAACCCGGGACTGTTGCCATTTGAACAAGTTGTTAAGAAAATCTGCCATGTTTTGCTCTTTTTTAAAAGGAATGACTTTAATAACCATAGCAACACTTACTCAGTTTTGTGATCCACTCCAAGATTATGGGAGCAAGAACAGATACTCCTGAAAGCAACCCTCACCTCCTCCCCCGCCCCCTGCCCTCAGCAAGTCCTGGCCTGTGTGAACTGAAGGGTTTGGAAGCTCTGGTTTCTAGGAGTGCCCAGAAGCTAGAAAGACTAGGGTGTACTAGTTATTGAGGGGCAGTTGTCAGTGGCAGTGTGGGGGCACCCCAGTTGTTATTCGAGGCACTGCATTGCTTTTTTGTCTCCTCTGTAAGCATCCTGCCTCAGTGTCAGGGCTTGCAGAACTAGGCCTGGAGTTATGCCCCCTACCCAACCAAGGCTTTGCCTTTTGCCCCCCACTATGGTGCCACCTACTTGGGTTTCCCACAGTTGGTAGTGCCAGGCAGGAAGCAGGAGTGCAGGTTGCAGGAAGGGAGAGCAGAGGAAACAGAAGTTGCTTAGGAGGGAGTTGGGCAGGCTCTGTCCCCAGCAGATCCAAGGGTCCCTGACAAAGAGAACACCTCACCTCCGCCCCTCCCCAGAGGCACACAGAATGCCCCCTCCCACCACCTCCAGGCTGTTAATTCACACCCACCCAGGCTGCCCCCAGGCTCCCCAGACCTGTGCCAGTCAAGCCTGGCCTGTGGCTGTGACACCTGCATTACCCCAGATGGTTGCCTGACCTAGGCCTGTCCTTCTATCTGCTTTGTTTTTATGTTGATTACTAGGTGAAGCACAGTGTTAAAAACGGGAAGAAAAGGCTAGGAATGCAGTTATGGGAGTGTGAGGCTGGGTTGGAATAGGTGGGAGAAAGTCCAGGGCTGAGTGTGTGGACCCTGCTCTAGGGATCTGACCGGCTCAAGCTCCCAGGCCATTAAACAAAGTTGTTAATGTCAAAAAAAAAAAAAAAAAAAAAAAGGGAGAGAGTAAACAAATCTCTCCTCTGTTATTCTGCACCTGGAGAAAAGTAAACCCCTTGGGCATAATAGGCTGTCACCAATTAGACATCCGGGAAAGGCTTTTCTGGGTTTAGCCCTTTTGGGGAAGCATGGGGGTAGATGTAAGTGTGTGAACCTTCACCCAAGTTCTGGAGAAGGATTCCAGAGTGAAAGAGGTTTCCATGCTGAGTCTTGCATTTAAGGGACCTTCCATGGCGTAGCTGCAAAGAAACCTGAATTGCCCAGGATTAACCACCTTTCCTTTAGACGGTGAGCAGTGTGTTTCATGAACACATTACACATTTTAGGGTTGTCTATGGAGGTATCGGCACTCTCATTACTATTTTTAACATTTTATTCTCTGTTCAGGGTTAAGAACTTCACCCACCTAAGTCAGCTCCTGATACAACATGGAATGTTCCAGCAATGAAATGTGAACTTAAGATATTTGGATTAAAACCCCAAAGTTGAGTCAGGTTTAAATATTCTGCAAGAAGCAGTGAGCTCCTTTTGTCTATTTGGGCACAGTTTTCGTGAATTATTTAGGCTTTTCTTAGATGCCTGAGCTCCGTGGTTAGACAGCAGATAAGTTATTTTTCCCTTTAATGCTGAGGCATTTTCACTGATTTCAGTCTTACTCATTAGAAAATTCTGTGCTCACCCACAGCTGCCAGGGTTTCTAGAACACAACACCCTACCTTCTCCTGTAGACATTTTAGTCCGTCCTCGCTCCTGCACTGTGGCTTTCACAGTCAAATGTGAGTTGACCAGCCGTCATTTGTGAGCTGTGAGTGGTATTTTTGGAACTTGCCCACCCCCATTCCCCCAGAGTCCTGTGGAGGTCATGCTCATGGGTTCTGCCACCGGGACAGGAAAGTTTGGACATTACTACCAAAAAAATGCAACGTGACTAAGCACCGTTTAAAATAGCCTTTCTTATTCTCTTGTAAAATTGCAGGGATTTCCATGACAGATGTCGTTTTAGTCATTTTAAAACTTCAGCGCGCTGAGCCTCATCAGCATATTTTTATTTTTGACATTTCATATTTTAGAGTGGATTGAAAACTAATTTGATCCGTTTCAATTTGGAACATCCCTCAAGGTCATTTTACCAGCATTTAGGCCAGTGTTGATCTTGCTTTCATTTTAAACATAGTTATTTTCTCTCTGTGAAGTGATTACTCCTTGCTTGGTGTGTGGTCTGGTGACTTGTTAATTTCAAAATTCTACGATGCAAGCGGGTTTGGACGTGGAGCCTGGCCCGGTGTGGCCAGGCTGTGGCTTTGCCCATCGCAACGGCTGCCTTTGCCTCAAATGGCTCGAGGCTGGCACCTGGTCAATATTTGCTTTTGTCCAAAAGAAGGAAACAGTAGAGGACTTGGGTGGTGTAATTTTAGAACTTTACTGTTGGGTTGTTGGCTTGAAAGATCCATTCTCTTCTGTAAATACAGATACATATTTACTCCTCCAACCTTTCCCTCCACACAATTAAGAAACCCTACAATTAATTATGCCAAATCAAGATTTGCTTTTCTACATGATTTTTTCCCTTTTCCCTAGGAAGTCTGTAATGAATTTTCTTCTTTATTGTAATATTTTATGTTTTTATATACACTTGTATATTCTTATAGCACATATATGTATATATGCAAACTTTCTGAGGCTTCTAAAAAAGAGAAATAATATTGGTTGATTAACCTCAATTTCTTTTCAATATCAAATGTGTAACAATAACCCCAAAAGGAGAGGTTTCAGAAATTAAAACAAGTTGACATTTGCCCACTTCTGAATTAAAATGCAGCATTTGACTTTTGTACTGTTTTGGCTGTCAAGCCTTAGTTTTTTCACACTATCAGGTATTTTCAGATCAAAGGTAAATATGATTTAGAATTATATTTCAAATTAGAACTGTCATATGCCCACACATACATTTTGCTGATATACTTACAAACTGGTAAACAATGCTCTTTAATCAACAATTCATAATCTGGGTCAGCGATTTTTATCTCCATATTTGCTCATACTGTATGACATCAATATTTTATATTGGCTTGCCCATAACTTAATATTTTATAAAAGCCTACCTATGAAATTCATATTTCATATTTGCTTGGCTAGGAAATTAATTTTTGTGATGCTGCAGTTCACCTTGTAGCATACAAATTGAGAAAATTAGCAAGCTGCATGTAGTTCCTTGCTGTACAAAAACAAATGACACATGGTGTCTTTATCACTTGTTTTGTATTTACAGATAAATTTTAAAAATAAAACTTGCCATTTCTGTTAACGTGGAAAACTCCCCACCCCACTCCCATTCTTGTTGACTCTTTTTTATTTTTAAACAGCAAATACATAATCAACTTCAGTCATCTCATTTTCAGGGGAATTACTCATTGTATTTTCTACTTACAGTCACCGGGGCTGATGTTGGGATCTGTGATCAGTTTCCTGTTGTTACGCATAGCTTTTCTCAGCGGTGAGAGAGACATCATGTACAGAGTACACACGGAGGGTTGAGATAGCAGCCTGGTTTATCTTACTTCTGATATGACTTTTAAAATATTGATTTTAAAAGTGTGTCTTTGAGTGTACCAAAATAGTATGTCCCTGATGCTTCTCACTGGATGCAATCCCTGCGCAAATGCTTTCTATGTAATTAGATTTTGGGGCTCAGCTTCCATTTTTTAAATCTGTGAAAGCATTGATCATGCCAGCGGCCCTGGAGAGGGCCACTCTGTTTTAGTGCCATTTACATGTATCAGGACAGGACAGAAAAGGGACAGCATATTACAAACAAAATAAAACTATAATCTTGTTCAATCCTTGTCATGCTGAGGATGTTTGTAAATATAAAAAAAATTGTATGGATTCCACTTACATGAGATAACTGGAAGGGTTAGATTCATAGAGAAAGAAATTAGAGCAGTGGTTACTAGTGGCTGGAGGCAAGGGGGGGGAATGAGGAGTTATTGTTTAATGGGGACAGAGTTTCTGTCTGGGAAGATGAAAAAGCTCTGGAGATGGATGGTGGTGATAGCTACAGCACAGTGAGTGTACTTAATACCACTGAAGAGTACACTTAAAAAATGGTTAAAATAGTAAATTTTATGCTATGCCTATTTTAGCACAATAAAAGAATACACATTCATGGAAACAGGGCATTTAAATCATTATGCATAATAAAGTGAGAAGGTAGTTGTGATTTGCAAAAAATTATAGAAATTATAGGGAGAAACACAATCTCAAGAGCCACCCTGGAGTCCAGAGCTCTCGTTTTACAGATTCAGGAGTGGAGGCTCAAAGAATATATGCTTTCTTAATGACTGGAACCCAGACGGCAGGACCCCCACACAGGGCTCCTTGCTGACCCTTTGCTGCCTTCCCCCCTCCCTTAGAGGGGCCATTCTTTATTCTGAGTAAACGTGCCACTGATTAGATGGGCTTCATGATAAAGACCTGCAGTAAGGACGTTTTAATCTTTTAATCTAGACGGTTCACGAGTTCCACTGGTGTGTCTCTGGGGGCAGGCTCCCAGATCACAGACTGGTTCCACCGTGCCCCGTGACCTCAGCGTGCCATTAGATGGGAGGCCGTTATTTCAGGGAAAAAATCATGTTTGAAACTAAGTGGGTCCCCGGCAGTTTGCAGCAACACTGGCTGCTCAAAAGGACAGCACGAGGCTTTTCACAGCATGTAGATGCCATGGCTTTATGAGAGCTTTGAGCTTGGGAGGGTCTACTTGTGCTTTTGCAACCTTAGTTTAGATTTCATTTGCATCTACTATTTGTAAGTGCACCATTTTTCTAAGGGAAGTATGTATGTGAGAATTATCTACATGATTTTTGTAGGTGGCTCACAAAACAAATGTCAGTAGCCATTCTATGGCCTTGGAGTATCATTTCCCACACCTTTTCTATGGGCTGTCTTTATTTTTGACTCTAATACGTATCCCTTATCATACAAAAAGTTCTTGAGCATATTTGATATATTTTAAAACTTCCACCCCAGTGGAATTAACACTAATTATATTTAATTCCACACAAACTTTTGTCCCAGTTGTAGACCATTTACCTACTTCCTGACAGCAAACACTACACCGCTGTGAAATTTTATTTTAACACATTTGTGCCCATTTTCAGCATTAATAATCGTGTGTGGAAGTGGCAGCAAAATGAAGATATCGCCTGAGCATGGAACCACAAATGCCTGAACGTGTGATGGCATTTGTGAAACAAAAGCATGACATACTTTTTCTTTCCAAATGAGGCAGTGCCACAACTAAAAAAGCCAGTTCGCCTTTCGCTTTCTAAAATCATCTTGCTGGAGAGAACGGTTATCAAATCCCATCCACTGCCCATGTAAAATAAATACCATTCAGAAAAGCGTGGCATGGATGGCCATACTTCTGATGGGTTTATAACTGTAGATTGCATACGATCCCAACGTGAAGCCTGAAATACGACATTCAACGTCAGGCTTATTCCAGGCTACTGCTGTGGCTACTTTTGTAATTCAACCAGTGGGGCGTTTTAGGCTAACGTATATTGCCTCTAAGCTGATAAGCATTTTCCTGATCCCAGGCCCCTTCTAAAATTGAACACACACGTTCAGCTGGGGACACCTAGATGGAAGGAAGGGAAAGAGGAGAACCCGAAGTGAAGGAAAAGTCACCAAGAACAGTTTCGTGGAAAAAAAAAAAAAACTCTCAAGAATTAAGAATGTTGAGTTGCTTGAATGGAGCTTGGGCAGGAAAAAGACCATAACTCTCACACACGTGAAGGTTACTGATACCCAGGAGGTAAAAGAAGTATTTAACATGCTCTAAAGAAGGGTAACCAGAGTAATGGGGCGAAACCAAGGGAGGACGTCCTGGAATGTAATATTAGAAATAAACTTCCAAACAGGGAAGTGTCCATCCGAGTGTGAAATGGGTTTATCAGAAACAAGCTGCATGCCAGTTTCATTGACATTGCAAAGAAGGTTAGAATAAAAAGCTAATGAACAGAAAGAAGAAAGAGGCAAACAGGGTGTGTGTTGAGAGTGGTGGAATATGAAGGATGGTGCATTTGTCCAGGCTGGGGCTGCTGGCCTGAGGAATGGTGGTGGAGTTTTTTTACAGAGCATCTTCTGAGCACCAGGAGAGTCCCGGAAGCTGAGTTTGACACTAGCAAGACCTGCCCTGAATTGGGGACTGCTGGATGCCTGGAAGCTCCCCTACACTTACGTTCCTGAAGTTGGGCTTTTTATCACCTTAGGACTATGGCTTCCCAAACTTGGCAGTCAGCGTCCCGGCAAAAGCCTCTCTATTACTGCGAGGTAGTGTTTATGGAGTCACAGCTAAGAATTACAGAGAAAATCATAATAGGTGAATCTTTTTTTTTTAAAAAAAACAACATTTTTTGACTTTGCAAATAAATTGCAGAATTATCACCATTGTTGAAATATTTTCCATTAAAACTAGAGTTTATTAAAAGTGCCTGGAAGGATGCCCCCTGCTGCCTCCCTGAGTCATCGCTTTGGATTTGTTCTTCAGAGGCATAGATTTATTTCCATAGCAGGGGTTTTCAGTTTTGTGCTTACAGTCCCGCAGTAAGTCTTACTGGCTTCATCTTCTGACCTGCTTTTAAAACAGTCCTCCACCGTGCTAGGTACACAAAGGGATACTTTTTGGGTTTTTTTGAGACAGAGTCTCGCTCTGTCACCCGGGCTGGAGTGCAGTGGTGTGATCTCAGCTCACTGCAACTTCTGCCTCCCGGGTTCAAACAATTCTAGTGCCTCAGTCTCCCGAGTAGCTAGGACTACAGGTACGCATCACCACACCTGAATAATTTTTTTTTTTTGTATTTTTGGTAGAAACAGGGTTTTGCCATGTTGGCCAGACTGGTCTCAAACTCCTGACCTCAGGTGATCTGCCTGTCTCGGCCTCCCAGAGTGCTGGGATTATAGGCGTGAACCACTGTGCTGGGCCCAAAGTGAAACTATTATAACAAGGTAAGAGCAACTTTTCCCAGAGTTAAAGGATGGTGCTCCATGGAATAGTGAAAGTCTGGGACCAAAGCACCTTTTCCCTTTAATTTCTCCAATTGCTTTTAAAATATTCTATGCAATAAGCATCTGAGTCCAAAGGGAGGCTGTGTCTTCCTCTAGGGTCTCTCTGAATGAGGTCAGTTTCTATGTTAACTTTTACGCTTCCTTTTTTGTCTCATCCCAAACCATTTCTCCTCTTGTCATCCTCTTTTTCCTCCTCCTTTTCCTTCTTATTTCTCCTGTTGCCTTTTTTCTACCTTTTTATTTTTTGCCAATATACATAAAATTGCTTGTTAAAAAAAGATCAAAGACAGCATTTTTATATTTTTTTCTTAAAAAACAATATGAAGGGCTGGGCACGGTGGCTCATGCCTGTAATCCCAGCACTTTGGGAGGCCAAGGTGGGCGGATCATGAGCTCAGGGGTTCAAGACCAGCCTGGCCAACGTAGTGAAACCCCGTCTCTACTAAAAACAAAAAAATTAGCTGGGCATGGTGGCGCACACCTGTAGTCCCAGCTACTCGGGAGGCTGAGGCAGGAGAATTGCTTGAACCTGGGAGGCAGAGGTTGCAGTGAGCTGAGATCGCTCCACTGCACTCCGGTTTGGGCAACAGAGCGAGACTTTGTCTCAAAAAAAAAAAAAAAAGAAGTTAAACCATGAAACCACCCATAATATATTAGTCTTCAGAAAGAAAAGAAAACCAAGGTAAGATGCAAATAACAGAAGTACAACTTTTATTTTTCTAATTGTGGAGTGACTCCAAGAGGATTCTGCTCCCACCAGGTAGGCGATAGGCGTCCTGTTGGTGGCGTGTAAAGGAATGGAAAGCTACCACGACCTGGGGGGTCCAAGAGGGGCTGCTGCAGGTAGCCTACCCCCCCAGCCTTCCCCATGACCACAGCCACCCACTCCCTCAAAGTGGGACTTCAGGCCAAGCAGGGGAAGATCTCAGGCGAGGAGAAACAGTCCATCCGAGAGCTCCCTGGGAGAATCTTGTAGACTACACGCTAATGAGATAGGCCTGTCGCCAAAGGTCACCTCCGCACTGTCTTGGCCACAAATGAGGCCTGAAATCCTGCTATTAGAGTTGCACACACACAGGAGCCTCCTCTGGGAGTTCTGTTAACCACTGGTCTGGGAGAAGAGACGGCACAGATGGCCTCCCCAGTCTTTCCAGGGCAGAGCGGTGGGGGCGGGAAGGAAAGGAAGTGCCGAGTAGTTCAGGAGAGGGGGTGGGCATGGGGTTGGGGGGCAGCCTGGGGACACTATGGCCCCATCCTAGCCTGGTGGGAGCTAGAGGAACAGGGAAAGTAAGTCTAAAGTAAGCTAGACTCAGGAAAGGGAAAGAAAACTCTGCGTGTCTTTTTTTCTTTCCTTCTTTTCCTGACACACATAGTCTTGTGCTCTCTCTGGGCTGGTTCCACTAGTGCAGCGATGCTATGGGGGAGGGGCCCAGGGCCCTGATAACAGGTGGGCGTGTGTCAAATAGCAACTCAACCAATGAATGAATGAATCTGCCTCTCCTACCTCTCCGGACAGTTTTGAAGTTTAGGTGAAACCATGTGTACAAAAGCTCCTGTGAACTGGGAGACACTTTGCAATCCCAAAGTGGTTAATAATAAAAATAGTAATACTTTTAAAAAATCATAACAAATAATAATAATGCTATTGGAACCATCAATCTAATACACTTTTTTTCTGTGAGAGACTTATTGGATTCTTTCCTTGGCATGAAAGCCCTGCTTCTCCCAACACAGGCAGGCTCCCTCTGGCACAGGGTGATTGCATCATAGACCTGACCCAACGTGACAGAGAAGCGGTTCTTTCTGAGTTACCAATGGCCATCCATCTTTCAGCAGGCGTGCCTTCCCATTTTCCTTGCTCTGCCCATGAGAATTTTCAGCAGAACCTTGGATTAGGTGTGCCAGACATGTTCTACTCTTGATTGTGAAGATTATACACACTCTCACCTTCTGAGATAAATGTTATTAAATTGGATAAACAACCGTGTGTAGTTTTGCTTTTCTGTTTTATCTCAAGATCCTGCTGACATGGCTAACAGGGCAACTGTGAAAAGATTTTTATTCGTGTCTACATCAGTGTGAAAGGCTTCATCCTGGTGTGTACTAATCACTCAGACAGTGGTATGAATAAATGAAGGAATGCATTGACAAACTAATACACAAGGTGATTCCGGAAAGGCGCACCTCCTGGGATAAATACGGTGACAGTGGTGAGTCTGCTCTAGGTCTACGAAGTTCTTGCTCTTAGTAGAGATCCAGACACCCAATGTTGAAGACAGTTCCTCTTTGCTTTAGAAAGCTTTGTGTGCAAGAGATGGCAAACTACTTCTTAAAAAACAGAGAGTCCCGTAAACATATGCCAAGGTCCACGGTGCTCCAGGCAGGGTGCTTGGTGCCAGAGAGACAGAGTGAACTGAGCTGGCCATGGCATCTGTCCTGGAGAAGTCACACTCCAATCAGGAAGGCAGGAATGTGGGCCAGACCTACAGCCTCTGGGGAAGGGTGTCCATAAGCTGTGAGGTGGTGGCCACTGACTCCAATGGCAGAGAAGGTGTGGTAAAAAGGCAAGGACATCTGCAATCCTTCTCTAACTCTTGACTTATTGTTATCTGCAGCAGGTTAACCACCCCTCTGTTAACTTCCTTCTCTCTAATGAGGATATTAAGAGTAGTTGCCTCAGAAGGTTGAGCAAATTTGGTAATTTACACAATGTGTAGTTGTCCCTTGGTATCCATGGGGAATTGATTCTAGGATCTCCTATGGATATCAAACTCCAAGGATGCTCAAGTCTCTGATACAAACTGGCATAATATTTGCCTGTAACCTACACAGATCCTCTTGTGTACTTTAAATAATCTCTAGATTACTTATAATATCTAATGCAACATAAATACTATGTAAACACTTGTTATGATATTTTTATTGGCATTATTTTTATTGTTTTATTATTTTTAAATATTTCAATCCATAGTGGGTTGAATCCAGTAATGTGGAACCCACAGATATAGAGGCCAAGATACCTCAATGATTGGCAGTTCCAGCATTGCCCATCTCCCTGTACCAATCTGTGCCAACCTCGGAACTGTGGTTGAGTCCCAAGCTAGGGGGTCGGTTCACACCATCCATCCCACCACTGCAGCAGATGCTCACCCAGCGTCAACTCTGAACCAAACACCATTCTGGGCAGGGGCGAAGGTGAGAAGCACAGACCTTGGCCCTGCTCTCCCCTCCTTGGGAGCCCAGCAGAGCCAGTCCCCACAGGTGGGACTCCACTACCCAAGGGAAGCCTGAGGCATGAGGCCTGTGTGTTGCTCAGTGACCGGGTCCATCCTCCCAGTGCCAGAGAAAAGGAGGTGCCCCTCAAACCACAAAGTAACCCTTGGACTTCTCTTTAGCTGGGGTGGTGGCTGCTGGAGAGGGCCCTGCTTGCTCATCTCTGCCAGCTTCCCAGTCCCTGCAACCAGCAGTGGCCAGCCTCTGGCCACCCCCATGAAAGCACATAAAAGGGTTGGGGAAGCCGCAACCCCAGAATTGAGGTGAGCTAGAGTTTGAGGACATAGGTTGCTTTTCACTTATCTCCAGCAAGAACCATGTTATAGATCATTGGTACAGTGACGATTTTATGCTTCTAATTGAATACTGATGAAAAATGGCAATGGTTTCTCAGTTACTTCTTGGAAATAAATTGTGGGTAAATAACATCTGCTTAAAGCTTGGAAACCCAGTTTCCTTTGGTTTGTGTTTTTAAATGCTTTGACGATGCGGTTTGCTTTTTTACTCCAAGAAAAAAAAAACAATTAAATAGAGGCTGACAACTAGGTGAGATCCACAGCCAAGCTATTCTAAGAGCCCGAAGTCACCCTGGACACCCAGCTTGATGACAAAGGGCAGAAATTCAATATGGAAATAGGATCCACTCCAAATGCACCATCTCTGACA
This sequence comes from Homo sapiens, assembly GCF_000001405.40. NCBI lineage: Eukaryota > Metazoa > Chordata > Mammalia > Primates > Hominidae > Homo > Homo sapiens. The sequence goes on along the minus strand of NC_000002.12, from coordinate 111,443,212 downwards.
TTATGATGAAGAGAATATGTATTTCATGACAGGGCAAATGTTGCCATCCTTCTGAGGGAAGATGTAAATGAGGATGCTTTTAGGGATGATTTCTACATTGTCACTAAACTGAGACATTTGTGCTTGCTCGTGCCAAGTGAAGATTGCTGTTGCTGTTGTTCTCTCGCAGTGATTAAGGTTCATTCCCTAGCAACAGGCAGCAGCAGAAAGGAAGCTTTGCAGGCAGAGTCACCGAATAAACGCAGTGGGAACAGTATCAACAACAAACCCAGTGATGAAGGGAGGGGCATGTGGGGCACACCACATTGCCTCTCTGGCTTCTCGTCTGCACCTGGGGCCAGAGGCAGGTGGGAAGGAGACCTTGACAATGTGGGAAGTCCCTTTGATTTGCTGAAATGGAGGAGTTCACATTTTACTGTGCAGTCTAACATTGCCCATTCTGGATTAGCTCCATCAGACACGCTTTTGTGCTTTACTGTAACTCTTTCTTTATTTGTCCTCCTGGAAACTGATCCATAATGCCAATTTGCTGATCAGCTGTCCCTGGGACTTCGGTGTACTGGGCTAGAACCTCAGTCTAGTGTTCAAAGGAGCTGGCAGAATGGGTTGTCTCGGCATGGAGGACCCAAAAGCAGAGCTCCCTGGTGCTTTGGGGGAGAGTGAAGCCCTTCATTCCACTCCTCATTGCAGACCAGCTTTCCTGGTATTCATGCACTGCTTTTGGTAACGCCTCAAATGAAGGCCACAGCTCAGCCAAGTAGAAGAGAGCTCCTAGTAAATGAAGTCTGGTTGCCTTTGAATTTATAAAATAATCAAAGTTGCTATTTCCTGCTAAGGAGACAGATACAGAACAGGAGATAGGCCACAGTCATTACTGTCCCCTGCTTGTTCCCTGAGCCCCTGGCCTTCTACCTTTTCTAACTGCTGTCAGAACCCTGGTTGGGGACTTCCTTTTGCCTGGTTCTCCTGGGCTTGAATGGCAACCTATATTGACAGATTTCATGCCACTGTTCTTTTTCAAACAAGATGATTAACAATGGAATAATTGGGTTTGGGAAGAAGGCCTTTTTAAAGCAAACTATGGAAAATAATTGATGAGTAGCGCAGTTTTATAAAGCTTTTTTTTCTATTACCCTTTAAAAACTATGTTGCTAACTGCACATCACACTGCATTCATATCCTGGGACTAATACCCCTTGACCTCTGCCATATGAATTAAGGTGGAAGAAGGGTCATAAGTAACAAAGTTTCGAAGTTGAATGAACCTTTTTTTTCCTGTAATTTTACTGACCATTTCCCTTTCTGTTTGAGAGATCTGTGCGGTCCTGTTGCTGAGGTTCTGTGGTTCAGGGGTGTTATCGGTGACAGAGTGCTGATTTCACTTGGGTCTGTTCTGGTTTGTCTTAATTTCTCTTTTAGAGCTTAATTTTCATTTCCAACGAATTAGGCAAGACAGAAAGTGACATTTGGAAAAGAGTGAATGGATGACTAAACATTCACCAGACGTCATTCTTGTAACAGTTAAATGGTAGTGATTCATGTCTCCATCTCTTGATAAAATATAAAGCATTAAATCTTGATGGCTAAACACACTGACAAAACTACCGAACCACGTTCCTGGTTGAGGATACCTGAAGGTCGACATTTATCTGGGATCTTTTGCTGCTGCTTTGGTATGACTTCTATCAAGATAGCTTTCGACGAGGTAGAACGTTTGCTTTCACTCTGGGTTTTCCTTGGTTTCGACAATTTTTAGGTGTTAACTGAAGGAAATCCCGTCTTGTCAGAATGTTCTTTTCAATACAAATCGCAGTGAAATAACGGGCTAGAAAGATGTGGATCCTTCTTGATTTTAGGAAGCACACACCTATCGGCAACTCTCTCTGCCTGGCCTGTGTTCACGGCGGTATTTTTGCCTCTGTCACCATCCTTGGGACTAGGTACAAAAATAGGCTTATGTTCCACGTGTCACCCACCACTTCACTTCCTTTTTAATAGATCATGGGTAAGGAGGTGAGAGGACATGAGAAGGATTGGCATGAAGTAAATAACAGTTAAATCTTTTCAGCCAGGGGTGGTGGCTCAAGCCTGTAATCCCAGCACTTTGGGAGGCCGAGGCGGGCGGATCACCTGAGGTCAGGAGTGCGAGACCACCCTAGCCAACGTGGTGAGACCCCGTCTCTACTAAAAAATACAAAAATTAGCCGGGCGTGGTGGTGGATGCCTGTAATCCCAGCTACTCAGGAGGCTGAGACAGGAGAATTGCTTGAACCTGGGAGGCAGAGGTTGCGGTGAGCCGAGATCGCGCTATTGCACTCCAGCCTGGGTGACAGAGTGAGACTCCGTCTCAAAAAAAAAAAAAAAAAAAAGAGTTAAATCTTTTCAGATTTCTAGGCTGGAAATCAACAGAACAAGATCTGCTAGCAGAAGTTGTTACATCTCAACTAAGTATAGACTGGAGATGAATCTGACAACCTGTGACATCTTTAAATGTCAAACCCACCGCACATCACAGATGACATCGTACCTAATGATCAAACTCCCTTTAAAATATACTTCATGTAAATACATTTTTGCGAAACCACAAGCTGTTTCTCTCAGTTTTGTTTTCAGCTGGCTTTGATAAGGAGATTGGTTGGCAGCCTACAGCTAATTAAGCAGCTTTCAAGCCAACATCAGTGAAAGGTTTTAGGTGACTATCAGAAATCCATTCCACTCTCCATGGTCCACCGGTGTCGACTATGCCTTTCAATTGTGCCGACAGACCCTGTCAGAAGAGAATGGTTTCGCACTAATCCAAGTTTACAACCAAAATCATCCTGTTTTCAGTGGTGTAGATCCAGTGTCTGTATCTGTCTTGTCAACTCACAATAGCATTAGCACAGGGGGCTGGATTTATGCTCTAAGAAATGCAATTTACCTTTCTAAGCTCACTTATATATATTTGTATCTAACATATTGTAAATTTCTTAAACTTGTTACACATTTAATTTTATAACTAGAAATCAATTTTTATTTATTTATTTATTTATTTATTTAGTGGACAACAGAAAATGAAGTGCAAGAGTCCCTCATTTCCGGGGCAAGAATTCTGAGTTCCTTGGCTTCTTTCATTCTTGTCTGACTTTCCCCCCTCCAGTTGCAGTTATTTCTAGATTTTGGTAAATTATTCATTGCTTTTAAAAGAGAAAAAGCTCAATTTTCTAAATCTACATTTGAGCTAGCCCTAACCTCTAAAGCCAGATTGTTTTAACAAAATTGTCATCATTTTATACATGACAGATTGGCTTCAAATAAAATGGTAAATGGGAGGAAAAGTATATTTTGCTTACACTTAGGAATGCCTGTAAATGTAACAGAGTTTAAAAAAAAATCTTGGTGTTTTAACAAATGCATATTGTGAAAAAGAGGAAGAAAAAATTAGCTGGTTGCCTGTGAAGTAATTGTGCTAAAAACATTCATTTTTAATATATAAGAGTTCACATTTTAATTCATATACTTGCAAAAGAAAAGTGGGATTTTTTTTCTTAATGCTTTGACTATTTAAGGAAAGCTTTTGTGCTGTGCCAGTCTGCTTTTAAGAAATTCCAGAGTTACAGATACAATTGAGGGTGAACTTGAATTTGTTCCGTGGGCACGGCCTTTTCTGTTGTGGTAAAACAAAGTTAAAATGACAACGGTTCTGAAGAAAGTGCTTCAAGACCATGTCCTGTTTCACTCTTTCCAGATGACTAAAATCACCCTCATTTCCCAAGTCTTACATCGGGGGAAGAGGATATGTGGTTTAAAAGAGTGGCAAGTACTAGTTAAGGTCAGGCTTTTTCTGAATGTGAACATTCAGTTATGCTGCATGAAGATAGGGGCAGGTATTGCAGAGTAAAATTCTCATACAGAAAATGTCTGAAAGTAACAAATTAGGTGATTACCACGGTCTCCTTATCCACTGTCATCTTTAATCGTCATGTTTTTTTTTTTCAAGGCTGTTTTGTCTGTTTTTAAATGCTGTTGTCTTATATAAATCAGGCTACTTGCTTTAAAGTACCAGAAGAATCCTATAATACTGAAAAAATTGAAATATAAAAAAGTGAAGTAAGAATTCTGAGTCACATGTTTTAGATACGGTGTTAAACAACATAACACATTATCTTGAATGGAAGATGTTATTACCTTGGTGCTCTCATCAGTTCAGCTTGCCCAGAAGCAATGCCAACCTTTCACTGAGAATCTTTTAAACTGACCACAAATGTCCCTATTCTTCTCAATGATTTAAAATGTCCTGTGCTAACTTTTCTATCAGTCAATATGTATTTTTCAGTGTTCTTACTGAGTTTTGTTATTTGCTTTTAGTTCTTTTCACTGTTTATTTGCTGGTTTATGTTTTATGAAGAAATCCACTTTCAGAAGAAATGATGACTTATTTTCTGTGGGTGTTTCCTTTCTTCACTACTTTAAGAATTTTCAAGTATAAATAAATTGTGAGAATACATATGTGTGCAAGGAGTGTGGGGAAGAGTTAACTAATTTTTAAATTGAAATGAGGGAAATACTGGGCTGACTCTATTGGTGTTTTTCAGAGTGTTCCTCAATTTAACAAAGCAAAGCACTGAGTAGTATTTCTTTCTAATATAGATGTTTAAAAACATCTTCCAAAGTAAGTAGCAAGAACTAATGCTCAAAGTGTTGTCTGAAAAATCTAGAAATATCTGCATGCTGTTATGAACAATTCTGTTTCTTTATGGAGAGTTGTTTGGGCTTTTTAGAAACTCATTAATTTGATTGTAAGCGCCTCACTGTTATCAGGAAAAGAAGCTTTAGAAAATGGTTTCAGAATGTGTCATTTTCTCCTTGTTTTAATCTGAGACAGTGTGTGGGCATGCTGGTATTTTAAAAGGCTAAAAATGTTGTACATATTGCTGTGTCTTCAAATATGAGGGAAGATTACAAACAGAAGTTTTCTTCAAGCCTCTGTCTGAAATTCTGCTTTTCTTCTCAGTAGTGATTCTTAAATTTTTACGGAGAGATCTTTCATTCTTTTTTTTTTTTCATTTTCAATCTGTTGTTGAAATTCAGCAAAACAAATATTTTAAAAGCCAAGTCAGCTTTCTACCGTTTTGATCTGAATATTTAATGCTTTATAAAATAAAACCCTGTGTTTTAATTTTAACTAGTTTCATTCTTTTTTTTATGAAATGATTTGCGGTATTAGACTGTCATTTGGTTTCAATATTAATATATAACATGAACTACGTGGGTGTCACTTATTTTCAGTAGTAAATAACTGCTTAACCGATTACTTTACTTTAACATAGTTCTACTGTTCTCCTTGAGCCTCGTGATCTGCATCTTCAAACAATATTTGGTGTGTGTTTTTGCAAAATAGCATTTACATACTGTGTCATTAAAAACTAGTTTCATGGTGTCATGGTGGTCGGAATCAGGGAATGTCGTGTAGTTGGTTTCAAAATCCATCAGTAGGTTAATCATTAATTATCCTTTTTCCAGGAAAAAACTGATGAGGTTGTTTCAGAATTTGAATTTACTAGAATTCCTTTTTTTTTGCATTAAAAAAAAACTTTTGCATTTTAAGCTTAAAGGGGGTTAATTTGGTAAGAAAAGGTACCTTTTCTGTTTGTATTGTGGCTTGTTCATTTTCTCATAAACTGTATTTGGTAGCTAAAATGTTGAAAGCAGTTTGGGAACAAAATGTCTGCTCAAACCATGACAAAATTGGCCACAATTTGCCGATTGGGCTGATAACAAAAGCCAGCAACACAAAATAGGTAGAAAAACAGTTTGTTCGGTGATGTGAGACCACTGAAGCTCTTTTTTGCATGTTTTTTTTTTTTTTTTCATTCTGATGCTTATGTTGTGATGGAAATACATGAAGTCTCTGCTTACCCATTGTTTCTGATTAACTATTTCATCTTTGGATTTCTTTTAAAACTTCAGAAAACAAGCTGCCCCCTGGGCATCTGAGACAAATTTGAAATAAGAGCCAGCTCTGCACCTAAACATTGTGTTTTCTCTAGACCCCACTTGGTTGTAAATGTCCCAAAGCTCTTGTTTTGATCGTTTAAAGCAGCATTTAAATTCCATTTCCCCCACCACCCCAATGTTCAACATTGAATTGTATGGCTTTTACTACACTTTTGCAAGTGTAAAACAAAAATTCTAGTTTGCAGTTTAAAAGAAAAGTTCTCCACCTGGGTATATAGTTGACAAAAATGTCAACAGCTAAAAGTACATATTGACTCTCATATTATCTTCGCAGACTGTAAGCAACTATTAATGTTTTACATGAGACAATACATTTTTTTCAAATGATAGAACGAGATAACAGCCTCCTCTCCCTTGCCTCTGCTGTTGTAACTTCTCATACCTTGTGTTGCCTCTGTGTGTGTGATGGTCTTATTTTTTTGGTCTTAAAAATCAGATCCTCCAGGACAATAATTAGGATGAGGTTTATGTTTCTACTTATCTAATCTTTGTTTTCACAAATAAATACAAATAACTCAAACTGAAACTTGATGGCTTTGGTGATAATATAATAGCAGCCACGGGGAAATTTTCTTCATTTTAATGTTCTTTCACAACCCACATTCAGTTTCGGTAGGAAAATTATTAACCTTTTCAACAGCATGCTGAAATATGGGTTCACAATAGACTCCTGAGTATGATTTGCAGGTTTTGGTTCTATTTTGAGATTTTGGTGTACAGTTTTTCTCTTTTTTTCTCTCTTTCTTTCGTTCGTTCATTCTCTCATACCAATTGCTTTCTTTGACACCAATCGCAATGACTTAAAATCCTTCAGTTGATATCTTTTTAATGTGTGCACGTTATACAGTGTTTGCATTTATTTTTTTATTATGAGAAGGGAGAATTCCTATTTCCTTCTCTCCTACTGATTGGTTCTATGAAAGAGGACATACTCTTTATTCTCACTGTTTTTCTCCACTCTAATCCTCATGTGGAGGTTGTGAGTCCTCCAGCCCCATTTAAAAAAATCCAGTTGAGCCACATTTCCCCGAGGGCACCTGGCTCCATGTCAGGCATCAGATCTGACTCCTGTCTGCCTCCAGTGGCCTCGTGTCTGTGTCCATCACACCAAAGCAAGTCCGCCCGTTTGGGCTTGCTGTCCTGAAGGTCTGCACGGCCTCAGGCTTCCAAGGAAGGCCTGGGTGGCGGTGTCTCCATAGCTGACTGCTGCTGGGGCTGCAGGTCTGGAAGGGCTATTGGAGGGAGGTGATCATGATTTTGTAACTCTGGCTTCTTCACCTGAAACACACACGAGGGCAGGACCTGGGGCCAGAGAGGCAGGTGAGTAGGAGGATCTCGGATAACAGTTTCTGTTTTAGGCATCCCCTTCTCCAAGTCTGGGTGGGACAGCCACACCTGCAGAGAGGGCCCTGATTGGGGTCGTGGTCCTGCCCCACATCTGGCAAGCCTGTGCCTCATGTACTCACAGTCACCTTTTTTATTTGATCCCCATCCATCCTAAGTCCCCACCCCCCCGCAGTGCCCTACCCTACCTGTTCCCACCGTCCCTGCAAAGTTGAATATGGAAACTGAGAAACACATATTTTATCTGTAACAAATGTGGACATTTCCAGTATTTTAGCCTGGGTTTTTTTCTTCTTCTTCTTCTGCTTCTCATACTTCCTGTATGAGGTTAGTTTTTTTAAAATGATAAACAAACAATTTTTTTTTTTCAACTTTTTTGGGAGGCCTGGTTGTCTAGTGCCTCCTACCTGTGTTGTTGTGAGCCTTTTGCTGGTGCTCTCTACCTGGGCACAGAGGTCGGTGTGAGCAGAGCCTGAAAGTGGGAGTGGGGGATGTGGTGTTTTGCACAGGGTTGCAGTGAGGAGGGTTGAGCTGGTGAAAACACTTCTGTTCTCCTATTTGAGAGAGATGCAGCAGAATTCATGGTTGTCGTGTTCTGTGCAGGCAAAATGAGCTGAAGGATGGAAGGCAAGGGGGATAGGAGCAGGGGTGGAGCATGGCTAGAAGAGACATTTGATGTTTAGGGAGAGAACACTGGTGCAGATTGAATATCCCACAGTGCTCAGTCCCACGCTGTGCAGATGAGCAACATCTGGAAAAGAAGATTAAGGGATGAAGCATGCCAACATTTCTCCCCAGGTCACCCCAAAAATGAGTTGAAAATTCTGGATGGCTTCTGAGCTGCTTGCTCTTTCCGCCCCCAGTCGGGATCTCAGGAGAGAGCGTCCGGCAAGTAGCTTGGGTACAGTTGACTAAGTGTGAACATCAGTAGCCAGCCGCATAGCCAACCTGCAGTCACCCATGGCCCTGCATACAAGAGTGTCACTAGGAGCAGATATCACTTGCCACTGGTGGTTGTGTGTATCTGAATCACCTGGGCACTGTGAAACACACATTCCTAGGCCCCAGCCCCAGGGTTTCCTTCTTAGAATATGTGAGGTGAGGCCGGAGAATTTGCATTTCTAACAACTCTCAGGTAATGAGATGCTGCCAGTGCTGAGACTCCCATTGAGAACCGCAGCCTAGAGCCAGGGTGCTTGAAATGCCTAAAAACCGTGTCTACTGGAGTCTGCAAGTTGTCTCCACTTTTTTCCTAATGTCCCTTTGTGTGTCCTACCACAGACTTAAAATCCACACCAGCCTCTCAGAAGGCCTTTTGCATTTCTCAGTAACTGCACAGCAAGGTTACCTGTCATCTTGGCCTTTTACCATGTCCATCAGACTATAAAGTGGCTAAAATGTTTTTGAGGTTTGGTTCTCTGAAAAATGGGTTGTATTTTACAGATAGTGAAAGGGTCAAGCTGTAGTGTATGGTATCACTAGACTAGGAAACAATCTACCAAGGGCCAACCCTTGGGTTGCTGCCCCTTGACAATTTCCGCCTTTATTATAAACTAAGGGAGCTGTCATAGGTTCTTCCCTATATAGAGCACTCTTGACATAAGTGACACCATCTTAGAAAAAGACTCCATCTTACATGTCAAAAGGCATCATGCCAACAGGGAACAGATGGCCACCTAATCAATAAAGACCACACCCAACCAGACAGGGACATCACCAGCCCTCTTCTACTATCAGTCCTTGCCAGAGGTCTCAGGGCTATAAGAAGAGCAGGATTTCACCAGCTTGAGATGGTCATCTTAACAGAGCCTTGCTCTGTTGTTGCTCGTGATCAGCACCCGGCATCTGCTGCCAAAGACTCTGCCCACATCAAAGACTCTTGATGTCTGTCCGGAACAGGCCAGGACACTCTCATCCACGTTGCTCTCATTGGATTGGCTCATTAACCCTTTCTTCTATCCCCTTCTCACTCTTTTTTTTTTCAAAGCCACACTTATGCTCTGTTATCCCCTTTCTCTCGATGTTAAATGTTACTGTTCCATGTGGAATGTTTAATATAGCATTTATATATTGATTAAGTTAAGGACACTGCTGTGTATGGTTTGCAATATTGACTGACTTGCAGAGTGGCTTGAGCCTGAGTGCTCACAGCTCTGACTACCAGTTGAACAGGACGTACTAAGGAGAATCACTTCCTTGGGAACTCCATGTAACTTGTGGCTTTTGTGATTGAAATAGCATCAGTAAAAGTCTGACCCTGTGGAAAGACACAAATGTGCGTGGACCCGGCTATGTCTGACTTTGTGCTGCTCAGGACACTCTCTGTAACCAAAAGTGAGAGAGCCTGGAAGACCTCAGGGGGTCAGATGTTTGAAGGAGCTGCTGAGTATCCTGGCAGGCAGCAGAGCCTCACCATCAGTTTGCTGCATGGAAGGCTGTGTGCCTCTATTTCCCTGCTATTTGTTGAACTCCCTTGAGCTCCGGTCCTTCCTAAGTGAGAGAGATGATCCCAATAGCACCAACCTGAGAGGGCTGGGGAGATGTTTGAAGGAAAGCTTGGCTGGGGAGCTGTAGCTGGCCTGTGGTACATCCTTGGTAAATGGTGGCCAGGAGACCCGGGTGTGTGTCCTGGCACTGTCACACTCTGCTGACGAGGGTATTGAAAGTCCCCACTCAAAGACACAGAATCTTCCTGACCAAGTGTAGGTCTGTAATGACGTGTGGAGCACTTTGCAGAAACTGCTTCTCAGCGGGGGTCCCCTTGAAAAGGTGCTAAGTCTGCTCAGAGATACGTGGCTGAAGCTCTAGACGCGGGAGCCTCTGTCAGAGACAAGGGCAGGGGGACTCAAGTGCTGCTGCCTGGCTCCCCTGCCCTGACAGCTCTAGCAGCACACGAGTCTGATTTATACAAAGAACCCATCTCATATCTCCCTAAAATTAGTCTGTGATAAGCAATATACATTTCCTGAGTGTGCGGTCTAGGTTTTAATATTCTGAAAAATAAAAACAGTGGTCTCTTGAGAGCTGAACAGTTTGGTAGTTACTGAGCAGGCTCCATCCTCCTTGGCAATTCTTTTGAAATCTCAAAAAGTTGGCTTCCTATACTGTTAGAATCTGGTGTGAGTCAAGAATGGACAGGGTGTGAGTTCCTCACTCGTCCCTTTTCTATGCATTGAGGAAGACCTCGGTGCTGCCAATGGGGCAGAGGAAGCTCAAGTGTGTTTTTGCATGAGGCTGGCTGGAAGCTCTGGCTTGGGCTCTCAGCAGTGAGGTACTGGCAGTTCCTTGGATGTCACAGCAAATCGAAGCTTGTGGTCTTCACTTCCTCCTACCTTGAGACTTACTGCACAGAAAGTAGAGGCTTGGATGGTTCAACTTCAGGGGCAAAACAGCCTGCCTTGGGGGTGGGACTGGGGGTATGCATCTGTGCCACTGCTTCTCTCCCTTTGTCAGTTTACCATGCCAGCAGCCTTCTGTCTGTTATCGGGAAGAGAAAGAGCATGATTTGGGAGCTAGCTGGGGAGCTTCCTGAAGGTTGCCTGAGCTGCATTTGGGGCCCCTGATGAGGGCTTCTATTCAGGGTGATGTGTGTGACCCTGAGGCCATCTCTCAGATCTGGGGGGAAGTGAGGTTTTGTACCCACAGTGGGGAGACCTACCTGGCGGCTCATCAATATTAGACACCTGCAGGAACAGCAGGTCAGCCAAGCCAAAGAGTAAGAGTGGCCCTGTCTGTGACTAGATGCTTCTTCAGGGTTGCCTCAACACCGGAGTGGCGCTGGTGGTCTCCACCCACTCCCAGTGTACACTGGCATCTAGGAAGCCATGTGTGTGATCGGCCCTGAATTAGGGGCAAAACTTTTAGTTCTCAGATGAACTGTCGTGGGTTTATTCAGTGATAACTAGACAGCCAGGCCAACATGGAGTTGATTCATCCATGCAAAACTTCCCAGACAAGGCCTTTCAGTGGAGAACTGGAATTCAGGGTCTTCTCAGCTTTGGCCAGAAGCCAAAGGTAGGAGAGGTAGGAGAGACCCAGGTCCTGGTCCCAGCTGTGTCCCATCCAGAGTGACCTTGGGAAGGTTGCCAACTTCCTTTTTCGGTGAGCCTTGCTTTCTTCACCTGCAAGGTGAAGGGTTGGTTGGATGATCCGTAAGGGCCGGCCACCTCTCACTCTGTGACTTTGGCCCAAGGTCCACATGGTTGGGTGTTCCATACTGTAGCCCTCCTGGGCTATTACATTTTGGTTTTTCATTGCACTCAAAAGTGGGGGTAACTGGTGAGGGGCACGGGTTGGTAAACCACCTCTCTATTTCAGTGATGAAACTAAAGAAACCAGGTTTCCCCTTCCACCCCTACAGGCCACTGATGCATTACTTAGTTCCTGTTTCTCTTTGCCCACCCAGGAAGACACTGCGTATGAAATCCTGGGCCCAGATGCTGGACTTTAAGCCACATTAGAAAATGCTAGCTCATAGGACTCAAAACGGGAAGCTGGCTTTCCCAACAGATTCATCTGGGCAGTGTTCTTCCCAGAATGTGTAGGAATCATGGGGCCAGGTTCGCCAAGGCTCAGGAAGCTCGGTATTTCACTGTCACTAGCCAATGAGGCCTTTAAGGAAAAAACAGATAAGACTGTAGGAGTTTATATGGATCCGTTAACTCACTTGTACAAGACATTGGGAAAGATACTGGGGGTGGGGGGAAACAATACAGAGTTTCAAAAGATAAATAGAGACTGTCATAATCACCACATGTCCTGGCAGCCAGGGCTACGGGGTCAGGAGAAGCTTTATTCCCTGGCCTGCAGCACTGCAAGAGACCCTAGGAGGAGGAGAGCTCCGCCAGGCCCTGCAGGCTGGGCAGCCTGCCTTCGGCCACATTTCCTAACACCACTCAGCAGAGCCCTGCCAGCAAAGGCCAGTGTGCAAAAAATGTTATGCCCTATATATGTTTGGGAAGTGCACAATAATTTAAACAGCTTTCTTATTTCTTAACTTCTCTGGGTATTTTGTGTGCTACTGTATCTTGTGAATGAATCTCAAGAGGAAGGATGAAGCTTTTCCAAAATCACATGCCTTCATCTCATTTTACAGAAAAATTTGTGCCTAATATTAACCAAAGGAAATGGGGAGCGGCAGGGCCAGTGGGTTTTCATGGTGAACTGAGGGTTGCATCTTGGACAGGTTGCATGTGGAAGGGACAGCAGGGTTCCCAAGGAAGCTTTGCACGGTCATGGGTAGAGCCATCCCTTCTTCATCCATAGTGAATATGGCTGGAAATAGCGGGTAGTCTTGGATTTGACCTCCCTCCCATGGAAGTGCTGTCTCCAGCTCACTCCTGGAAAAACTGCTTTCTCCCCAAAGTGTGTCTGAGCAGCAGATTTAAGCATGAAGTTGGTTTTGTGGGGCTACAGTATGGACTTTGGGAAGATGGTGCCATCTGTATTTCTGATTCTACCGTCCCTCTGTCTGTCTTTGGAAGTATCCTTTCACTTGTTTGGGAGACTGAGAATGATTTTCTGCAAACAGTGAGCCAGACCATGCTGGTCTCAAGCGGCAGAGCAGTTATTAACAGAATCACAGTCTTTCTGGAGCTGCTGTCAGTCCTGTGCTGTCCTCAGGGCCTTTGCTTGGTCAGGGGCCCCACTTCTTATCCACCCTTCCCTCTACCTCACCGAGGCTGCTAGGCCCAGGTGTATTGTGATTATTTGATGCACCTGGGAGGCCATGTCTCCCGGGGAGTCTCAGGACCTCATTGGGCTGGAATTCCACGGGGATCTCTCATTGGGTCTCTTTGGGCCTTTGGAGAGGGGAGTGCAGGGCACCACCTGGGCGAACACCTGTGCCATCCTGTAAGTCCTTGTGTGACTCTTCATCCAAGTCAACAGGGGCATGTAGGGGAAGAGCCTCAGGGCCCATCAGGAGTCAGACCCTGACCAGGAAGTCAGAACTGAATCAACTTTTCAATAAACACACAGGCTGGCCCCAAACAAAGCAGCAGGCTTTTGGGAACATCTGCCTTTTCAGTCTCTTCTGAATTCTGTTTATGTGGACACCCCATGTCCCGCACCACCATTGCCGCCAGCAATGTTTGTTGCTTGCCAATATTTGAATAGATGCTGATAAATTTGATTCTCTGGCTTATTGTGGCATTCATGATATGTCTTTCCCTTTTCAGTTTCCATGTACTAGAGCGACTGTCAGTGTGGTTGGCAGTGACCTGTGTTTTTCATGCATGTTTTTGTTTCAGAATAACTGGGAGATGAAACAGGAAGCTCTATGACACACTTGATCGAATATGACAGACACTGAAAATCACGACTCATCCCCCTCCAGCACCTCTACCTGTTGCCCGCCGATCACAGCCGGAATGCAGCTGAAAGATTCCCTGGGGCCTGGTTCCAACTGCCCACTGTGGACTCTGAGGCCTCTGCATTTGCGGGTGGTCTGCCTGTGATATTTTGGTCATGGGCTGGTCTGGTCGGTTTCCCATTTGTCTGGCCAGTCTCTGTGTGTCTTAATCCCTTGTCCTTCATTAAAAGCAAAACTAAAGAAAACAGAATTGTTTGCTTATTAGCTATCTTTAAACGCTGATTGAAAGGATATCGAATAGTGTTTGAGGGAACCCTGGCACGTCCACACAGCTCATCTGACATGTTTAAATGTGTGTTGGGCTTGACTCTCTCATAACTCAGCCACGCTTGTCTTGCTGCTTCTCATACCTCTCCAGATTGCTGTAGAGTCAGTGTGGGCAGACTGACATTTGAGAGAAACGTCAGGCTTCATCTGGAAGCCTCTTTCCACACCCACCCTGATCGTGGCCTGTAAACTGTGACCCCAAGATCTCCATTAACCTTGG